>NC_000014.9:30823834-31126864 GCF_000001405.40 Homo sapiens | reverse complement strand
CCCATCTTTACCACCCCTACATCCCCAAAATTAGCCAGGTGTGATGTCATGCTACTGAGAAGGCTGAGGTGAGAGGGTTACTTGAGCCCTGAAGTTCAAGGCCCCAGTGAGCTGTGATCATGCCACTGCACTCCAACCTCAGTGACAGGGCTAGACCCTATCTCTGAAAAAATATTTTTTTTTAAATTGCAATTATCTGATTATACATGAAGTAGATCTAGGAACTTTATATGTCATTTTTTTTTGTATTTTGTCACAAAAGAAGTTTTAATGGAAGAACCATAAAGCTATTTGACACTCTTATCACTAAGAGAAGAAGTGTAATAGATTCATAAGCTTTGTAAAATGATATTCCTTGTATGCTGTTATCACAGTCTTTTGGAAGTAATTCCTTAGTTAGGTAATGCATGATTCTTGCAAATTAAATTTTATTTGGAAAGTTCAGTAACAGCCTTATGGCTTCCATGCTATAATCAAAGGGATGTATTTGATTCAGTTAAGATAGAATCTGTGTTTCTATTTCTTTTATTTCATCTTATTAGAAAAGTAATGCTCTGTATAGAAACTAGAAGAAAATTAAAATCATCTAGTCCCCACCTACCAGACAACCAGCTTTGATGTACATCATTTGATGTATGTTTTTGTTTTTTTAACATAAAAGGATTATATCCTTTTCCGCCAGCTGTTTTCACTCAATACATTGTGAAAATATTTTCACATATGTTGCATGGGTTTCTATAACATTTGAAATGACTGCCAAATATTTCACTGTATGATCATCATTTAATATTATTATCAATTTTGTATATTTAAGTTAGAACTTTTCCATTACCATAAACATCATTATGAATGAGCTTTCTTGAACTGTATTTTAATATACTTCCTTAGGATAAATGCTTAAAGTAATAATTATTGAATTGCTTTCCAAAAACATTGCACTCCATCCCAATTGTTTTGGAATACCCTTTACCATATATCCTTGATCATACTGCCTGTTTTTCTTTAAAAAAAAAAAATTGGGAGTAATTTTAAAGACAAAGTTTATGTGAAGATACATTTTTAAGGTGCTATTTTGTGTATAGCCCATTTTCATGTTTTCTTCCTTTTTGTGAGAATATAGCCTCTCCTAATTCATAGCAAGAATTTGATATGATGTTCCATAGTTTTAAGAGAGTCATTATATTTCTGTTTCTGCTTATTAAACGTGTGTGTAGCAAAATGATGATGATTACACCAAAGTGTTATAAATTCATTGCATAAGGTGTTTTCTGATTTATTATTTCTCATGGTGGCCCTGTGCCCCTCTCTACTGATTTGTTATTATGTTAACTTCAAGCATTAGTTCTTGGTCATGGGAAGTTGAAGATGATTGTGGGTAGGAAAGAGTGAACTGGCCGGGCGCTGTGGCTCACGCCTGTAATCCTAGCTCTTTGAGAGGCTGAAGCGGGCAGATTGCCTGAGGTCAGGAGTGTGAGACCAGCCTGGGCAACATGGTAAAACCCTCTTTACTAAAGTACAAAAAATTAGCCAGGTGTGGTGGCCCACTCCTGCAGTCCTAACTGCATAGGAGGCTAAGGCACCAGAATCTTTTGAACCTGGGAGGCGGAGGTTGCATTGAGCCACGATTGTGCCATTTGCATTCTAGCCTGGGCAACAGGGCAAGACTCTGTCTCAAAAAAAAAAAAAAAAAAGTTAGAACTACTGATTGACTTTTAAATTTTGTTGTTAGGTTTGACTAGCCTTAAAAAAATTTATTGTTGGCCGGGCACAGTGGCTCACGCCTATAATCCCAGCATTTTGGGAGGCCAAGGTGGGCAGATCACAAGGTCAGGAGTTCGAGACTAGCCTGGCCAATATGGCGAAACCTGTCTCTACTAAAAAATACAAAAACTAACCGGGTGTGGTGGCGGATCCCTGTAGTCCCAGCTTCTCAGGAGGCTGAGGCAGGAGAATCTCTTTAACCCGGGAGGTGTAGGTTACAGTGAGCCAAGATTGTGCCATTGCACTCCAGCCTGGGTGACAGAGCGAGACTCCATCTCAAAAAAAAAAAAAAAATTTATTGTTAGATGATGAAAAAAATTAATATAATTTTTATTTTAGATTCAGGGGATATATGTGCAGGTTTGTCACAGGGGTATATTGTGTGATGCTGAGATTTGGACTTCTATTGATCTTATCACTCAAATGGTGAACATAGTACCCAATAGGAAGTTTTCAGCCCTTGCCCACTCTTGCACTCCTTTTGGAGTCGCTAGTGTCTACTGTTCCCATCTTGATGTCCATGTGTACCCAAGGTTTAGCTCCTACTTATAAGTGAGAACATATGATAGAAGATTTTCTTTTTTATATTCTTAAAGCTGGTAGATACTTTAAGACTGCTGGGGTGAAGGATCAGAGTAACATCAGTTTATACCATTTGTGTATGCTGTGCAAGCTTTTACTGTGTTTTGTGGTTTTTCTCTTACCGCAGGCACGAATACTATACCATGTTGTGTTTTGAAGAGACATTTTATTCTATGATGTGGTCAAATCTGTGAAATACAGAGCTTTTTAATGCTGGTAAAAAAGGGAAGATGAGAAAAAAAAAGGGACATCAGTCAGTTGTAACATACCGGAGATAGAATTTCAATATATGAAGTTAGATTATGTTCTTTAAAAGACAAATCAAAGTGGAACTGGTTTATTTTGTGTACCACCACATCATGTTAATCACAACCAGTTCCTAAATTGCAGGTGGCTCCTTACAAGTGTTAAAGGGTAACATATTTTATCAAATTTAAGATGCTGTTGAGTGTTAAGACACACCATTTTTTTTCTGTTACTAAGGTTAAAAATGTTGCAATTTAATTCTGACTTGCCATTGTTTGTAAGATACATTCCGATTTCAAAGCATTACAATGTTTTAAAAATGTAGACCTTTCAACCTGAGAAAGTTGATAACAGCAAAAAAATGTGGACCCTTAGAAACTAATGAAATATAATGGCAGGCCTCTTCTACTGGCCATCCAGTAAAAGGCACTGAATATTTAGTCCTGTGTAATTATTGGACTAAAAACCATTTGGTTCAGTGGTCTGCAGGTGTAAGTTTCTGAGCAATTATAAATTGTCTTCTGGATGTTCTTCAGGAATATAAAGTATTTTGTTTTCTATCCTTTGTGCAATTCTGATATTATATTTTACTATTTTTTCCAGATCCAGTAAAAACTTCTGTTATAATCCCTTTAGTCCTCTTTTTTTCAGTTTTTATGAAGAACAGTTTGTCAGCATCTTCATTTATGCAGGACAATGTAATTTGACCCAGTCTCCATCGAAGGCAAGAGATTATAAGAAGGAAGGAGATAAAAATGATGCAAGTTGTTTTGAACTTCCTTATGTGCTAGATAATATGGATAACATGAAAGATGCCACATACATTATTCCGTAGTAAATAGGCATTATCTTAAGTAGTCATTGTTTTTAAGTAACCTACCAGGTCACATATCTAAGCCCCGTTTTTCACTGATTGACTTAATTCTGTTTTTCCTCGTAAGATCTTTTACATGTTGTAAAGGTTTGTTTTTTTGGTTATTGTTTTTTAAATAGCCCCACATGGTTATCCATTTATATTATGATTTTGTAATTCAGGTTTAGTTTATGGTTGTCCTTTATCACTTGTTTTTGTCATGCTTGTGTCTGTGCTCATCTTGTATGTGGTGGCAGAACGCAACAGTTGTCCCTTTTGAATTTTACTTTTGTTTTGTAAAAACCTAAAATGCAAAGTTCCTTTGTTATGCTTTCTTAATTGTGTTGACATAAGGTTGTGGGTTTTGTTTTCAAGATTTCCTTGATAGCTGCCGTGCCAGTACTCTATTGGCTGAGCTCGATGATGATGAGGACTTACCTGAGCCAGATGAAGAAGATGATGAGAATGAAGATGACAATCAGGAGGACCAAGAATACGAGGAGGTTATGGTAGAGAGAGTACCCCATTCTCTTTACAAAGATAGGATGTTAATAATTGAAATGAAGAAAGGAAAAGCTAAGTCATAATCAAACTTTGAAGCAAGGAAATGTGGCACCAGTATAAAAAATGTAGTTAATTAAGAAAAGCAGTTTTAATCTGAGCATTTATGATTCTCCACTTAAAGAAAATAAGTTGCTTATATTTGAAAAATTTTAGAATGTCACATGATGTTTTAACAGGCTTAAAAGGGTGTGAAATTAGGCTGGGTATAGGGCTCATGCCCTGTAGTCCCACACTTTGACATTTGTAGTCCTGGCTACTTGGGAGGCTGAGGTAAAAAATCACTTGGGTCCAGGAGTTGCAGGCTGCAGTGAGCTATAATTGCATCACTGCACTCCAGCCTGAGCCACAGAATGACACAAACACACACACACGTACACACGTGTATGAACTTAGTGCAGTGGCTCGTGCTGCCATGAGCTATAATTGCATCACTGCACTCCAACCTGAGCCACAGAATGACACACACACACACACACACATGCGCGCACACACACGAACTTAGCCAGTGCAGTGGCTCATGCTGCAGTGAGCTATAATTGTGTCACTGCACTCCAGCCTGAGCCACAGAATCTCACACACACACACACACACACACGTGTGTGTGTATGAACTTAGCCAGTGCAGTGGCTCGTGCTGCAGTTAGCTATAATTGCATCACTGCTTTCCAGCCTGAGCCACAGAATGAGACCCTGACACACACACACCCAAGCACACACACAGTGTATGAACTTACCCAGTGCAGTGGCTTGTGCTTGTAATCCCAGCTACTCAAGAGGCTGAAGTGGCCCTGGAGTTTGTTTTTTAGTACCTATGGTTTTGCAAGCAGGGTCCATCTGTTTTTTCATTAGTTGTCACATGAAGGAATGAAGTAGAGGCATAAAAAAAAAAAATTTGCCCTTATCATCAGAGTTAAGTGGAAGAGTGAGGACCCAAGCATAGGCAATGTGATCCAGAACTCTCAATATTTAACCACTAGGATTGTCTTCTAACTGAAAATTGTGCCTAAAAAATACCCTTTATTGTAACTAACTGTAAATTTAAAATTTCTCTTTATAAAATGTTACTAGATTTCAAAAAAATTGATAAGTTGAGTTTTAATGGAGTAAAGAAATTTAAAAAATGCTTTTAGTATATGGTTGCTAAGAAAACACAATACTTCTTATGAAGGAGGTTAGTATAAAATGCATGATGAATTTAAAACATTGAACTCATAACTTTTCTGAAGTTGGCTAATGAAAAAGTTTTCAGTGACACTTTTGTTAATAGGGGTTAATATATTCAGGTCATGGCTGAAAGGGGGCATATATGGGTCAAATAATTAGACATGTATCTCTTGGGATTGTTTTATTTTAGATTCTGAGACGCCCATCCCTGCAACGTCGAGCTGGCTCCCGCTCTGATGTAACGCATCATGCTGTTACCTCGCAGCTACCACAGGTACCTGCTGGAGCAGGGAGCCGACCTATTGGGGAGCAGGTAATATCTTCATGTTTATCTTCCCTACCATATGTATATTTTTCCCTTTTATAGTAAAGCACCAACCTAAATGCCTACAAAAATGTGCAGTGTGGAAGGGGTGAGAGGAGGGAGCTACCAAACAGTTACACAAAGAAACTTCCCCTACTGGTTGGGTTTCATATTCTATATAGAATCCATGATTGCTGTGACATAATGCATGCAGGAGTTTAATGCTTGAAACCCCTTTACGTTGCTTTGGGTAATAGTAAACATACATTAAAATGGTTAATATATGGTATCTAAGATTTGTAGTTTTAGTAGTAGTAGAAGTGGTAGTAGATGCAGCAGTAGTAGTTTATTAATAGCTAACGCTTAATGATCACTAACTAAGTGCTAGAGTTGTTTTTGTTTTTGAGACAGGATTTCGCTTCATTGCCCAGGCTGTTCTTGAACTCTTGGGCTCAAGCAATCTGCCTGCCTTGGCATGAGCCACTGTGCCTTGCCAGCATAGTTCTTAATACTTTATGTATATTAACTAATTCTTTCCAACAAAACAACCTTTTTAGGGTTATTGTTAGCCCTAATTTTCAGATGAAGTAATTGCTAAAAGTCATACATGTAATAGTAGTTTTGGTTCCAGGATGCAAACCCAAACATTCTGAAACCAGAGCTGTCAAATGTCAGTTTGTTTCAGTTAAGTGTTTAAACCAAACTGTGGATGTGCACGTGTGTACTTACATGCTGTCTGCCTCATAGTAATTTAAAGCAACTCCCCAGCATTTTATTTGGTATATAAGTAATTCAGTACAAAATGTAATTTACGTTTTAAAAACCAACTTATTTTAAAATAATTATAGGTTCATAGGAGGTTGCGAAAATACTCCAGAGAGGTCTTATGTGCCCTTTACCTAATTTTTGCCATTGGCTAGTTTCATATTACCTAATTTTAGTATAGTAACAAAGCCAGGAAATTGAGGATGTTTGTGAATGGTTATCTTTTTATTTTTTTTGAGACAGAGCCTCACTCTGTCTCCCGGGGTGGAGTACAGAGTGTAGTGGCACGATCTCGGCTCACTGCAACCTCCGCCTCCCAGGTTCAAGCGATTCTCCTGCCTCAGCCTCCCGAGTAGCTGGGATTACAGGCGCCTGCCACTATGCCCAGCTAATTTTTTGTATTTTTAGTAGAGATGGGGTTTCACCATGTTGGCCAGGCTGGTCTCGAACTCCTGACCTTGTGATTCGCCTGCCTCAGCCTCCCAAAGTGCTGGGATTACAGGCTTCAGCCACCATGTCTGGCCATGAATGGTTATCATTTGGTGAAATGTGTAGATTTGTATAACCATCACTGATGCAACTTACTTTGGGTAAACTGAAATGATGAAGAAATGTATGTATCTATACATGTTTAGGTTAGCTCATTTTGGGTTTAAGAAATATGGCTAAGGAAATGCAGTAGTTCTAAATAACACATTGCTTTTGCAACAATGAAATTTTGCATCTTATTATGTTTGTGTGTGAAATTTTATTTTGATAGGAAGAAGAAGAGTACGAAACTAAAGGAGGACGCCGGAGAACATGGGATGATGATTATGTGCTAAAGAGACAGTTTTCTGCATTGGTTCCTGCTTTTGATCCTAGACCTGGTCGTACTAATGTCCAGCAGACAACTGATCTAGAAATACCACCCCCAGGTACAGAATGTTTTGGTTTTGTGATTTAATTTTAATACATACTAAATCAGATATGAAAAGTAGGGTGTTGCTTTTGTATGCACGTTATTAAAAATTTTTTTTTAGTTTTGTGTATGCAGGTTATAAAAAATTTTTTTAGTCAGCCACAAATTCTTTAAAAAGTAAAGGTTTTTTTAAAGGAGCAAATTACAAATTATTTCAAATTTTAAAAACCAACATGTGTTTTGTATTTGTGCAATTTTTAAGGCAAAGTCCCATTTAAAGGTGGGAAATTTTTACTGTATTTTCTACTGGATCAAAATTTCTAAGGATTTATTCCTCTCAGTTTTGAAAGGCTATCCAGTGGTTACAGTCATGCCCTCTAGAGTCAGTTGGCCTGGGTGACAACCTTATCCCTTACAAAACTCTATTTTAGATTGTGGTAGGCATACTAATTTCTCCCCAAAATCAGGTTCTAACCTCTGGAACTTATGATATATTATCAAAGCAGACCAAAGAGACTTTGGAGATGTAATTAGGGATCTTGAGAAGGGGAGATAATCCTGGATCATCCAAGTGGACACAGTGTAATCACAAGAGGCAGGAGACAGAGAAGAACATGTGACTAAGGAAACAGGAGTCAGAGTGACGACGAGCAGTGAGCCAAGGAATGTGGGCAGCTCCTAGATGCTAGAAAAGGCAAGGAAACAGATTCTTCTCTAGAGCCTCTAGAAAGAATGAAGCCCTGCAAATCCATTTTAGGCATTCGACCTCTAGAACTATGAGATAATAAATTTGTGGTAGTTTTTTTTTTTTTTTTTTTTTTTTTTTTCCCTTGAGATGGAGTCTTGTTTTGTCACCCAGGCTGGAGTGCAGTGGCACAGCCTCGGCTCACTGCACCCTCCGCCTCCCAGGTTCAAACAATTCTCCTGCCTCCGCCTCCTGAGTAGCTGAGATTACAGGCATGCACCACCATGCCCAGCTCATTTTTGTATTTTTAGTAGAGACGGGGTTTCACCACATTGGCCAGGCTGGTCTCGAACTCCTGACCTCAAGTGATCTACCCACCTTGGCCTCCCAAAGTGCTGGGATTACAGGCGTGAGCCACCGTGCCTGGCAAGTTTGTGTTATTTTAAACCACCCAATTTGTGGTAATATTTTATAGCAGCAGTAGGAAACTGATATATTGGGCAAGTCACCAAAACTATCCAAGCTTGAATTTCTTCATCTCTTACATGAGAGAATAAAGGTCCCTGTTTGACAAGGTAGTTAAAAAGCTTAAATGAAGTAAGGTATGTGAAGTGCTTAGCATGCTGCCTGATGTGTGTCTCAATAAATGTCAGCTATTATAATCAGTAAATTATCCTTAACAAAGATTTAAATTGTTGATTAAGTGAGGAGTGTATTTTTTAGCCTGATAGTATTAGGCTGGGCACGGTGGCTCACGCCTGTAATCCCAGCACTTTGGGAGGCTGAGGCGAGTGGATCACAAGGTCAGGAGTTCAAGACCAGCCTGACCGACATGGTGAAATCCCGTCTCTACTTAAAAATACAAAAATTAGCCAGGCTTGGTGGTGCGCGCCTGTAATCCCAGCTACTCAGGAGGCTGAGGCAGGAGAAATTGCTTGAACCCGGGAGGCAGAGGTTGCAGTGAGCCAAGATCACACCACTGCACTCCAGCCTAGGTGACAGAGTGAGACTCTGTCTCGAACAAAAAAAGACACCTGTATTAAATATGAAAGTAAGTATACTCGGTTGTATAAATGTTCTTTGGGGAGGATAGATAGACTGAATCAAGGTGTTCTAAGGTCCCTTCAAAAAGGAAAATCTTGTTTCTTTGGATCTCAGAGAAAAAAAATGAATTATAAAAAAGGAAAACACATTCTAGAGAGTATAAATAGGCACAAACTTTTTGTAGAGCTCTCTGCCAGTATATTTTGTATCTTCTGACAAAGTGTTGTTGCCATTGGTAATTTTAAATATTAGCTCTGTACCCCGTTTTGTACACATAGGTGACTGTAGAAGTATTTATATTTTCAAAAAATTGGAAATGACCTTAATTATGTCCAGTAACTGGGATATGCCTCTGTTTAGGTACAGTGGGATATTGTGCAGTGAAAGAAATAATATTTTAGAAGACGATCATGATAATGAAGAAAACATTCATGAGCTAATAAAAAATGAGAGCATTCTCCAAATACATTATGAAACTAATTATATGTGTGTGTGTATATGTGTTTACCTCATGATGCAGTTATTCAGTGTGATAAAAGGTTGACACGTCATTGGCCCAGAATATGTGGTTTTCTCTGAGTATGGATACTTTTAGTTTTCTCATTTATAAAAAAAATTTTTTTTTGAGATGGAGTCTCGTTCTGTCACCCAGGCTGGAGTGCAGTGGTGTGATCTCGGCTCACTGCAACCTCCACTCCCAGGTTCAAGTGATTCTCCTGCCTCAACCTCCTGAGTAGCTGGGACTACAGGCGGGCATCATCATGTCCAGCTAATTTTTGCATTTTTGGTAGAGACGGGGTTCACTGTGTTACCCAGGCTGGTCTCAACTCCTGACCTCAAGTGATCTACCCGCCTCGGCCTCCCAAAGTGTTGGGATTACAGACATGAGCCACTGCTCCTGGCCTCATTTATAAAATTAAAATGTTTCCGAAGTATTCATACAGTTAGTATTATTTTCATGTAAAAATGAGAGAGCTCTCTATCATACACATGTATTCTGTTCTAGCACTCTTTCAGTAACGTAGGTGTAATTATTTCCATTACAAAAGAAACAGAAAACAGGCTGGGTGCAGTGGCTCATGCCTGTAGTAATCCCAGCACTTCAGGAGTCTGAGACGGGCAGATCACTTGAGATCAGGAGTTTGAGACCAGCCTAGCCAACATGGTGAAACCTGCCGTCTCTACTAAAAATACAAAAATTATCCAGATGTGGTGTTGGGCACCTATAATCCCAGCTACTCGGGAGGCTGACGAAGGAGAATTGCTTGAACCTGGGAGGCGGAGGTTGCAGTGAGCTGAGATCACGCCACTGCACTCCAGCCTGGGCAACAGAGCAAGACTCCATCTCAAAAAAAGAAAAAAAAAGAAACAGAAAGCAAAAATGTCGACGCCTAGAGAGTCTTAAGTAGCTGACATCCTTTAGCTAATATATGGCAGAGAGGTTTGGATTTCATGTAGCCTTGTTTCCTAGTGTAGTGGCCTTTCTTGGACTGCTTGTTTTAGTATAATTGTTTTTCACCCATCTTCCAAATTTTTAGGGACCCCTCATTCAGAGCTCTTGGAAGAAGTCGAATGTACTCCGTCACCTCGATTAGCTCTCACTTTGAAAGTAACAGGTCTTGGAACGACTCGTGAAGTTGAATTACCACTCACCAATTTCAGATCAACCATCTTTTACTATGTACAAAAATTGCTTCAATTGTCCTGTAATGGCAATGTGAAATCAGATAAACTTAGGCGTATTTGGGAGCCCACATACACGTAAGAAATTTTAACTTAATGTTTTGGTAGATAATGTCCTAGTGTAGAGCCAAGAAGCATTGCATTTATTTTGGATTATAGGAACAGAAAAGATTTTGTTTTTATTCTGTTGGCTTACAGGAACAGATAATAGTGTTTGGGACTCTTGGTGTAGAATGATTAAGTTTTAGAAGTAGAAGGACATTTACAGTCTATACTAGCTTCTTACGTAATTGTTGAAAAGAGCGTCATTTGAATTCTTTGTCTAAGATCGTGTATGAGTACTAACTATCTTCTTTCTGTTCTTGATTTTGGGGGTGTGTGGGTTAACACCTGCCTTTCTTTGTACAAATAATCATCAATGACTTAGGGTAAATTTATTTAACATTTTTGTGCCTCACATTCCTAATCTATAAAATGAGAGTGGTTTTAAGGAATTAATGAATTAACATGTATAAAGTGTTTTCTTTACTTTTCTTTTTTTCTGAGACAAGGTCTCTCTCTGTTGCCCAGGATGGAGTGCAGTGGAGTGCAGTGGTGCGATCATGGCTCACTGCAGCCTCAAACTCCACAGGCTCAGGTGATTTTCCCACCTCAGTCCCCTGAGTAGCTGGGACTACAGGTGTGCACCACGAGGCCTAGCTAATTTTTGTATTTTTTGTAGGGATGGGGTTTTTACCATGTTGCCCATGCTGGTGTCGAACTTCTGAGCTCAAGTGATCCGTCCACCTCAGCCTCCCAAAGTGCTGGGATTACAGGTGTTGAGCCTCTGTGCTTGGCCTGCAAAGTGTTTTCAATACCCCCTAGGATATATTAAGTGCTCAGTAAATGTTATCTATAAAGTAATTGTTATTTAATAATAATAAATTATATCATCATTCTTACTGTAACTTCACTTCTATTAGTATGTTTTCTGATGTTCTCTTAACATCACTGATAATCTTATGTAATGGCCAATAAAAGTAATGTAGGTCCTTTTGAAATAGAACAGAAAATCATAACGGTATTCTCCCGCCCTTCAGTTTTTTTTCCCCAAGTTCCCAAGAGCTAGGAAAACCTCCCTTCAATTTTTATTACAGTTTAAAAATTGATCTCAACTGCCTTATTTGAACATAAGCACTCCTGATCATTGTTATTTCTATCCTTCTTTCCATCTAGACACAGAGAACCTGTTTCTTATCCCATTGTATTTTTACAACAGTTATAGCCATGTGCTATGTAACAACTTTTCAGTCAGTGATGGACCATGTATGACAGGGGTCCCATAAGATTATAAAACCACATTTTTACTGTACCTTTTTTATGTTTAGATACACAAATACCATTGTGTTACAGTTGCCTATTCAGTACAGTGATATGCTGTTAAGGTTCGTGGCCTAGGAAAAATAGGCTATAACACATAGCCTACGTAGATAGTAGGCTATACCATTTTGTTTTGTGTAATGTACTCAGTGATGTTTCACAACCACCAGATCACCTAATGCTGCATAACACTTGATACAGTCATATCTTTAAAAGTTCTAGATTTGATACATGCTTTCTTTGTAATAATGATAAATTTATAAATCATAATTCAGGAATATGGTTTCTGCTACTTTGCCTTATGTTTAACAAATTAACATTTTTTCTTAAAAATACTCCTTGAGGCTGGGTGTCGTGACACACCTTAATCCCAGCACTTTGGGAGGCCAAGGCAGGAGCATCGCTTGAAACCAGGAGTTTGAAACTAGCCTGGACAACATAGCAAAACCTTATCTCTACAAAAAATATAGAAAAAAAGAATCCTCCTTGAGTTCAGTGTTCAGTGCAGGCATATGTCTAGTGAATGACATTCACTTTTTTTTTTAAAGAATTGAAGCCTTATTGGAAATAATCACAAATTATATATGAATTAACTTGAATATCTTCATGTTTAGAATCATGTACAGAGAAATGAAGGATTCTGATAAAGAAAAGGAAAATGGAAAAATGGTAAGTTATTTTAGAACATTGGTTTACTCTTGGCTATTTAGTTAAAAGAAGAAAGATAGTAAAACTAACACAGTATTGCAGTTGAACGTTGAAGGGAATAATGACTAACATGGAATTCTTTAGATTAGACCAAGTGCATGATCTTAAAGCTACCTCATGTAATGCATGTGAAATATCATAGACTTTATAATTGGGAAAGGCCAACATTTGGTTTTTCCTGTTGTAGGGTTGCTGGTCTATAGAGCATGTGGAGCAGTACCTTGGCACTGATGAATTACCAAAGAATGACTTGATAACCTACCTGCAGAAGAATGCAGACGCTGCTTTCCTGCGCCACTGGAAATTAACTGGCACTAATAAAAGTATTAGGAAAAACAGAAATTGTTCTCAGCTCATAGCTGCATATAAGGTATATATTGGCATCAAAACACTATTTTGATTGCAAATGGCTTCGTGCTTTGTTTTGCAGCTTTGGAAGCTTCTTAAGGAACAGCAGTTCATTGAGACATAATTTTAAAAATGAGGTTGAATTAACACTGTTAATGCACAAATTCTAAAATTTCAAATATGGCTGGTAGCATTGGATCTGAATGCAGACTTTGACCATGGCTTAGAGTGGTTATATTTTATTTGGGAATTTTAATGGTTTAGAATGCCTTGATTTATGTCTTGTGTTATGTTTTTATTTAAAAAGAAGGCACTTTAAAAAATTCCAACCCTTTCATAGTGGTATTGATACAATGATACACTGTTTTTCTTGAAAATGTGATTAATGGCCAGTTTTTCTAATTGTTTCTATAGGATTTTTGTGAGCATGGAACAAAGTCTGGGTTAAACCAGGGGGCCATTTCTACTCTTCAAAGTAGTGATATTCTTAATTTAACAAAAGAACAACCTCAGGCCAAAGCAGGCAATGGACAGAACTCTTGTGGAGTAGAAGATGTCCTTCAGCTTCTGCGTATTCTATATATAGTTGCAAGTGACCCTTATTCAAGAATATCCCAGGAAGGTCTGTAAGAAGCCTTGTTTCATTTCTATAGCAGTTTTAAAGCAAGTCAGTTTATATTTTTATTAATTTTATTAATTAATTTTATAGATGGTGATGAACAGCCTCAGTTTACTTTTCCACCAGATGAATTCACTAGCAAAAAAATTACAACAAAAATATTACAGCAGATTGAGGTAATAAAATCAGACAGCTGAACTCTTCATTCTATTACTGTTGGACTTTTCCTAATATTCCCTTTACTTTCTTTTCTACCTCTCACCATCTTTCCCTTCCCTCTGATTGGTAATTTGAGCTATATGGTCCTTTGCATTTATTTCCTAATTACAGGTTTATAATTGACTTGGTAATTTTTAATAATTGCCTTATAGGGTCAGGTGTGGTGGCTCATGCCTGTAATTCCAGCATTTTGGGGGCCAAGGTGGGTGTATCGTTAGAGGCTAGGAGTTCGAGACCAGCCTGGCCAATATGGCGAAACCCAGTCTCTACTAAAAATACAAAAATTAGCTGGGCACGGTGGCACATGCCTATAATCCCAGCTACTTGGGTGGCTAGGGCAGGAGAATCGCTTGAACCCAGGAGGCAGAGGCTGCAGTGAGCCGAGATCGTACCACTGCACACCAGCCTGGGCAACAGAGTGAGACTCTGTCTCAAAAAAAAAAATGAACGAATGAATGAATGCATGCATGCATGAATGCCTTATAGCACTAAGACATTATTATTTGTTAATTCGCAGGAACCATTGGCACTGGCAAGTGGGGCTCTGCCAGACTGGTGTGAACAATTAACCAGCAAATGTCCTTTTCTAATACCATTTGAAACTAGACAGCTTTATTTCACATGTACAGCATTTGGCGCCTCAAGGTAAGAAGCCTTTTTTTTATGTTTTTAGAATAAGTATGCTTTTATGTTATGTAAGTTGAAAATGTACAACTATACTGTCAAGACTGATAGAGGGAATATATTATCTTGTATTCTTATAAAGAATAGTCAGCATTGCCTTTTGGCCTGAACTACCAATCTTCTAGTAATTCGCCAAAATGACTAATCCAAAGGAAAGGAGGAGAGATACCCGATAGATGTTTTCTAGGTCTTTTAGAAAACATGGAGTTGTTCCTTTGGCCACGTATATGCAAATCTAAAAGAGAGGTGATACTGTAGACATTAAGGGAATGGGTACTGTTCAAAAAGGAATGCCCCACAAGTGTTACCGTGGCTAAACTGGAAGAGTCTACAGTGTTACCCAGCAGGCTGTTGGCATTGCTGTTTTTTTGTTTTTGTTTTTGTTTTTGTTTTTTTGAGACAGAGTCTCGCTCTGTCGCCCAGGCAGGAGTGCAGTGGTGTGATCTCGGCTCACTGCAACCTCCGCCTCCCAGGTTCAAGCGATTCTCCTGCCTCAGCCCCACTGAGTGGCTGGGATTACAGGTGCACGCCACCACGCGTGGCTAATGGCATTGTTGTAAACAAACAAGGGCAAGATTCTTACCAAGAGAATTAATGTGCATATTGAGCACATTAAGCACTCTAAGAGCCGAGATAGCTTCCTGAAACACATGAAGGAAAATGATCAGAAAAAGAAGGAAGCCAAAGAGAAAGGTACCTGCATTTAGCTGAAGTGCCAGCCTGTTCCACCCAGAGAAGCGCGCTGTGTGAAAACCAAGGGAAAGAAGTCTGAGCTGCTGGAACCTCTTCTCTGTGAATTCATGCATAATAGTGTTTAAAAAAAATAGCCAGGCGCGGTGGCTCACACCTGTAATCCCAGCACTTTGGGAGGCCGAGGCGGGCAGATCATGAGGTTAGGAGATCGAGACCATCCTGGCTAACGTGGTGAAACCCCATCTCTACTAAAAATACAAAAAGTTAGCTGTGTGTGGTGGTGGGCACCTGTAGTCTCAGCTACTTGGGAGGCTGAGGCAGGAGAATGGCGTGAACCTGGGAAGTGGAGCTTGCAGTGAGTAGAGATTGTGCCACTGCACTCCAGCCTGGGCGACAGAGCGAGACTCCATCTCAAAAAAATAAAAAATAAAGATAAAAATAAAAGACCTCTGGACTGTAAAAATGTTTCTCTTCCTTGAGTAGAAGTGTGGTGTCCTCTCCCCCAAAGAAATACTTCAGGCAAATTTTAATTTTGTCCTAAGCCTAATTGTGTAATGTCTTTACTATTCAAATTTAATGTATTTCTTGCTGAAAGATGTGAGATGGCTTATTGTGCAACAAATTACTCAATTGGTTAGAAAATGGTCAGATATTATTTACGAAATATTTGTACTACTTTGAAGATAGTCCCTCTAATCATGGAAGAAGTAATTTACCAAAAAAAAAAAAGCATTTAAAAAGTTTCTGTTTTCAGGCTGGGCACGGTGGCCCATGCCTATAATTCCAGCACTTTGGGAGGCCAAGGCAGACACATCACTCGAGGCCAGGAGTTCGAGACCAGCCTGGCCAATGTGGCAAAACCCCATCTCTACAAAAAAACACAAAAATTAGCTGGGCGTAATTCCAGCTTTTTAGGAGGCTGAGGCATAAGAATTTGCTTGAACCCGGGAGGCAGAGGTTGCAGTGAGCTGAGATTGCACCACTGCACTCCAGCCTGGGCAACAGAGCAAGACTCATTGTAGGTGCTCAATAAATATTTTGTTGAATGATTGTTTACCTTAAGTACTCTTCCAAAATAGTTGTAAAAAAAAAGTTATAATTTAAACTGTTTGTTTTCTTCCCTGATAGTTACATTTTTGTACCATTTAATGCCATTTACAAAGCATTTATATACATAGAACTATAGGCATGTTGTGATAACTGGCATTGATTATAATTTGTTTTATAAATGAGGAAATTGATTCTGCACGTACTTAGCTGATTTGCCTAAGATCATGAGAAAATAGTAGCACACATGAGAGTAGAACCTTCAGCTTCTTATTCCTAATTGTCGGTTCTTCCTCCCACCATAAATGGATTGTTATTAAAAAAAAGAAAATGTGGCCGGGTGTGGCGGCTCATGCCTGTAATCATAGCACTTTGGGAGGCTGAGGCGGGTGGATCAGTTAAGGCCAGAAATTCAAGACCAGCCTGGGCAACATGGCAGAACCCCCATCTCTACTAAAAATACAAAAATTAGCTGGGCGTGGTGGCACACACCTGTAATCCCAGCTACTGGGGAGGCTGAGGCAGGAGAATCACTTGAACCCGGGATAGGGAGGTTGCAGTGGGCCGAGATAATGCCACTGTACTCCAGCCTGGGTGACAGAACAAGACTCCATCTCAAAAAAAAAAAAGAAAAATTGTTTTAAAATTATAATTACCGTTTTGATGGCGGCTTTCAGTTTGAAAGATAGCTTAATCATTTCTAAATTTCTCTGATAGGAAACATTTTTCCTTTTTTTGAATGATGTTGGGGCTTGGACAACAGATTATTATTTTTATTGAACTGCTAAAATAAGGAGGCAAAATATAGACCCAGTACTTTCTCAGTTTGCTTAAGGCAGATTATAATAAAAGGAGTTTCATATATTTTTACTTGTGACAGGAAGCAGTTTATGTAACAAAAAAAGATTACTGTGTTTTAAAAATCACCTGATAAAATACTATTTTTTAATTTCTTAAATCTTTGAATTCTGTTGCTGGTTTAGTAGTACATTCAGCTGTTAACGTATGCTGCAGCTCATAGATATTTTTCTATTTCAGAGCAATAGTATGGTTACAGAACCGACGTGAAGCCACTGTGGAGCGAACGAGAACCACAAGCAGTGTTAGGCGAGATGACCCTGGAGAGTTTCGAGTTGGTCGTCTCAAGCATGAAAGAGTAAAAGTTCCACGTGGCGAGTCACTGATGGAATGGGCTGAGAATGTCATGCAAATACATGCAGATCGGAAATCAGTTCTTGAGGTAATCTCATATAAAATTAGATTTAGGGAACAGGAATGACACTTAGGGAACCAGCCCAATGTGTATCTTCACTGCATTAAAAACTGTGGTAGGTAAACATGAAGAGGGGTTTTCCTGTTCTGTAGGCAGAAGCCTTCTCCTCTGGCAGAGCATCTTTTTCATAAGAGGATGTCAGTCCACCTCCTTAGGGGTTAGGTCTTGTGCCATTAATGAGCAACAAAGAAGATCTCCACTCTTGAGGTGGCAAAGTGCTTGTTCTGCTTGAGGGCTTCTACCCATTTCATAACAAAGTTGGACTAAAATAGTAGTACTCACAAGGGATTCTTTTTTACTTTTACATTAAACTGTGCTGTTTGATATTTTGGGAGCACCTGGTTTTGTAATATTGTTTCACTTGAATTGTGCTTGGTATTATATCACTGGTCTGTGTTGAGACATGTTATAGCAAATGGTAGTATGACATTTAATATATTTAGTTTAGAAATGTTACTGTGGACATTGTTGGTTTTATTTCATATACACAGTATTCCCTATATGAGGAAGAGTGGAAATACGTCTCCTGTCACAGGGGTGAATCCAACTGGTTTGTTTTTAACTTTTGGATCATAAACTAATTGCAAGAAATATGATACATCTCTAGAAGATGTCCAAGGCTTTACATCTTTCACTTTATATACAGACTTTCATTGTATTCCTCCTACCCTTATGTTCTTCTTCTTCTTTTTTTTTTTTTTTAATAGAGACAAGTTCTCACTATGTTTCCCAGGCTGGTCTCAAACTCCTGGGCTCAAGTGATCCACCCGTTTCGGCCTCCCAAAGTGCTGGGATTACAGGCTTGAGCCACCATGCCCAGTTGTTTACATTCTTCTAATATAGATAATCTTTTTTTTTAACCATATGCTGTAGTTTTTATTATACTTTATGCAATCACTTTAAGGGTTTTTGTCCATACTCTTCCTGTTGCAAAAATGATTTAAAGTGTCTTTAACTCAGAAATAAGCAGAAGAGGCGAGGCGCAGTGGCTCATGCCTGTAATCCCAGCACTTTGGGAGGCTGAGGTGGGTGGATCACCTGAGGTCAAGAGTTTGAGACCAGCCGGACCAACATAGTAAAACCCTGTCTCTACTGAAAATACAGAATTAGCCAGGCATGGTGGTGCATGCCGTAATCCCACCTACTTGGGAGGCCGAGGCAGGAAAATCGCCTGAACCCGGGAGGCAGAGGTTGCAGTGAGCTGAGATCGTGCCACTGCACTCCATCCTGGGCGACAAGAGTGAAACTGTCTCAAAAAATAAAAATTAAAAAGTGGAAGAGTCTAGGCTTTGGTGTCACACAGAGACACACAAAAGTCTGTTCACCATCATTTCTTCAAGCAAATGATTTAACCTCCTTATCTGAGATTTGGTTTCCTTTGGTGTAAAAAGGAAATAATTATTTTGCAGGGTTGTTGTGAGAAGTAAATGTATGAATGATGCTTGGCACAGTGCTTAAGCATGTAATAGTGTACAACAAGTGGACTCTTTAGGAAAATTAAAATAACACTTCTGTGCTGTTTATTATATATATACACTGCTATTTTGAAAAAAGGTACATTACTGGATCAGATATGATAAATTTTGACAAGAATTAGATTATTTTTAAAAACACCCCAAACTTTACGTTTAACCCACAATTTATTTGTTCATATTTTAGGTTGAATTTTTAGGAGAAGAAGGAACTGGCTTGGGACCCACATTAGAGTTTTATGCTCTGGTGGCAGCAGAATTCCAGAGAACTGACTTGGGAGCTTGGCTTTGTGATGATAATTTTCCAGATGATGAATCTCGTCACGTAAGAATATTTCTCATTTTGTGACTTGAGTTGTGACTCTGCTTTCAAAAGTGTTAAAAATAGGTTATGTGTTCAGAGCATAAGCCAGGTTTCTGACTCTACTTTTATTATTGAATAATCTTGATGCAATTAAAATAGTTCTAAAGCGATAAAATTTAGTCACCAAAAGCTATTTAATAAAATTATATACTTTTAGATAGCCAAATTCATGAAGATGTTTAATGTTTATGGATTTTTTTCTTAGATGATGATAGGCTTAGTTTCTATTAACTTTTGTTTAATTTTATTTGCATTTCACCCTCTAAAAAATTAGGTTGATCTTGGAGGTGGATTGAAACCTCCTGGATATTATGTGCAGAGGTCATGTGGACTGTTCACAGCACCATTTCCACAGGATAGTGATGAGCTTGAAAGGATCACGAAACTGTTTCATTTCCTTGGAATTTTCTTGGCCAAATGCATTCAAGACAATAGACTTGTGGACTTACCTATTTCTAAACCTTTTTTTAAACTTATGTGTATGGGTGACATTAAAAGCAATATGAGTAAACTGATTTATGAGTCACGAGGTGATAGAGACTTACACTGTACTGAAAGTCAGTCTGAAGCTTCTACAGAAGAAGGTCATGATTCACTCTCGGTAGGAAGCTTTGAAGAGGATTCAAAATCAGAATTTATTCTTGATCCCCCTAAACCAAAACCCCCAGCTTGGTTTAATGGAATTTTGACTTGGGAAGACTTTGAATTAGTAAACCCACACAGAGCCAGATTTTTAAAAGAAATTAAAGACCTTGCTATCAAGAGGCGCCAAATTTTAAGCAACAAAGGTCTTTCTGAAGATGAGAAGAACACAAAATTACAGGAACTAGTGCTGAAGAATCCATCAGGTTCTGGGCCTCCACTTAGCATAGAGGATTTAGGGTAAGCATTATATGTACATTCTTCAATCCAATGCATGAATAAGTTTTAAAGCTTTTGTTTCTTTGTCGTCACTGATTTGCAATATATGAGTAAATAGTCTGTCAAAAACAGTAATATGCTGTAGGAAATATTGATGATCGACTTGAACCTTTGATTTAATATTATAAAGACAACACTCAGAATACTAGAATATTAGTTTATTAATCATCAAACCTTTAGAAGATTACCTGACTTAGCCAATGTGAATTTATATGCCTGTGTAAAATGTCCAGAGCCAACAATATTTTGACAAATTCATCTGCTAATATATGATTCACTTTGCAAAGCTCAAAAATTGGTTGGTATGTCAGCTTTATCACCAAAGGCTGTAGCAGTTGAGATGCTGCAGAACTTTTGATAAAACTCTGTTACTTTATGTACAGGTAATTATCATATCTTCAGCTGTGATTTTAGGTTAACTGCAAGGCCTTTTTTTTTTAATGTTTGCTGATAATGTTGGTAAACTGTGTTTGATAAATGGTTATATATTCAAGGTTTTTTTTAATATATATTTTTGTACACAGCGTGATTGACTTCAGTAAAGCAACAGTTTCTTCCTAAAAGTCTTACAAACATGTTGCTGTCATAATTCATTGCAAAATTTTTAGTTCATTAATTTTGTGCCATAAGTTAGAAGTAAAATATAGAAAGGTGGTTTCATGCAATCTTTGCAAAGCCAGACAGATTTGATAACAGTTGGCCTAGTAGATTTTGTCCATAGAATATTGCATTTAAAAAGTCCTCAACTTACTTCTAAGCTGGTGTACTGATTTTGTTGGAGGAGGAGAGGGGTGGGATTTATGGTTTTGATAGCCATGTTATTTTATTTAATTTTTTCTCTTGTACCCACTGATGGCAGATGATAGTAATGTTATAAAAATTAAACACCATTAGTAGTAGCTGCATGTCAGTTAATTTAATCTTTTTTGTCCTCCCAGTTTAAATTTCCAGTTTTGCCCTTCCTCAAGAATATATGGTTTTACAGCTGTGGATCTCAAGCCAAGTGGTGAAGATGAGGTAAAAAGTTTGCTTTTAATATAGTTGTAAGTTCTGACATATCCTCTTAGCAAGGCCAGTTGTACTAGACACTCCTGAAATATTCCTAGATACTGACAAATTTTCTTTTGCAGATGATAACAATGGATAATGCAGAAGAATATGTGGATTTGATGTTTGACTTTTGTATGCATACGGGTATTCAGAAACAAATGGAAGCCTTTAGAGGTAATTTTAAAGGATTTTTAGCATAATTGCTCTCCTTTCACTTTGAGACAGTTGAAATTATGGTCAAGAATTGCTGGTGGTCGGCTGGGCACGGTGGCTCACACCTGTAATCCCAGCACTTTGGGAGGCTGAGGCGGGAGGATCACCTGAGGTTGGGAGTTCGAGACCAGCCTGACCAACATAGAGAAACCCTGTCTCTACTAAAAATGCAAAATTAGCTGGGCATGGTGGCGCATACCTGTAATCCCAGCTACTGGGGAGACTGAGGCAGGGGAATTGCTTGAACCCGGGAGGTGAGGTTGCGGTGAGCCGAGATCACACCATTGCACTCCAGCCTGGGCGATGAGCAAAACTCCGCTGCACAAAAAAAAAAAAAAAAAAAAGAATTGATGGTGGTCGGGTGTGCGGGTGTGGTGGTGGCTCACACTTGTAATCTCAGCACTTTGGGAGGCTGAAGCAGGAGGATCGCTTGAGCCCAGGAGTTCCAAGACCAGCCTGGGCAACATGGCAAGACCCCATCTCTACAAAACATTTTTTAAAAAATTAGCTAGATGTGGTGGCACGTGCCTGTGGTCCCAGCTACCTGCAAGGCTGAAGTGGGAGAATAGTTTGAGCCTGGGAGGCTGAGGCTGCAGTGAGCCATGTTTGTGCCACTGCACTCCAGCCTGGGCAACAGAGGGAGACCTTGCCTCAACAAAGAAAGAAAGAAAGTGGACATAGGTTGCATACATTCTAGATTACTTGATCAGGATGAATTAACATGAAAGAATCATGATGGGAACAAAGTATATTACAAGGTAAATTACTTTTGAAAATGAGAACACAGTTTTGCCTGACTTGTATGACAGAAAGAGCTGGTGAACTCCAGACTGAGTAGTAATAAGAATTTGCATACTGACCATAGCAACTGAATGTTCTCTCTCTGTTCACGTTTGTGATGTTAAGCAGGGATTTCTAATTTAAAATACAGTTTTAATTTCAAGCTGTCTTAATTTATGCTTGTTTATTCAAACATTTATGAATGTTGAATATTCATCTTCTGTCCATTTCATCGGTAATGGGTATTTTTTTATTGTTGCATAATATATGTACATGTTTATGGGGCATTTTGATACACAGAATGTGTAATGATAAAATCAGTCTTTAGGACATCCATCATCTTGGACATTTATCATTTCTATGTGTTGGGAACATTCAAATTATTCTCTTCTAGCTTCTTTGAAATATATATTATTGTTAACTATAGTCACCCTACTATGCTAGAAAACATTAGAACTTACTCCTTTTATTTAATTGTAAGTTTGTACCCATTAAACTACCTCTCTTCATCCACCCCCACATGCAACATTCCCAGCCTCTGATACCATTCTTTTCTTTACCTTTATGAGATCAACTTTGTTGTTTTTGTTTTTTTGAGACGGAGTTTTTGCTCTTGTTTCCCAGGCTGGAGTGTGATGGCACGAACTCGGCTCACTGCAACCTCCACCTCCTGGGTTCAGGCGATTTTCCTGCTTCAGCCTCCCGAGTAGCTGGGATTATAGGCATGCACCACCACACCCGGCTAATTTTGTATTTTTAATGGAGATGGGGTTTCCCCATGTTGGTCAGGCTGGTCTCGAACTCCCACCCTCAGGTGATCTGCCCACCTCGGCCTCCCAAAGTGCTGAGATTACAGGTGTGAGCCACCTTGTCCGGCCAAGATCAACTTTTTAAGTTCCCACATATGAGTGGGAACATGTGATACTTGTCTTTCTGTGCTTGGCTTTTTTCACTTAATATAATGACCTCCAGTTCCACCCATGTTCCTACAAATGAAAAGATTTCATTCTTTTTTTTTTTTGAGACGGAGTCTCAGGCTGGAGTCCCAGGCTGGAGTGCAGTGGTGCCATCTCGGCTCACTGCAAGCTCCGCCTCCTGGATTCACGCCATTCTCCTGCCTCAGCCTCCCGAGTAGCTGGGACTACAGGCAGCCGCCACCACGCCCGGCTAATTTTTTGTATATTTAGTAGAGACGGGGTTTCACTGTGTTAGCCAGGATGGTCTCAATCTCCTGACCTCATGATCTGCCTGCCTCGGCCTCCCAAAGTGCTGGGATTACAGGCGTGAGCCACCGTGCCCAGCCCATTCTTTTTTATGGTTGCATAGTATTCCATTGTGTACATATACCACATTTTCTTTACACATTCATCCCTTGATAGATACTTAGATTGATTCTGATAATGGGTATTTTGGTTTGAAATTTGGTATTTTGGAATCGTAACTTGGAAACTGAGTTGTATGTTTGTTTTTTGTGTTTCCGTTACATGTACGATGTAGATGGGTTTAATAAAGTTTTTCCAATGGAGAAATTAAGTTCCTTCAGCCATGAAGAAGTCCAAATGATTCTTTGTGGAAACCAGTCACCATCCTGGGCAGCAGAGGATATTATCAATTACACTGAACCTAAGCTGGGTTATACACGTGACAGGTATGTGATACTATTTTCCAAGATCAACAAAATTATTTATATTCCCCAAATCAAATGACAGATTCTCTAAAGAACTTTAATTCAGTGAGTATCATAAAGTAAGTGAGAAAGCAGTGGTGTCTCACAGTTACCAGAATGCATATCCACTGATAAGGCTGGGAGGATACAAAAAGACAACTGACAGCAGGCCGGGCGCGGTGGCTCACACCTGTAATCCCAGCACTTTGGGAGGCTAAGGCGGGCGGATCACTTGAGGTCAGGAGTTTGAGACCAGCCTGGCCAACACGGTGAAACCTCGTTTCTACTAAAAATACAAAAATTACCTGGGCGTGGTGGCAGACGCCTGTAATCCCAGCTACTTGGGAGGCTGAGACAGGAGAATCACTTGAACCCAAGAGGTGGAGGTTGCAGTGAGCCAAGATCATGCCATTGCACTCCAGCCTGGGCAACAAGAGTGAAACTCTGTCTCAAAAAAAAAAAAAAAAAAAAGACAACTGACATCATGGCTGATGTTGATTCCTTTCCTCATTGTGTTTTAATTGTTCATTTTTAAAATTTGGTAAATTGTAAGCTGTTGGGCTATATACTACGTTTATATTAAACTTTTTATTGAATATAACAGATAAGTACACACATCATATATACAGTTTAGAGGATTTTGTCAAAATGAACACACCTGTATAATTGGTATCCAGAATATGAAACAACTTCAAAAATCCCCCTTCCCACCATATTCTTTTCTATTAATCTAATCACCATATGTTGATCAGTTTTGCTTGCTTTTGAACTTTTAATATATGAAATCATGTAGTCTGTTTTCTTTGTGGTCTGGTTTGAGTAATATTATGATTAT
The DNA here is from genome assembly GCF_000001405.40 of Homo sapiens. Taxonomy (NCBI): domain Eukaryota; kingdom Metazoa; phylum Chordata; class Mammalia; order Primates; family Hominidae; genus Homo; species Homo sapiens. The sequence continues at coordinate 31,102,062 of NC_000014.9, read as the reverse complement.
GAAATTTATCCATGTTGTGGCATGTCGTTCATTTACTATTTCATTACATAAATTTATCACAAGATAATTATTTTGCTGGAATAAAAATTATTTCAGATCCCCTTTGGTATATTTATCCATATTTGAAATGATTTTGCAAGTGCATCCTGTGTTTTTATGATTTGCTGACTTTGTTGCAGAATAGATGGACCCCATACACTGTCAGTATTTTTTAGTTCTTACAATTTGTAAGTTCAAGACAGTCTTTGAGGGATTTTTATTTTTATTTTTGAGATGGAGTTTCGCTCTTATTGTCCAGGCTGGAATGCAATGGCACAATCTCAGCTCACTGAAACCTCTATCTCCCAGGTTCAAGCGATTCTCCTGCCTTAGCCTCCCAAGTAGCTGGGATTACAGGCGTGCGCCACCACGCCCAGCTAATTTTGTATTTTTAGTAGAGATGGGGTTTCACCATGTTTGTCAGGCTGCTGTTGAACTCTTGACCTCAGATGATCCACCCGCCTCAGCCTCCCAAGGTGCTGGGATTACAGGTATGAGCCACCACACCTGGCCCGGGATATTTTTAAAGTAGCTTATATTAGCCCATTTCATACTTAACCAAGAGTCTCTAGATGTGTTGTTGTTCTGGTGTGAGGATATTGTTTTTTAGGGGGCTTGTTGCTGCCTTAGAAAATAGTGGTAGTGATTTTCATTTAAATCTGCAGTCAACTCAATATAACTATATTTTTGTTCTTTTAGCCCTGGTTTCCTGAGGTTTGTGAGGGTTTTATGTGGCATGTCTTCTGATGAAAGGAAAGCATTCTTGCAGTTTACCACTGGTTGTTCAACTCTACCCCCAGGTGGACTGGCTAACCTGCATCCCAGGCTCACGGTTGTACGCAAGGTACAAGCTCTCTGGCTAATGGGGAATCCAAATGAAATTTAGTTACTTTACTTTTGAAAGAAAGAAGTATTTAAACTCATGGTCTTCTGTTGTGTTTGCTTTCTTGTTGTAGGTTGATGCTACTGATGCAAGCTATCCATCAGTCAATACATGTGTGCATTACCTTAAGTTGCCTGAATATTCTTCCGAGGAGATCATGAGAGAGCGCCTGCTAGCTGCTACAATGGAGAAAGGCTTTCATCTCAATTGAGCTTTGAAGTGCAATGGGAGACATCAGAGACTTTAAAAATACTAGTGAAGCCTCTTGTGTTTGTGTGCAGAGAAGTATATGATCCACCATGCTAATGACACTTGCCTTTTTTTCCACCATTAAGGCTTTAAGAACATGTGGAATAAGTTTTTTAGCTGCTAATGACAAAACAAATCCTGTAACTACCCAGCCAGCAAGTATATAGCACAGAACACTGTGTTACTTTACAAGGGCTTATGTGACTGGAATAAGGTGGTCCCACTTGACTGTTCCAAAGAGCAGCTTCTCAGATCTTCAGTGTTCACTGGTAAATTTCTAACAGTGTATTTGTGTAAAGTTTGTCATTTCATACTCCATACACTACAGTTGCTGTCACTGATCCCTGTTTTGCTGGCTTTTAAGCTACTTGGTCAAAAATCCTGCTTCCTTAAAACATAGAGAATTAATGAGCATCTCAAGCTTTTTCTTTTCCTTTTTAATGATGCCTGCACTATCAAGAGTATTCTAGTGTTCTCTCTTTGTTTGGCATATAATCATGCACCAAACTTTTTATTTCTTTAAGGTGGGAGTATATTTTTATTTCCTAAATGCCATACTATGAAGATCAAAGTCTTAAGTGTGTTTGCAGCTCAAAAATAAAGATGTATTAAGGGGGGAAAACCTGGTCTAAGTGCAAGGCACACTTACAGCGAGTTTTACTTTCGGTTGTATTTTCTTTGTATATTATAAACATTTATTTAACTTGTTGCCGTTTGAAGTAAAAAATTTCCAAAATGTATGCTCAACAATAATCATTAAAATGTTTGCAGCGTACAGAACTGTGTCATGTGACTATTTCAATGCAGTCATCAGACTTAAGAGCTTTAGCAGGTACTTGTCATTTTGAATCATCCAAAGTTTTCTGAAATTACTACATAAAGAAATGTGTTTTTCTATAGTAAATACGGGTATTAAAATTGAAAGGCTAGAAGAAATATATATTCACACACTTGTGATCCAATGGTTGGGTTCAGTTTTAAAGTATGCCTCAGCTAGAACTGACCAGTTACTTGTGTTATTTTTTTAAAAAAACACCAGATCCACAACTTAACTATTGTATCTATAAGGATATATAAGTAAGGATGTAAGTGAGATCCAAGAATGATTTTTAAATGTTGTGTGTCAAAACACGGGGATACCGCTGTTTTCTGGTTTTGAAGAAGGGACTGTATTTCCAAATTCCAAAGTAGATTTTCCAAATTCCAGTTATTACCATATCTGTGCTTATAGGTGAAAGGAAAGACACTAGGCCTGATTTAGCCAAATAGCTTTTTTTTTTTTTTTTTTTTCTCTTAAAGACAGGCTCTTGCTGTGTTACCCAGGCTGGTCTCAAACTCCTAGGTTCAAGCAGTCCTGCCACCACAGCTTCTGGAGTAGCTGGGATTACAGATGTGTATCACCACACCTGGCTCAAATGGTTTTTTAAGGAACCAAAAGCATGTTTGAAATTGCCCAGTATCGACCTGTTTAAAAGGCAAATTCTCTGCCTATGAGAGATATCTTCTGCTATAATTACAAGTCTCTAAGATGTCTATCAGTAGTCAGCTTTTACCAAGACTAGCCTGGCACCAGGGTTAGCGAACTATGGCCTGCTGCCTGTTTTTGAATGGCTCATGGCTAAGCATGGCTTTAAAATTTTTTAATTGTTGGGGAAAAAAAATCAAAAGAATAATATTTTATGTGAAAATTATGAAATTTAAATTTCAGTGTCCACAAATAAACACAGCCACGTACATTCATTTACATGGTTGCTTTTGCACTTCAATGGCAGAATTGAGTAGTTAGCAGAGACCATATGGTCCACAAAGCCTAAAATATTTACTATTTGGCCTTTTACAGAAAAAGCTTGCTGAACCCTGGTCTGGCAGGTAGCTACAGCAGATAAATTGATAACTTTACATAAAATAGGGCAGGGCACGGTGGCTCACATCTGTAATCGCAGCACTCTGGGAGGCCGAGCAGGGTGGATCACCTGAGATCAGGGGTTTGAGACCAGCCTGACCAACATGGTGAAACCCTGTCTCAACTAAAAATATAAAAATTAGCCGGGCATGGTGGCACATGCCTGTAATCCCAGCTACTCTGGAGGCTGAAGCAGGAGAATTGCTTGAACCCAGGAGGCAGTGGTTGCAGTGAGCCGAGATTGTGCCATTGCACTCCAGCCTGGGCAACAAGAGCGAAACTCTGTCTCCGAAAAAATAAAAACAAAAAGTTTATATAAAATCATAGCTGTTTTTGAAATATTAGGAGTCTTCCTCAGAAAAAGTCCAAGAACAAGGTAAGGCTGGCCAAATATAAGTATGAAAAGTCACTTAAAGCATCTTAGTGAAGTTATATGGCGACACAGCCTGTAAGAACACATATGCATGAGTCAAGTGTTCTGAGACATCTACCGGGGTCTCCACCTCAACTGTAAGTTCTTAAATATTGTTTCCTATGATACCTACCAACTATTTTTTTTAACTGTTATTCTCTCAAGGTTCTAAAATCTGTGCCGAGATGTAATTCAACTACTATTTTGGTGTGACCCAAAAATTAATTTTGTTCACTCCCTAGCTACTCTGGTGTACCAGTTTCAGCAGTTACCTGAATGTGCAACTGATGAAGTACCTACCAACTAGGACAGTGTTTCCCAGCTAATGTGTCTGAGAAAGACCCTCCATAGCACTTCGGTCTACGCTGGGCTTTCCCCAGACCTTGGCTACTTGATACAAAGGTGTATCTGTACACACAGACCACTCACTGTTCCCACAGGTCAGAAGCCTTCCTTTTGCCTTCCTGAACGAGTCCAAAAACAACTCAGGTTTGGAGTCCACTATTGACTGACTGCATTTTTATAGACATAAACCTTGATATTGCAAGTGGATTTTGAGAACAGGATAAAAAAAAGCTCCACTGCCTACCCCCCACAATACACAGACAAACCAAACGGAACAGTGCTGAATGATAACTCTGAAACGTGCATTTGGCCAGGCGTGGTGGCTCACGCCTGTAATCCCAGCAGTTTGGGAAGCCAAGGCGGGCGAATCACTTGAGGTCAGGGTTTTGAGACCAGCCTGGCCAACATGATGAAACCCCATCTCTACTAAAAATACAAAAATTAGTCCAGTGTGGTGGCACACGCCTATAATCCCAGCTGCTCGGGAAGCTGAGGCAGGAGAATTGCTTAAACCTGGGAGGCAGAGGTTGCAGTGAGCTGAGATCATGCCACTGTATTCCAGCCTGGACAACCGAGCGAGACTGTCTCAAGAAAAAAAATGCATTTATGTCCTATTTTAGAGGCTGGAGTGTCACAGAAGAATGAACTATTGGATCATTCCATAGGCTGGGACAGTATCTTAATATACCAAAAATAGACTTTGGCCGGGCAGGGTAGCTCATGCCTGTAATTCTTGCACTTTGGGAGGCTGAGGTGAGAGGATTGCTTGAGCCCAGGAGTTTGAGACCAGCCTGGGGAACATAGTGAGACCCCGTCTCTATATTTAAAGGAAAAAGATTTCTACTTTCTTCATTGCACCTGACCTCCCACCCCTACATGCATATATATAGTAGACCTCCCTATTCTTGGGGGATAAGTTCTAAGACCCCCAGTGGATATCTGAAACTGGGGATATCTGAAACTGAGGATAGTACCAAATCCTATATATAGAGAGAGAAAGAGAATGTTTTTTCCTATACATACATACCTATGATAAAGTTTATAAATTAGGCACAGTAAGATTAACAACAATAATAGAACAATTATTACAATATAAGAAAGTTATGTGAAAGCTGGGCATGGTGGTGTGCACCTATAGCTCCAGCTACTTGGAAGGCTGAGCAGGAGGATGGCTTGAGCCCAGGAGTTCAAATCCAGCCTGGGTAACAGAGACCCCATCTCTTACAAAACAAAAGATGGCCAGGTGTGTTAGCTCATACCTGTAATCCCAGCACTCAGAGGCTGAGGTAAGGAGGATCGCTTGAGCCCAGGAATTCAAGACTAGCCTGGGCAACATATGGAGACCTTGTCTCTACAAAAAATAAAAAAAATTAGCTGAGTGGGGTGGCACACACCTGTGGTCCCGGCTACCTGGGAAGCTGAGATGGGAGGATTGCTTGAGCCCAAGGGGTTGAGGCTGCAGTGAGCCGTAATCATGCCACTGCACTGCAGCCTGGGCAACAGAGCAAGACCCTGTCTTTAAAAAAAAACGAAAAATAATTTTATATATATATATGTATATGCATGTAGTCTCTCTCAAGACCTTATTGCACTGTACTCACTCTTCTCATGATCTGTCCATCTGGTAACCAAGACAGTTACCAAATGACTGTCAAGTGGGGAGTGTATACAGCATGCATATGCTGGACAAAGGGACGATTCACCTCCCAGGCAAGACGGAGCGGGACAGAGCAGGACAAAGTGGGATGGTGCAAGATTTCATCACACTACTCAGAATGGCATGCAGTTTAAAACTTATACATTGTTTATTTCTGGAATTTTCTGTTTAATATTTTGGGACCTCAGTTGACCATGAGTAACACAAACCACAGAATGCGAAACAGTGGATAAGAGAGGGACTACTGTACATACTTTCGCCTAAGACAGTTCTGTATATTCTTCTGTTAACGGGGTAGCAAAAGCATATAGAAAGGTTTTGGGGGGATGCAGTGCATTGCTCTTCTGTAATGACAGTAATTTACTTCAAGACATTGCAGGAGAAGGGGTTAAAGGAGTAAAGGGGAGGAAGAGAAGGATTCATTTCATGCCTACCTGTACAGAGACACTTTCTTGCTTTCTACTTTTTTTTTTTTTTTTTTTTTTGAGACGGAATCTCACTCTGTGCCCAGGCTGGAGTGCAGTGGCACAATCTCGATCTCAACTCACTGCAACCTCTGTCTCCTGGGTTCAAGTGATCCTCCTACCACAGCCTCCCAAGTAGTTGGGATTATAGGCGCGTGCCACCATGCCCGGCTAATTTTTCGTAGTTTTAGTAGAGACAGGGTCTCACCATGTTGGCCAAGCTGGTCTTGAACTCCTGACCTCAAATGATCTACCCACCTTGGCGTCCCAAAGTGCTGGGATTATAGGCGTAAGCCACCATGCCTGGCTGCATTCTACTTTTAAACTTTGAACTAAATTTCATTAACAGTAAGCTTATTAATAAGCAAACCTTTTAAAATGTGGCATAAAAAGACTGGGCACAGTGGCTCAGGCCTGTAATCCCAACACTTTGGAAGGCGAAGGCAGATGGATCATGTGACTGCAGGAATTCGAGACCAGTCTGGGCAACATAGTGAAACCCTATCTCTACAACAAAATACAAAAATTAGCTGGGTGGAGGGGGTGCGCACCTGTGGTCCCAGTTACTCAGGAGGCTGAGGTGGGAGGAGCACCTGAGCCCAGGAGGTACAGGCTGTAGTGAGGCATGATCACACCACTGCACTCCAGCCTAGGAGACGGAGATGCTGTCTCCAAAAAACAAACAAAAAACGGGATAAAGGATAGCTGTAGGGGCTCTCTGGGGCTGTCTTAATGTCTGACCATCCATTATTTGAAAGTAATGTTCTCTATAGAGTTAATTACATAATGGCATTGTAATTACTAAGTGCCCTTAAAATGAGTATCAAAGGCTTTTACAAACTGGCAAATAAAATTTAACTCTGCATCTTTGTTAGGTACATGTTATAAAAGTTTTTTTGTTTTGTTTTTGTGTTTTTGAGGCAGGGCCTCACTCCATTACCCAGGTTGGAGTACAGTGTTGTGATCATAGTTCACTGCAGCCTCAAACTCCTAGGCTTGATCAATTCTCCCATCTCAGCCTCTTGAGTAGTTAGGAGTACAGGTGCTCACCACCACAGCTGGCTAACTTTTTAATTAGTTATTTACTTATTTTTAGAGACAGGGTCTCACTCTGTCGCCCAGGCTGGAGTGCAGTGGCATGATCTCGGCTCACTGCAACCTCTGCCTCCCGGGTTCAAGCAATTCTACTGCCTCAGCCTCCTGAGTAGCTGAGATTAGAGGTGCTTGCCACCATGCCTGGCTAACTTTTTGTATTTTTAGTAGAGACAAGGTTTTGCCATGTTGGCCAGGCTGGTTTCAAACTCCTGACCTCAAGTGATCTGCCTGCCTCGGCCTCCCAAAGTACTAGGATTACAGGCATGAGCCATCACACCTATTTATTTTTTGTAGAGATATGGTCTTGCTGTGTTGCCCAGGCTGGTCTTGAACTAATGGGCTCAACCAATCCTCCTGGCTTGGCCCCCCAAAATGTTGGGATTACAGGCCTGAGCCACCGCACTCGGACTTTTTTATTTTTGAGACAGGGTTTCACTCTGTCACCCAGGCTGGAGTGCAGTGACACGATCATAGCTCACTGCAGACTCGAACTCCTGGGCTCAAGAAATCTTCTGCCTCAGACTCCCGAGTAGTTGAGACTACAGGTATGTGCCACCACACCCGGCTGATTTTTGCATTTTTTGTAGAGATGAGGTCTATGTTGCCCAGGCTGGTCTTGAATTTCTGGCCTCAAGCGATCCTCCTTCCTCAGCCTCCCAAAGTGCAGGGGTTACAGGTGTGAGGCACTGCACCAGCCCCACATTACAAAGCTTTTAGAGCCAGGCCAGGAAGGTTCAAGGTTGTAGTACAACATGATCATGCTTGTGAAAAGCCACTGCAGTCCAGCCTGGACAACACAGCAAGACCTGCTTCTCTTAAAAACAAACAAACAAAAAACACCTCTTGGCTGGGCATGGTGGCTCATGCTTGTAATCCCAGCACTTTGGGAGGCTGAAGCAGGTGGATCACTTGAGGTCAGGAGTTCAAGAACAGCCTGGCCAACATGGTGAAACCCTATCTCTACTAAAAATACAAAAATTAGCTGGGCTTTACATAAAACCGGGCAGGGCATGGTGGCTCACATCTGTAATCACAGCTCAGTCTCCTGGGGACTACATGCCTGTAGTCGCAGCTACTCAGGAGGCTGAGGCAGGAGAATTGCTTAAACCCAGAGGTGGAGGTTGCAGTGAGCTGAGATCACACCACTGCACTCCAGCTTGGGTGACAGAGCAAGACTCCGTCTTAAAAAACAAAACAAAAAAACAAACAAAAAAACACCTCTTAAAAAGTTAATTTTACTAAGCCTTTTAAAGGAATAAGACAGCCTTCAGAAGTCAGGCACTGTGGCTCATCTGTAATCCCAGCGTTCTGGGAGGCTGAGGCAGGCAGATCACCTGAGGTCAGGAGTTTGAGACAGCCTGGCCAACATGGTGAAACCCTGTCTCTACTAAAAATACAAAAATTAGCCAGGTGTGGTGGTGCATGCCTGTAGTCCCAGCTCGGAGGCTGAGGCAGGAGAATCGCTTGAACCCCGGAAGTGGAGGTTGCAGTGAGCCGAGAATGTGCCAGGTGACACAGCTAGACTAGACTCCGTCTCAAAAAAAAAAAAATAGCTTTCAGAAAACAGCGTTACTCAAAATGCCTTGTGTTTAAATTTTAAAACTTTATTGGCTGACGGAAAACTGCCATACTTTCTTCCCACTACCATCCTGCTATTCCTGAATTCAATTTGCAAAAGAAGCATAGACCAAGAAGGGTTCCTTAGGTGCTCAACAGAATTTAAAGTGCGACAGATATGTTTACAATTAGAAAATAAAACTTCTCTCTCAGTTTAAAGAAATTTTTTTCTTTGTACATATTTTAAAGTACAGTTGTGTTTTCTTTTTAGGAACTGTGGAAAATGCCTATTTATAATGTCTTTGGAAGGATACCCCATTTTGTAATTGTGGTCTTCCAGATTCTTCTGGGTTAACATGTTGAGATGTATTCCACGGTACTCGCATTTCTGATAAATCCATATTGTCTCGAAGAGACTTCCTTTCAGCTTTCTGACATCTTATCAAGAATTAGTAGAGGGGCAAGAATTCTTGCCCTGTTAGTTTCCACAATGCAGCCATTTAACACCATCTCATCCAAAATGATGTGTACTTTATCCAAATTAAACATTATCTACGGTTATATTAAGGAAATTAGTTTAAAGTTAAAAATTATTAACATTCAGTAAAAATTTATGGCTTAACCTAGAGTGTTCCCAGTGTAAATTAGCCTAAGCATGAGGTTTTTTGTACAAAATTTCTGAAATTAAATTTAAAACTGGCATCCATATTAGAAATTGTTACCTTCATATATACATACCTAGTTTCACCTTGGTTAAGCTAACAGGATAAGTAGGGATAAAAATGAAACAGCTACATTTTTTAACCAAAGGGATAGGGGGTCTACTAAGTGCTAGAGAACACAGCAGTGTCATGTGGCAAGAGAATGACCTTAACTCAAAAATAGTGTTGTCTTCCCAGACAATAATAGTAACAGTAGCAACGATTTGTTGAATACTCCCGTTCCAGACAGTGTGTTGAGTTTCAGCCCTCTACAAATCTCTGATGTATGTTGTTACATATTATCCTCAGTTTACCCAGGATCAAACAGGTTCAAAGCATAGTCCAAGGTCACATGGCTAGTAAATGCCAGGTTTGAATTTAAACCCAAAGCTTGGGCTTGACTGCTCTGCTTATAGGCTCCTCAGGAGGGGCTAGACACCTCCCTCCTCAGCCCCCAAACCTCCACCCCAAAATAAATGCCTTGTACCTTCAGTTTTCTTCTCTGTCAGACAGACTGATGTAAAAATAACTATGAGGAGAAAATGAATGAAGAAGGCAGGGCATAATAAAATTTCTGGATTTCAAGACAGTATCTCTTACAAATGGGTAGTTCTAAGAAGTCATTTGAGAATGATGGAGCCACTTTGGCTTACAGGTGTTCTTACTGGGAAGTTAGTATGGGGCATGGGGAAAGAAGAAAATATTGTTAGACTATGATGTCTAGCAAACCACAAAGAACTAAATACTTCCCTCAAGAATCCCTTCAACTGAATACCTAACTTTTCTTTGGTGAAAGAAGGGGAACTGGAATGAGATGATGACAATGAATGTTTCTCAGTTTTACACCTTAATATCTGAAGTTCTCTGTCTACTTAAAGAGCATGATCCTGGTCTGTTACAAAAACAAAAACAGTTGACAGATTGTTTCAAATAAACTTCATTCAACAAATAGGTAATTAAATGCACTAGCGGAGTTCAAAATTAAATCTTTGTAAAGTGAATTGTTCCCTTTGATTTTTTTCAACCAGACCAGATATTCAAAGTCTACACTGTATTTGCTTAGTGAAGTGCAACTACACAGAATAGGACAAATGGTGAATGACTTTAAAGTTTTTATTAGGCTCTGTGTGAATATCTCATTAAGCTCTGTGCAAATAGTCCTCCAGCAGAATAAACTGTTTTCCAAGGACCCATGGGAACTGTCCTTAAGTGACCCAGAAAAAAAAAAAAAAGCGTTATTCTGATATACCTATTAATACTGTCTTTCAATTATACAGATGATTGCTTTGTCCCACGGCCAAACTGGGACTGGAATGTTAGGCCCTTGACTCTAACCTGTTCACTAGACCCAGAAGCCAGAACTTAGGTGAGACAAAGTGGGAATGGCAGCCAGGTATATATAGAAAGGCAGAGCTAAGAAGCACAGGTGGCTACGTGAAAAATGGCCTGGAGAACCTTCCTGTTATATTCACTAAGGGCAATGAAAGCCTTAGTGCCTTTGAAAATGTCGCCTTCTCCAAGATAACTTTCTTTGAGATACAAGGAAATCTAATTTTAACCCATGAATTAGTTCGGGGATCAAGCTGCTCTGTGGACTGCCCCATCTTTGGCAAGCAGATGATCTGCTGTTCAGATGTCCCCTTGAGCAACTGCCCAATTGTTTTGAAATTCAGATCAGAATTTACTGCTAAATCATATAAACCACTGACATCCCCACATTACAAGGAACAAGGACAAGGTCCTCCAGCAAGTCAATTTCCCAACATCCTGGAAACATGAGTTGCTCAGTGAGGTCACTGTATACTGTGGACATGTGACTGTGCCTGTGTATCTGTGTATCTGACTCAAACTCTAATAATCATGCAGCTTTCTGGCACTATATGGGGAAACTACAGACCAAATCCAATGTGAGGCAAAGGCCTGAAAGCTGATTTCCCCCTGGAATCTTGTGACTCTTTTAAAATAAGAATCCAGCTGTTGTTTACATCTTGATTTGGTTTATGAGCAACTTGTACACCCTGGTGAGGCCAAGAGTAATGGCATTTAGGCCATGTGCCAGGTAAGCAGGGACCAAAAAATACCCTATATGCTAAGCCCATGGAATAAACACACTGCAATGGTGACATTTGAAATAGGAGGAAGTAAGAAGGGCCCAGACTGTTGGTATACTAATGTAGTGAGCTCAGAATGGCTATTGAAAGACAGTCTTACCTTCAGGCTATAATGAACTTGACTGACTCTAAAGATCCTCAGGCAACTTGTTTTCTTTCATGGGCTCCCTAAGGTTGAGCTGACATGAGCTAGAAACAATCTCCCAAAGAGCGGAGTTACTGAAGTCCACTTTCTCCCAACCTACAAACCTAAGAGCCTTTCTGAATTTTCACATCATGTGGATTGGAATTGAACATCGTAGGGCTCCTGGAATATTAGTGCCACTTGAAATCAACTTTTTAATTACAGTGATTGAAATGAGGCCGGGCACGGTGGCTCACACCTGTAATCCCAGCACTTTGGGAGGCTGAGGTGGGCAGATTACGTGAGGTCAGGAGATCGAGACCAGCCTGGCCAATATGGTGAAACCCTGTCTCAGCTAAAAATACAATTAGCTGGGCATGGTGGCACACGCCTGTAATCCCAGCTACTCGGGAGGCTAAGGCAGGAGAATCACTTGAACCTCGGAGGCGGAGGTTGCAGAGAGCCAAAACTGTGCCACTGCACTCCAGTCTGGGCAACAGAGTAAGACTCTGTCTCAGAATAAATAAATAAATAAAAATGAAAATAAAAATAAATACAGTGATTGAAATGTTTATGGTCCCAACATTGGAATTTTATCTTTTTTTAGACGCAGCTTCTCTCTGTTGCTCAGGCTAGAGTGGAGTGGGGTGATCTAGGCTCACTGTAACCTCCATCTCCTAGGTTCAAGGAACTCTTGTGCCTCAGCCTCCTGAGTAGCTGGGAGTACAGGCATGTGCCACCACACCCAGCTAGTTTTTTTGTATCTTTAGTAGAGACGAGGTTTTGCCATGTTGGCCAGGCTGGTCTCTATAACTCCTGACCTCAAGTGATCTGCCTGCCTCAGCCTCCCAAAGTTCTGGGATTACAGGCGTGAGCCACCACGCCTGGCCCCAACATTGGAATTTTGATCTCTGGAAAATAAAACACTTTTCCATCATGAGTATTTTAACACCATAGTGGCAATCAAATTATCCTTTAACAAGTGAGAAACTGAGCAGCACAGACTCAAATGGAACCTCAAAAGGAATTCCACGGCAGAGACCAACCTAGAAACTACAATTTCTAACTCTAGATTTGGGTCTCAGATCCCTTGGTTTCTCATTTTATTTCTTTTTTTAAAAAATATTCTAGCTAAGTGTTCTTTAACAAAATATGTAGGGTGGGAAAACTTGCTTTCTCATTATTCATACTTTAATTTCCCACCAAATTAGGTAAGTGGCCAAGGGCCACTGTGTTCACATTTCCCCCAGAAAATACTACCATATAGAAGGCTATCATCATGAAGATTCTGCATAGTCCTGGAGACATTCTTCTTGTAGTATAGTATAGTCTTCTGTTCACTTTTTTTTTTTTTTTTTTGGTTAAGACAAAGTCTTACTCTGTTGCCCAGGCTGGAGTGCAGTGGCACAATCTTGGCTCACTGCAGCCTCGACCTCCTGTGCTCAAGTGATCCTCCCACCTCAGCCTCCCAATTAACTGTGACCACAGGTGCGCTGCCACGCCCATCTAATTTCTATATTTTTTGGAGGAACGGGGTTTCACTATCTTGCCCAGACTGGTCTTGAACCCCTGGGCTGAAGTGCGGCACTTTGCCTTTCTCGGCCTCACAAAGTGCTGGAATTACAAGCATGAGCCACTGTGCCCGGCCCTGTTCACATTTTGTCTCTTGCTAATGAGGCCACTGAAAAGGACTTTTTTTTTTTTTTTTTTTTTTTGAGATGGAGTCTTACTCTGTTGCCCAGGCTGGAGAGCAGTGGTGCAATCTTGGCTCACTGTAACCTCCGCCTCCCAGGTTCAAGCGATCCTCCCGCCTCAGCCTCCTGAGTAGCTGGGATTACTGGTGCGTGCCACCACGCCCCGCTAATTTTTGTATTTTTAGTAGAAGTGAGGTTTCACCATGTTGGCCAGGCTGGTCTCGAACTCCTGACCTCAGGTGATCCGCCTGCCTCAGCCTCCCAAAGTGCTTGGACTACAGGCGTGAGCCACCGCGCCTGGCTGTTATCTTTTTTTAAAGTAGGTTTTCATTAAAGGCCTACTCATATTCTGAGAACAACAGGATACCCAGCTGTGGTTTTGCTTAAAGTTTATGTAGGCTTATGCAAAATTAAATATGAAAGTCAGAGGTGGGTCAACGAGCCTGTTATTATTCTCATTTTTCCCCTAAATCTCTCTTGCTTCTCATAACTTGCTGTCACTATTCCTGACTAAAACAGAACCCACAAAAATGGAACAAAAGGAATAGGGTTAAAGCAGAGGGACCTGGTGGTGAGGAATGCTGGCGGATGAATATGGCACCTAGCGGGCTCCTGAAAGGAAACAGGAAAGTGGTCAAGGCTAGTGGGAGCCAAAAAAAACCTGGAGGCAGAACTGTCAGATTTGCAACGTTCACATCTTCCGGGCTACTGGCTGAATCCTGGGGACTGTTCCTATCCAAGACTCTCATCACCCACCATGGCCCTGGCTAGAGCTCCCATGCTGGAGAAGGCCCTGGGTCCCTCGTCTCTCAATGCCTGCCCTTCCCATGGAGGAACAGCTGCACACGTTCCCTCGGACCCACAGGCCAGTCCTCACTCTCTGGCAACGAGGCTTTCCATTTAATATTTTCAAAAGGAAAAAAGATGTTTTGAAATCTGAATGTGAACTCCACTTTTGGAGAGCATGTTCTCAACAAGACATTCACAGATACTCTCAAATTTTTTCATCCTTTCTGACTCTTCCAACCAAAGGCATTTCTCTAAAACATCTCCCCTTATTCACAAAAAAGCTTCGACAACACCAAGGCACCATGGTGACAGGCATGTTTTATTAGAGACTAAATTGCCACAGTCTACTCCAGATGATTAATTTTTAAAAAATATGTCAAATTTAGGCCAGGTGCAGTGGCTCACACCTGTAATCCCAACACTTTGGGAGGCCAAGGTGGACAGATCACTTGAGGTCAGGGGATCAAGACCAGCCTGGCCAAAATGGCAAAATCCTGTGTCTATTAAAAATACAAAAATTAGCCAGGCATGGTGGCAGGCTTGTAATTCCAGCTACTCAGGAGGCTAAGGCAGGAGGATAACCTGAACGTGGGAGACAGAGGTTGCAATGAGTTGAGATTGCACCACTGCACTCCAGCACGGACAACAGAGCAAAGCTCCGTCTCAGAGAAGAAAAATAAAAAGAAAAAAAAGTCAAATTTAACCTACCCAATTTATAATCCTAGAGTCAAGGGCCCTAGAAACCCAGAAACTAGTACCAGCTCTTCCCTAAAGTAGCTCTATGGATTGGGACATGTCACAGAACCTCTTTGGACCTCAGCCTTTTTATCTAAAAAGTGAGGTTTTACACCAGCCAACAGTGACTCACCCAGCCCTATGGGAGGCCAAGGTGGGAGGATCGCTTGAGCTCCAGAGTTCAAGACCAGCCTAGGCAACATAGTGAAATGCTGTTTTTATTTTAAAAAATTTTTTTAAATTAGCCAGCTGGGTGTGGTGGTGCATGTCTGTATTCCCAGAACTATTTTTTTTTTCCTTGATATTTTTGTTTTCCTACTCTGGAAGCTGAGGTGGAAGGATTGCTTGAGCCCAGGAGTTTGAGGCTGCAGTGAGCTATGATCACAACACTGCACTCAAGCCTGGGCAACAGAGCAAGACCCTGACTGTAAAAAAATTTTTTTACATTAATTTTTAAAAGTGAGGTTTTTACCTGATGATTGTGTAGGTTTCTCCTAGCTCCAAAGTATCCGGCTCCTACGACTCTAAATATAACCTTCAAGGAAAGTGGAGCTGGTTTACTCTTTTCTGATAATATCAAGCCATTCCTGGCTGGGCGTGGTGGCTCATGCCTATAATCCCAGCACTTTGGGAGGCCAAAGGGGGCGGATCACCTGAAGTCGGAAGTTGGAAACCAGCCTGGCCAACATGGCAAAACCCCGTCTCTACTAAAAATACAAAAAAACTAGCCAGGTGCGGTGGTGCATGCCTGTAATCCCAGCTACTCCGGAGGCTAAGGCAGGAGAATAGCTTGAACCTGGGAGGCGGAGGTTGCAGTGAGCCAAGATCACACCACTGCACTCCAGCCTGGAGTGAGACTGTCTCAAAAAACAAACAAACAAACAAACAAACAAATCAAGCCATTCCTGAAGTCATCACATGCTCCATCATACCTCGGAAGAAATTCTTTTGTAATGATTTTATTAATTAATTAACACTGTAACTTTCTGAGAGAACATGCAGAAAATTTCAGTTCATTTAGAAGCTGCCACTTCAGTGCTGGATGCTTCCCTGAAGAATTTGTTTGTTCTTCTGGCTGGTATTCCTATAGCCTCAGTTTGAACAAGTATTTTTGCAATTTCTCATTAAATCAGGCTGACATTATCTCCCACTTGGAGAAACCCTATTCTGGTTTCCGGATCTCTAAAAGTATTTCAGATTTTAGGAAGCTGATGGAACTAGAGGTAGATGCCCACAGTGGGCCTGATCGAGGCCTGTCTGCAAACCATGGTGGTGCTGATCACTGTTGCCTGCACACCATCATTCTCCAGGAAGCACCATGGCAGATGCTGGCGGAGTCACAGAGAGTGCACACAGCATTGATGCCCTTCCTATGTCCCACCCTCAACTGCAATAGAAGGGACATGAATCAGGGTTTTTTCACACAACCCACCAGAGCTTTAGGGCTCTAGAATCAACTGCTCAGTCTTTGAGATTTTGAGTTTATAAAATACAAACAGGAATGTTGTAAAGATGTTTTTATTTTTATTTTTAAAGACAAGGTCTCGCTCTGTTGCCAGATTGGAGTGCAGTAGCACAATCATGGCTCACTGCAGCCTCAGTCCCCCAGGCTCAAGTGATCCTCCCACCTCAGCCTCCCTAGTAGTTGGGACTATAGGCACACACCACCAATGCCTGGCTTTTTAAATTTTTTTGTAGAGACTGGGTCTCCCTATGTTGCCCAGGCTGGTCTCAAACTCCTGGCCTCAAGCAATCCTCCTGCTTCAGCCCTCCAAAGTGCTGGGATTACTGGCGTGAGCCACTGTGCCCGGTCTAAAGATGTCTTTAAATCAAGAAAACATTCCGGATTCTAGCCTATATTTGTGGGGCCTGGATTCTAGCCTATATTTGTGCCTCACAAGAATACAAAGTAGAGACTCCAGCCTGCTCTTGCTTCTCTCCCCAGGCACGTAGGTGGGACATCCCAGCTACCACCCAGCCTTCTTATCATTCCTGCCCCTAGTCTTGGGGTGAAGGTGGAGGAGAGGCTTGCAGAGGCCATGGTGGCAGGTTCTGGGATATCTAGGGACCTTATAAATTCTAGGGGCCCAGGAAGTCAGAGGATGGTCAAGCAGTAGATAGTGAGGGCTGGTGGGCATCTGCCCCATGATGGGGAAAGGGTGCTGGCGAAGCAGACATAGAATGGGCCTTCTAGAGCACAGGGCCCGAGGAGCCCCTGGCTGTCCAGGCCTGAAGGCAGTACTGCTGCATTCCAGTCTAGCCCAAATAAACTAAGTCCTTAGGCCTCTTTAAAGGCACCAAATACTGAAAAGGCCGTGGAGGTTTTCTGTACCTTCACGCGTAGAGCAGGTACGCACTGATTTGAAGAGTAGTTGGTGTGTCTCCCATACTGTGCTGTTCATTGGTGCCCTCCCCTGGCTATTCAGTAGATGGGGGTGGTGGAGGCAGCTCCTTTGAATGATGAACTGTCTGGAGAAAAGCAAGTCTGCTGGGGCTCCAGGGCTGAGCATATTTTGGGAAGTTCATCAATTGGTTCCTAAAAAAAACACCTTAATTCATAAAATTTGAAGTCTTAAATAAATCTACCAAGGTATGTGATGGGGCAAAGTCTCCCTGTAGAAACAGGCTTCACAAATCTTCAGGCCTCACTTCAGCCGGGCGGGTGGAGTGGAACTGAAGAGTGCACAGGAGTGTATTCATAGCACGTGAATGATTTAGGTCACTGACGTGCTTGGTCCCAAGGGGGCAGCCCGCCCCACCTGACACCACTGCACCAGAGGTTTCCACTAAATGGAAGGCTTTTCAACAAGCCAGAGTTTCTGTCCTGATTTCTTATGCTTAGGTCCTTTCTTTTTAAAATCCAATCTGTCTTGCTCTGTGATGTCAGTCTTACTAGAAGTAAAACAAGTCCATACTAGGGAGAAATGTAAACGGTGTACTGTATTTTTCCAAGTCTAACTGTACAGGTTCTCAGAAACTTCCCTAGCCTTAAAAAATCAGGGGGAAAAGCCTCTGGAGAAAAAGACAGGGGGCTTCCTGGGAATTGATCAGGTTTTGACTTCCTTCTCCTGTACCAAAACCAAGCTTTAACTCACGTCTGTCCCATGTGGGCTGACAAGGAGGGCTTTCTTAAGCCTGAGCAAACACAAACAAGATTATGTATTGTTAGTGGTGGAAGGACCAAATCCAGGTTGCCATTATAGCAGTTTTCCTGTTTTCAACCTTTTAAGGCCTAAGGGAGCTTTCCTGGCAGAGTGGATATAAGCAGTGCTGGCTGCTCCAGTAGGTGCCTGGCTACATGCTACCACACAGTGATGCAGGATGTCTACGCCCCTCCACAGATGGAGCAGGAACTGCAGCTGAGCTTCGACAAGATCCCCTCATCTTTCTGCTGTGTAACTAGTCTGCAGAGGTCCTCCTTGAACATGTGATGGTTTAAAAGGACTATGTATGAAGCAGAGGAGAGTCAGGGGTTTTTAATCCGATATTTTTCAGATGGCTAAGGGTAGTAACCTTTTAAGAATGTCAACACTTTGGGAGGCCAAGGCAGGAGGCTTGCTTGAGCCCAGAAGTTTGAGACCAGCCTGTGCAACAGAGTGAGACCCCATCTCCTCAAAAAATAAATTTAAAAAATTAGCCAGGCATGGTGTTGTGTACCTGTAGTCCCAGCTACTTGGGAGGCTGAGGTAGGAGGATCACTTGAGCCCAGGAGATCCAGGGTGTAGTGAGCCATGATCGCACCTCTGCACTCCAGCCTGGGTGACAGAGCAAGACCTTGTCTCAAAAAAAAAAAAAAAAAAAAAAAAAAGAGTGTCAACAGAAAAGAGGTGCCACATGCCCTTCTCTGCTGCCTGCTCTACTTTTAGACCACTGGAAGTACAAGTGAGATCAAACCTGGAGCAAAGACATAATATTCCAGGTCTAGAAAGACTTAGTTCTCCTCTCTAAATGATGTAAAATTCCTAATTTGCCAGATGGATATGCCTAAGTAATTCCTAAGGACAGTAAATACATATAACTTGGTTAGAAGGGAAGAGAGGGTGAAAATGAAACCAGGTAAAATGAAGGGAAAATTGTGTATCTTGACGTAAAATTTTAATTCAAACAAGAATGCTGGAGCTCATCACACAGACCTATACTACACACCAGAAGGCTACAAAGACAAGTATACCCATCTTTATTTCTACTAAACATCTAGTAAATATACGACACATCAACACAACTCATCCAACTATAATACATATCCCTTCACCTCTGATTCACGTTAACTCTCTCAATATCTAGTCTTGTAAGACTCTCTTCCTGTTTTAGATGTAAGGTAACTCAGCTCAGTTACCTAAAGTCATGGCAACATCAACTATTAAGGCTGATCAGGTGTTAAAGCTCTTCTAGTCTTTTTTTTTTTTTTTGAGACGGAGTCTCGCTCTGTCGCCCAGGCTGGAGTGCAGTGGCGCAATCTCGGCTCACTGCAAGCTCCGCCTCCCGGGTTCACGCCATTCTCCTGCCTCAGCCTCCCAAGTAGCTGGGACTACAGGCGCCCGCCACCGCGCCCGGCTAATTTTTTGTATTTTTAGTAGAGACGGGGTTTCACCTTGTTAGCCAGGATGGTCTCGATCTCCTGACCTCATGATCCACCCGCCTCGGCCTCCCAAAGTGCTGGGATTACAGGCGTGAGCCACCGCGCCCGGCCAAAGCTCTTCTAGTCTTAATTCTCTCATTTTAAGATGAGCGGGTTATGTGTCTTGTCCAATACACACAGCTAGTCAGTGGCAAGACCAAAAGTGGAAATTGAGTTCTCTACTCCCAGTGAAGTGTCTTTTAGCCCTTGCTATCTTCCTGATGACTGTTTAAATCAAAAAGCTTTTTGTCTACTTGTACCTTGTTCAAGTAGGAAGAGATTTATTTTGAATTGCTTTGAATGGCTTAATTCAGATAGAATATTACATGTTGAATAAAAATATACTGTAATATACAGACCATGCTGAGTGAAAATACACCATAATATACAACGTGGTCTGTATATCACGGTATATTTTTATTCAGCATGCTAAAACCTACAAAGGGATCTATAGTCCCTTCTAGGTCACAGGGATCATAGATTTGGGTCACTCACCACTAGAGGGCACTCAGATTTTCCCAGTTACTTTACAGAGGCTTCCAAATTAAGGGCACAAAATGAATTTGTCAACACAGTGACATTTCCTATCAGTAATAACAAGTAAATAGCAATTTCCCCAGAAATACTAAGTGGATGCAAACATACTGGTTCTGGGCATTTATATAAGTGTATATATAAATTTATAAATTAGGCCGGACGTGGTGGCTCACGCCTGTAATCCCAGCACTTTGGGAGGCTGAGGCAGGCGGATCATCTGAGGTGAGGAGTTCAAAACCAACCTGGCTAACATGGCGAAACCCCATCTCTACAAAATGTATATATATATATCATATATATACACATCAGACACTACGCCCAGAACCAGTAGTTTTGCATCCACTTAATATTTCTGGCAAAATGTGGAAAAATGCCTGTGTGTTTGTGCACGTACACACACATACACACACACACATAAATACATGTATGTATATATACACATAAACATTGTTATAATTCATATATAGTTGTTATATTCTTATATAAATATTTATATATAAACATTTGTTATAATTAATTTACTATTTTATATTCAAACTTGATGTGTTCTTAAAGGACTCAAGTGGTAGGTAGATTTTTGAAGTAAAAAATAAACTTAAAAATTAACTTGCCTCCCAAACACTCGCACAAAGCCTGGAGGGCTCCTGCCAAAATCTGTGGGCCTGCAGTATTCTAAGCAAATCGTGCTTGTTTTGAGGGTCCTTGGGTATTGTGATTTAAAAGAGACAGAAGAAAAGGCAAAAAGGAGAACTTTCTCTGCTATCAAGGAATGAATACATTTGATAGCAATGAATACAAGCCAGGCAATTTCTTTAACCTTCCAGTTTATCAACACTGAAGGCCTTATTCTGGTCATGTAGGGGATTTCTAGAGATTTAGACCTGGCACCCTGGAAATCCAGTTTCTGGAGGAGGACTAAACACTTTTTTGGCTGTGTTATTTAAATTTTGAAAATGCCTATTCCATATGCTTAAAGGAAATTAAATTAATAAATAGTAGCTATTAACTACTATGATAGCGCTATCCTGCCTGGAAAAAAAAAATCTTAAGAATCATCTTGCCAGGCGCAGTGGTTCACGCCTGTAATCCCAGCACTTTGGGAGGCCGAGGTGGGTGGATCACCTGAGGCCAGGAGTTCAAGACCAGCCTGGCCAACATGGTGAAACCCCGTGTCTACTAAAAATACAAACATTAGCTGGGCGTGGTGGTGGGCGCCCGTAATGCCTCAGGAGGCTGAGGCAGGAGAATACTTGAACCCAAAAGGCAGAGGTTGCAGTGAGGTGGAAATTGCAGTGAGCAGAGATTACACCATTGCACTCCAGCCTGGGCAAGAAGAGCGAAACTCCATCTTAAAAAGAAAAAAAAAGAATCGCCTTGTTGAAGCAGGGTGACGAAGTTGGGGAGGAGTTCTGCAGAACACACACACCTCTGGCTGTCTTGTCATAGTTGTTGGTGATGAACACTCTGGACTCTGCTGAATAGTTTTCCTGCCTTGTGGTACTTACCTGATAAGGACCAGAGTGCATTTGCCAAGTACTGTGGAAAACAGTATTGAAAAAGGATACATCTAATTCACTCTGGAAGACAGAAAAAGAGTGCAAGGGTTAGAAAAAAGACACTGGGGACCACTGCTCTTAGCAGAGTCAGACTGAAGAGGCTTCTGCGTCCATAGCAGCGGCCTCTCCTACCTGCTTCTGGGCTTGGTGGCCACAGCAGTCTGACTCTGCCAAGGCCCTAAGTTTGGGACTATAATTTTTTTAAATATAGGCTGTAGTTCAAAGGAATTTTACAGGCCAGCACGATTCATCTTTAGAAAGCAGAGGGAAAAAGAAACTAACTCAGCCTTTACAGATGTAGGTAATTTGATATGTGTATCAGAGATCTTAACAATGTGCCACACCCTTTGAATCCACTGACGTTACTTCTAGTAGTTTATCCTAAGGAAAAAATTAGACAATGGCACAATGATATATGACAGGATATTCAGGGTAATGGTGTTTGTAATAGCAAATTATGGATAATAACCTAAATATCTATCAAGGAGGGGAACAAATTAAGTAAACCGTAGCATATCCACAAATGATGATGTAGACATATAAGTACTCACATATTGTTAAAAAAAGTTACAAAATGTATACATAGTATTATCCTATGTATGTATGTATAAAGGTCAAAGTATATGTGGTTATACAGCTACAGACAGACATAGAAAGTCTAAAAGGAAATGTACCTAACAGCAGTTATCAGTAACTGATGGGCTTACTGATGATCTTCTTCTCACTTAAAAAAATCTATTTTATTTATTTATTTCAAGAAAGTATTTATTTATTTGGAGTCAGTCTGTCGCCCAGGCTGGAGTGCAGTGGCATGATCTTGGTTCATTACAACCTCCACTTCCTGGGTTCAAGCGATCCTCCCACCTCTGCCTCCCAAGTAGCTGGGACTAGAGGTGTGAGCCACCACACCTGGCTAATTTTTGTATTTTTTGTAGAGACGGGGGTTTTGCCATGTTGCCCAGACTGGTCTTGAACTCCTGAGCTCAAGCAATCCACCTGCCTCAGCCTCCCTAAGTGCTGGGATTACAGGTGTGAGTCATCATACCTGGCCAAAAAATACATTACTTTTTAAAGAGCAGTTTTAGGTTCACAGCAATATTGAGGGGAAGGTACAGCCTTCCCTCCGAATGTGCAGCCTCCGAATGTGCAGCCGTGTCCCTCCGAATGTGCAGCCTCCTCCCATGATCAGCATTCCCCACCTACATCATTCTCACCCAAATTCCACAGTTTACATTCGGGTTCACTCTACTGTTGTACATTCCATGGGTTTAGACAAATGCATAACTACATGTATTCGCTTTCCTCTTTCTCTTTGCTTATATGTTTTAAAATTTTGTAAATAAAATAGATATTTATGCAGTGAAAAAAGTATGGAGGAAGAAAAAAGCAAAGAGAATTAAGTTCAAATATGAAAGGACTTAAGGGTTGTCAAATGCAGCACTGAAAATCCCCTGATACCACTTCTTCAACAGCAACAACCCTCACCTCTGGCAAAGCTGCCTTCTTTGAAGCTAACTGGGTTGGTTTTTTGTTTTAAAAATGTGATGCTGAGATGCTTCTCTCAGCCCCAGACAGCATGAGACTGATCTCCAAATTTAAGATTTGGAAATTCTTGAAGATTAAAAATAGCCACAGAAAGAATGTTTAAAATTCACAAACCTAAAAATAAATCTTACATGACAAGGCCGTCTCTGTGAGGGGGACAGATCCTATTTTCTTTCCCATAGTGCTCTTTTCCCTCTTCCTCTTCTTCTTTTTGCTATGGTTTGATCCTAAGCCAAGTCATCCCTTAGTACCTACCGTCCAAGTCCTGCATAATCACCTGGCTGAAATTAAATTCTAATCTTTACTTTCGTGGTTTATGTGGTCACTGACTCTCCCTAAAATTATACCTATAATTCAGCAATATGCTATTTATTCTCAGTTACTGAATATAATAATAATAATTTTTAAAACCTTAGCAATGATAGTACTTGTACCCACTTTTTATTCTCCTAGGTTTAGAACATTATTATTTTGGGAAATTATATTCTTCTTGGTGGGTGTCACCTTGAAATGGCTAATCATGGTCAGCTCTGATCATAGACCCTGACTTGCAACTAGTCTGTCTAAACAAGAGAGTGGTCATCACAAGGTAAGCAGAAGCTAGAGCTATACTGTCCAATACAGTAAACACCAACCTCATGTGGAGATTTAAATTAAGTAAAATTAAAACTTTATTTCCTCAGTTATACTAACTGCATTTCAAGTGCTCAAGAGCCACATCTGGCTAATGCCTACTGTATTGGATGGCACAGGTACAGAACATTCCTATCTCTGCAGAAAGTTTTACTGAACAGTGCTGGTCTATGGTGCTCTTGCCAAGCAATCAACACAGAGATAGATTTTAAAGCCAGTCTCCATGTCCTCTGTCCCCAAGGCCAGTCTCTGGAATGACCACCTCTTGGTATCTTTCAGCTTTGGAACGCACCAACCCCTTCCTGGCTAGATGCATTTCCACATCACAGACCACAAGGCACGTTCCCAACACCAACTCTTGAATCAAGAAAAGGCTGATAAAGGCCGGGCACGGTGGCTCACGCCTGTAATCCCAGCACTTTAGGAGGCCAAGGCAGGTGGATCAAGAGGTCAGGAAATCGAGACCATCCTGGCCAATATGGTGAAACCCTAACTCTACTAAAAATACAACAATTAGCTGGGTGTGGTGGCACGTGCCTGTCATCCCAGCTACTCGGGAGGTTGAGGTGGGAGAATTGCTTGAACAAGGGAGTCAGAGGTTGCAGTGAGCCGAGATCGCGCCACTGCACTCCAGCCTGGCGACAGAGCGAGACTCCATCTCAAAAAAAAAAAAAAAGAAAAAAGAAAAAAAACAAAAATGGCTGACAGCAAGCCTCATGCACTAAGGCAATGATTACCAAAATTAAGCATGTACCAGAAACCAGAATCACCTGGAATCACCTGGAAGTCATCTTAAAACAGATTTCTGGGCCTTGACCTACAGCTTCTGATGCAATGGTCTGGGATGGGGCCCAGAATTTGTCTGTCTAACAAGTTCTCAACCTATGCTAATGGTCCAGGAATCAGACTTTGAGAACTGCTGCACTAAGACAATGAAGACAGGCTAGCTGACTGTCCCATGAAGAAGGAGTTTGCCAAACCTCACTTCTGGCATTAGGAGGTGGGCTGAAGACCTAACTTCCTAATTGGACTTTTGCCCTTTCCGGGTTTTAGTGCACACAATATTACTAATTATGGAGCACATTCTGCTCACTGCCTCAGGAAGAAGCTTGGAAAAATTCCTTGTTTTTATTTAAATGCGAAATGAAAAAAAACAACTTTAAAAAATAAGCTTGTGCTGGCTGGGTGTGGTGGCTCACGCCTGTAATCCCAGCACTTTGGGAGGCTGAGGCGGGCGGATCACCTGAGGTTGGGAGTTCGAGACGAGCCTGACCAACATGGAAAAAGTAGAAACCCTGTCTCTACTAATAATACAAAAATTAGCCAGGCGTGGTGGCGCATGCCTGTAATCCCAGCTACTTGGGGGGCTGAGGCATGAGAATCGCTTGAACCCGGGACGGAGGTTGCAGTGAGCCGAGATCACGCCATTGCACTCCAACCTGGGCAACAAGAGCAAAACTCCGTCTCAAAAAAAATAAAAATAAAAAGATAAGCTTGTGCCGCTGCTACTTCTCAAGAATGTCTAACTAAAGCTCAGGAAGGCCTATGGTACCAAAGTAAAACATCTTTACTGATTCTTTTTTAAAAGACTGGTGAGTTTCGAACTTGATACAAAGCTACAGAAATCAAAAGAGTGTGCTACTGATGTAAGGCTAGACACAGAGATCAATGGAACAAAAGTGAGAGGCCAGAAATAAACACTTACATTTATGGCCAATTGATTTACTGATAAGGGGGCCAAGACAATTCATTGGGGGAAAAGAACAGTCTTTTGAACAAATGATGTTGGAACAATTGAACATCTACAAAGGAATGGGAGAAAATATTTTCAAATCATATATCTGATAAGGGACTTGTATTCAGAATATATAAAGAACTCCTGCAACTCAACAATAAGATAACAAATAATGCAATGTAAAAATGGGCAAAGGATTTGAGCAGACATTTCTCCCAAGAAGATAGACAAATGGCTAATAAACATATGAAAAGATGCTCAACATCCTTATCCATTAGTGAAACACAAATGACAACTACAGTTCATTGGCCTCTATACCACTTTACATCTACTGGGATGGCTATCATATAAAAGACAGACAATAACAAGTTTTGGTGAGGATGTGGAGAAATTGAAACCCTCATGCACTCCTGATGGGAATTTGAATCACACCAACACTTTGGAAAACAGTTTGGCAGTTCATCAAAATGTTAAACATGGAGTTACCACATTCTGCTCCTAGGTAGTCCAAGAGAACTGAAAGCATGGTTCTATGCAAAAACGCATCCATGAATGTTCATATGAGCATTATTTACAGTAGCCAAAAACTGGAAATAACTCAAATGTCCATCAACTGATGAATGGATAAAAAAATTTGGTATATCCGGCCAGGCGTGACGGCTCACGCCTGTAATCCCAGCACTTTGGGAGGCCGAGGCAGGCGGATCACCTGAGGTCAGGAGTTTGAGACCAGCCTCAACATGGAGAAACCCCGTCTCTACTAAAAATACAAAATTAGCTGGGCATGGTGGTGCATGCCTGTAATCCCAGCTACTCGAGAGGCTGAGGCAGGAGAATTGCTTGAACCTGGGAGGTGGAGGTTGTGGTGAGCTGAGAGCACGCCATTGCACTCCAGCCTGGGCAACAACAGCGACACTCCGTCTCAAAAAAAAAAAAAAATTGGTATATCCATCCATACAATGGAATATCATCTGGCAAGAAAAAGGAAAGAAGTACTGATATATGCTATAACATGGATGGATCTTGAAAACACTACACTCAATGAAAGAAGCCAGTCACACAAAAATCACATGTTGTACAATTCTATTTATATGAAATATCTAGAACAGACAAATCTATAGACACAGAAAGTAGATTAGGTATATATCCAAAAGAAAGGAAATCAATACATTAAGAGATGTCTGCAGTCCAATGTTTATTGTAGCACTGTCCACAATAGCCAAAATATGGAATCAACCAAAGCACCCACCAATAGATGAATGGATAAAGAAAATACGGTATATATACACAATGGAATACTATTCAGCCATAAAAAAGAATAAAACCCTATCATTTGCAGAAACATGTATGGAACTGAAGGTCATTATGTTCAGTGAAATAAGCCAGGCACCGAAAGACAAATATCACATGTTCTCATTCATGTGGGAAGTAAAAAAGTAGATATCATGAAGATAGACAGTAAATTGGTGGTTACCAAAAGCTGGGAGAGGAAGAGGAAAAGAGGAAATGAAGAGAGGTAGATTAATGGGTGCAAATATGCAATTAGATAGAAGAAATAAGACCTAGTGTTTGATAAATCAGTAGGGTGACTATGGTTAATAATAATCTATTGTATATTTCAAAATAGCTAAGAGAATAATTCAAATGTTCCTAGCATAAAGAAGACATAAATATTTAAGGTGATAGAGATCCTAATTATCCTGATTTGGTTTTTATACATTATATGAATGTATCAAATTATCACAAGTATTCTGAAAATATCTACATCTCTTATGTATCAATATAAAAAATAAAAATAAAAAACTTACCAAGAAAAAAAGATAGATCACTGGTTACCTGGTGTGGGTGGAGGGGATAATGAGGGGGAAATGCTAATGGGTACGTTTCTTTGTCAGGTGATGAAATTTCCTAACATCCTCCCACCTCATCCTCCTGAGTATCTGTCACTAGAGATGCTTGCCTCCACACCCAGCTTGATTATACACTTACTTTATTTATTTATTTATTTGAGACGGAGTCTTGCTCTGTCGCCCAGGCTGGAGTGCAGTGGCGTGATCTCAGCTCACTGCAAGCTCTGCCTCCCAGGTTCACGCCATTCAGCCTCCTGAGTAGCTGGTACTACAGGCGCCCGCCACCATGCCTGGCTAATTTTTTGTATGGTTAGTAGAAACAGGTTTCACCGTGATAGCCAGGATGGAGACAGGGTTTCACCGTGTTAGCCAGGGTGGTCTCGATCTCCTGACCTCATGATCGGCCTGCCTCGGCCTCTCAAAGTGCTGAGATTACAGGCGTCAGCCACCGCGCCCAGCTTACTTTATTTATTTATTTATTTATTTATTTATTTATTTATTTATTTGAGACGGAGTCTCGCCCTGTCACTAAGGCTGGAGTGCAGTGGTGGGATGTTGGCTCACTGCAACCTCTGCCTCCTGGGTTCAAGCTATTCTCTGCCTCAGCCTTCCGAGGAGCTGGGATTACAGGCAGGTGCCACCATGCCCAACTAATTTTTTGTATTTTTAGTAGAGACAGGGTTTCACCATTTTGGCCAGCCTGGTCTTCAACTCCTGACCTCATGATCTACCCACCTCGGCCTCCCAAAGTGCTGGGATTACAGGCGTCAGCCACACCCGGCCAATTACACACTTTAAATGGGTGAACTGTATTATACATAAAATATATTTCAATATAGCTATTAAAATGGCTTTAAAAAGATTTTCGGAAAGGAGCTCACATATTCCCTAAGGAGAATTGACTTTTGACCCTCAAAACAAGGGTTTGGATGGGAATGATTCTTAAAGTGAAAAGCATCCTGGTGTCTTAGGAAATAAGGCAGAGGGGGCCAGGCACGGTGGCTCACGCCTGTAATCCCAGCACTTTGGGAGGCCGAGGCGGGCGGGTGGATCACCTGAGGTGGGGAGTTTGAGACCTGCCTGACCAACATGGAGAAACCCCATCTCTGCTAAAAATACAAAATTAGCTGGGCGTGGTGGCACGGCTTGCAGTGAGCTGAGATCGCGTCACTGCACTCCAGCCTGGGCAACAAGAGCGAAACTCTGTCTCAAAAAATAAAAAAATAAATAAATAATAAAAAATAAAAAAAGAAAGCAGAGGGAAGAAGAAAAGAGGGGGCAAGTCAGATAGCAAAAGCTCATAATTGGGAGAAAACAAATAAGAGGGTTTTTTTTTTTTCTGAGACGGAGTCTCGCTCTGTTGCCCAGGCTGGAGTGCAGTGGCGGGATCTCGGCTCACTGCAAGCTCCGCCTCCCGGGTTCACGCCATTCTCCTGCCTCAGCCTCCGGAGTAGCTGGGACTACAGGCGCCCACCACCACGCCCAGCTAATTTTTTGTATTTTTAGTAGAGACGGGGTTTCACCGTATTAGCCAGGATGGTCTCCATCTCCTGACCTTGTGATCTGCCCACCTTAGCCTCCCAAAGTGCTGGGATTACAGGCGTGAGCCATCGCGCCCTGCTATAAGAGGTTTTTTTTTTTTTTTCCAGTTCTTTATAAAGATCTCAGGCATGTATAGGCTTGTAACACTTTGGATAAACCAGAAGGAAAGATAAAGAAAATTTGGCATCACTTAAGTTTTAACTTTTACTTATTAAAACTCTGTATTAACACATGTTCTTGATATAGATCCAAAGAGACTCAATTTCTGGGAAACTGGGTTGAGGAAGTAAACCATTTTTTAGCCATTAGACTTACCACTCGGCTGAAATACTCATCTAAAACTTCCACAAAGTTATGAATGAATTCATAAATAGCCATCTCGTTCTACAATAAAAGAAGAAAGGTACAATCAATTTTAGTGTCGCTTCCCATGTAAACCAGACATAGAACTTCCCAGTCAGTGTCCAGGTTTTAGAGCATGTGGCTTAGTGAACCGATAATGTGAGGAAAGTAGCCTCCCACTGACAAATATTCAGAACAGTTCTATCACTCACTTGTTTAAAAGATGTTTATCAATGGGGGAAATGTAGATAAACCTTAACTTCTAGGATTTTTTTTGGCCAGATGTGATGGTTCATATCCGTAATCCTAGCACTTTGGGAGGCCAAGGTGAGAGGATGGCTTGGGGCCAGGAGTTCAGGACCAGCCTAGGCAATATAGTGAGACTCTGTCTCCATAAAAAACTTAAAAACTAGCCAGGTGTGGTGGTGCATGCCTGTAGTCTCAGCTACTTGCGAGACTGAGGCAGGAGGATGGCTTGACCCCAGGAGTTCCAGGCTGCAGTGAGCTATGATGGCACCACTGTACTCCCGCCTGGGAAACAGAGCGAGGTCCTATCTTAAAAAACAAAAAGGCCATGCGTGATGGCTCACACCTGTAATCCCCACCACTTTGGGAGGCCGAGGTGGGAGGATCACTTGAGCCCAGGAGTTGAAGACCAGCCTCACCAACATAATGAGACCTCTTCTCTACAAAAAATAAAAAAATAGGCTTGGCGTAATGGCTCATGTCTGTAATCCCAGCACTTTGGGAGGCTGAGATGCGTAGATCACTTGAGGTCAGGAGCTTGAGACCAGCCTGGCCAACATAGTGAAACCTCGTCTCTACTAAAAATACAAAAATTAGCTGGGCATGGTGGCACATGCTTGTAATCCCAGCTACGTGGGAGGCTGAGGCAGGAGAATTGCTTGAACCTAGGAGGATCACTTGAACCTGGGAGGCTGAGATTGAAGTGAGCCAAGATTGTGCCACTGTACTCCAACCTGAGTGACATAGCGAGACTCCATCCCCACCCCCCCAAAAAAAATCAAATAAATAAATAAATAAATAAATAAATAAAAGTAAAAATATCCAGGTATCTTGGTGTGCGCCTGTAGTCTTAGGTACTCGGGATTGTGAGGCTGAGGTGGAAGGATCACTTCAGGCCAGGAGGTCAAGGCTGCAGTGAGACGTGAAGGTGCCACTGCATTCTAGCCTGGGTGATGGAGAGAGACCATGTCTTAAAAAATTTAGGCCGGGTGCGGTGGCTCACGCCTGTAATCCCAGCACTTTGGGAGGCTGAGGGAGGTGGATCATGAGGTCAGGAGATCGAGACCATCCTGGCCAAAAGGTGAAACCCTGTCTCTACTAAGAATACAAAAATTAGCTGGGCGTGATGGTGGGTGCCTGTAGTCCTAGCTACTCAGGAGGCTGAGGCAGGAGAATCGCTTGAACCCAGGAGGCAGGGGTTGCAGTGAGCCGAGATCATGCCATTGCACTCCAGCCTGGTGACAGGGTGAGATTCCATCTCCAAAAGAATCTTTTTTTCTTTTTTTTGAAGTCCATGATGAATCTAGCCAGATTAAAATCTTAGTGTCTAGCACTTAGAGTTCTTAGATCTATTTCCTGACTTTACCACAAATTGGCTTAAGCAATTTTTCAGGCTCTTCATGCCATCATTTTTCTATCTGTGAAGATGGGAAAACCACTTCAAAGTTTGGTTCATGGATAAAAAACAACAAATCAATATTTCAGTTAGATCTAAAACATCCTTTCAGGGATTCCATGGCCATAAGTGCTATTGATTTGGGAGTGGCATTTGTGAAGGGGTGAACTAAATAAATTTGGGGTGATGTAACTGCCATACAATCATCTTTAGAGTTTTCTCTGGCTTTTGATATATCAGCCCTTTTTTTTTTGAGATGGAGTCTCACTCTGTCGCCCAGGCTGGAGTCCAGTGGCGCAATCTCGGCTCACTGCAAGCTCTGCCTCCTGGGTTCACACCATTCTCCTGCCTCAGCCTCCCGAGTAGCTGGGACTACAGGCGCCCGCCACCACGCCCAGCTAATTTTTTGTATTTTTAGTAGAGACGGGGTTTCACTGTATTAGCCAGGATGGTCTCGATCTCCTGACCTCATGATCTGCCCACCTCTGCCTCCCAAAGTGCTGGGATTTCAGGCATGGGCCACCGCGCCCGGCCTCAGCCCATGTTTAATGCCAAAATCAGTCGGCCTCTATACTTATCTGACCTGCTTCATTGTTCAAGAGAACAAGGGCAGGGCACTGGTATTGCTTACAACAGAAAAAGGCATTCTGTGGTTTGGGGCTTCTCTACTTTGCAAGCTCCTGATCTAATCCAAGAAACATCCTAGATATTTCTCTTCCACACAGCTTTCCTCATCCTTGCTAGAAACCAAGATCCTAGCCAGGCACAGTGGCTTGTGCCTGTATTCCCAGCTACTTGGGAGGCTAAGCCAGGAAGATCGCTTGAAGTCAGGAGTTCTAGGCCAACCTGGGCAATACAGTGAGATCCCATCTCTAAAAGAAAATAAAAGCAAAAAAATAAGTTGGGCTTGGGAGTGTGAGCCTGCAGTCCCAGCTAGTCAGGTGGCTGAGATGGGAAGACTGCTTGAACCCAGGAATTCAAGGCTGCAGTGAGCTATGACTGTGCCATTGCACTCTAGCCTGTCTCTTAAAAAAATAAAAATAAAAATAAATTGGGAGTCTGAGGCAGGCGGATCATGAGGTCAGGAGATCGAGACCATCTTGGCCTCGATGGTGAAACCCCATCTCTACTAAATACAAAAAATTAGCCGGGTGTGGTGGCACATGCCTGTAATCCCAGCTACTTGGGAGGCTGAGGCAGGGGAATCGCTTCAACCTGGGAGGTGGAGGTTGCAGTGAGCTGAGATCATGCCACGGCACTCCAGACTGGTGACAGGGCAAAATTCTGTCTAAAAAAAATCAAGAGAGTCATAATTCTTAGGGAGGCAAGTAGAAAGAAATTCTTGCATTTTCCAAGGGCTCTTCTATTATCTTACCTCAGTGTCATTAACTCCAACCACAATGAAGAGAGCTGCATACTGCCGATATATCAGCTTAAAATCCTTATATTCAATGAAAGAGCACTAGACAAAACACAATGAGATATTAATTCCTGTGGCTGAGAGAGAGTTCTTTAAAATGACATGCGTAAGTTCTAGGTTCTGATTTACCCGACAAACATTCCTAGAAATATAGAATATTAAGATGTTACACAACCATTGGTGACCTTCTCACAATATTCAGGGGACCACTTGGAAGCATCTCTAGTGGAAACTGGAGAAGTATTGGAAAAAAGTCTGAGGGTTCACATGGGTTCCCACTTACACTCCTTCTTGTTCCTTTGCTTTGCTCTGCGTGGAAGTCAGCAGGCAAAGGTAATGCATAATCAGCATTTTAAAGTGCCTCTGAAGCGAAAATAAGCAAACACGATAAAGATTTTCTTCTTCTCACCTCCCCAAGATTTTTTTGGAAGCAATTAGATATTCTCAGTTTTGTACTATTTAATAGTCATTGAGGAGCCAAATACATGGTACAAACAAACAAAAATTGGTTGCTTTTTCCTAGACTCATGAAAAGAATCCATGTAGATTATTTTATAAATTATTTAAAGATGCCTTCTTTGTGGCAGATGCTAGACAAAATCTCGCATTGTAAACATTGCTTCATATGAATTAATAACTAGCCTGCCACCACTGACACATGGAAAAACTCCCTTCTCATTCATCCCTTTCCTATCACCTTTGTACAAAGAGTTATGGGAAGGCGCTGAGTGGATGGGAGGTGGAGAGTGGGCAGAAGCACAAGGTTACTCTTCTTCTGGATTTTAGGGTGTGCTGGATGTGTTGCTCTTAGGTGCCCGGATGCACCTGGGAATGAAGCTGCAAATTTTGACCATGGAAATTCCTCTATGGGAAAGCCATCTGGAGGAATTTAGGCTTTTATTTAAAATTAGGATAAAGGTAATGAGTACAGAAGCATTCTGCAGCGTTTGGCTCACTGTAGAGCCAGTGGGATCTCTGCTCAGCTGGATCTTTCAAGGAAACACAACCTTTTTGAAAGAACTGAGGAACATTTTTCAAAGCTTCTCAGGAGTTTCTGACATTAAAAAAAAAAGTATCAAAGCACCTCTATGGATAAAAACTAAGCTGCTATTATGCTACTTTGGTGCCTGATTATGCCAAAAGCCCAGTGGGCTCCTTTTAAAATCTAAAATAATTCAGAATGCATCAAAAGTATCTAACAGTATATTCATTCCAAAGCTTTCATTTCAAAGGGTAACCTATCAGTGAAAATGATGTTTGAAATTGAGTGCCTGCATTCTGCAGAAAGATTCAAACAGGAATGCTTCTAAGAGTATTTACTTTTACTTAAAGTATGTGGCTATTAACACAGCCCTTTAACAGTTTCTGTTTCCGTCTGACAACATGAAACAGTGTGTGCCATGGCAGGCCAAAGTAGTAATTCAAAGAGGAACTCTGTGATGTCCCAACTGAAAAATCAGTTGAGATGCCAAGGGAGACACATTTGTACCATGTTATTTCTGAGCACTGATGTGGTTTAATATTTGATGATTTAGCACTGGTGCTCACAGGCAGCCCATTATGCAGTGAAATGGAGAACTGACAAAATTAATGCACAAGTTAAACAAGTTTTCTGATTTTCCCTCAGTTGTTGAGTAATTTCCAACAGATTTGGCAAGTTTAGGACCGGATTAAGTAATTCTTTAAATAAAATTCTTCATAAAAATTTTGTTCAAGGGGCCGGGCGTGGTGGCTCATGCCTGTAATCCCAGCACTTTAGGAGGCCAAGGCGGGTGGCTCACCTGAGGTCAGGATTTCAAGACCAGCCTGACCAACATGGGGAAACCCTGTCTCTACTAAAAATACAAAATTAGCCGGGTGTTGTGGCACATGCCTGTAATCCCAGCTACCTGGGAGGCTGAGGCAGGAGAATCGCTTGAACCTGGGAGGTGGATGTTGTGGTAAGCCAAGATCGTGCCGTTGCACTCCAGCCTGGGCAAGAGCAAAACTCTGTCTCAAAAAAAAAAAATATTGTGTTCAAGGTATGAGCTAGGGAAAAAATTCTTTGCAAAATGGACTCAGTTTTTGGCCTGGCACGGTGGCTCATGCCTGTAATTCCAGCACTTTAGGAGGCCGAGGCAGGCAGATCACTTGAGGTCAGGAGTTCGAGACCAGCCTGACCAACATGGTGAAACCCCATCTCTACTAAAAATACAAAAATAAGCTGGGTGTGGTGGCACGAGCCTGTAATCCCAGCTACTCAGGAGGCTGAGGCGGGAGAATCGCTTGAACCCGGGAAGTGGAGGTTGGTTACAGTGAGCCAAGATGGCATCACTGCACTCCAGCCTGGGTGACAAAGCAAGACTCCATCTCAAAAAAAAAAAAAAAATTGTTCTCACTCATAGGTGGGAATTGAACAATGAGAACACTTGGACACAGGGTGGGGGACATCACAAACCGGGGCCTGTGGTAGGGTGGGGGGAGGGGGAAGGGATAGCATTAGGAGATATACCTAATGTAAATGACGAGTTAACGGGTACAGCACACCAACATGGCACATGTATACATATGTAACAAACCTGCATGTTGTCCACATGTACCCTAGAACTTAAAAGTATAATAAAAAAAAACTATTAAATTAAAAAAAAAAGGACGCAGTTTTAAAAATTCCTATTTAACCTCCTTTTTTTTTTTTTTGAGACAGAGTTTTGCTCTTGTCGCTCAGGCTGGAGAGCAATGGAGCAATCTTGGCTCACTGCAACCTTCACCTCCCATGTTCAAACAATCCTGCCTCGGCCTCCCCAGTAGCTGGGACTACAGTTGTGCACAATTACGCCCAGCTAATTTTTCACCATGCTGGCCAGGCTGGTCTTGAACTTCTGACCTCTAGTGATCCACCCGCTTCAGCCTCCCAAAGTGCTGGGATTACAGGCGTGCGCCATTGCACCCAGCCTTAACCTCCATTTTGGAAGATGGATAAATTTGTTGTTTCACATGAATTCTTAATTTCCGTTTTCCCCACCTAGATAATCAAATTTGTTTTGTTTTTAAATCACTGGTTTCAGTATTATATTGGTGGTATATTTACAAAAATAATAAGCAGAATAAAACCACCCGATTTGAGAATAATATTATTATCCTCTGGCACAAAATGGGTCTTCAGTATTCACCTCTACACCAATCATCTGATCTTCATTTTTTGGCTTATAGAAAGCTACCTGATACAGGCACTCATGAGAGTTTCAAGGGCTGAATTCATAGGAATGAAAAAAGAAGAGGTGTGTCTATTAGCAGAAGGAAATTTTACTGTCGTTTCCAAGGTGCATTGAGACAAATATGCTGACTTAAATAAGAAGCCAAGATTCTTCCAGGTTTTCCTTGTTTTTGTTTTCTTAAAGGGATGTAAAGAGAGCTATGCTTCTTTCAGTTTTTCATTTCACATCACTTATTTTCTTTAGTAGCTGTTGAAGGAATATAGCTCAAAGAAAATGATGGCCCCTGAGACTCACTAATAACAAATCTGCCAAGGCTGAGTTGAATGCAGAGATAAAAGAGAGAACCAGAGACTTACTTGTTCATTGGATCGAGAGAGACAGCTCTTTATGACTTCTGTTTCCAGAAGTGTACGCTTATTAATATCCACATGTTCATAGTACTTAGAAAGTCGAGTCTGCCCTTGTTTATTCACCATGAGGAAAAATTTTATCATTTTTCTTTCCTGGCCAGTATTTTTCCAAATACAGTTCAAAAGTTATGACAAGGGATGGCTGTAACTGGAACCTTGAAGACAAAAACAAACAAAACCAGAAAGGCAAGATCAAATTTCTCAAATAATTATATTAAATGTTTTTATAGATAAACAGTAAATAAAGTAGTAGTAAATATCATCTGATAATATCAGTCTTTATTCCTATGAACTAATTGAGGTTTTAATAAATAAAAACCAGGCCGGGTGTGGTGGCTCATGCCTGTAATTCCAGCACTTTGGGAGGCCGAGGCAGGTGGATCACAAGGTCAGGAGATCGAGACCATCCTGGATAACATGGTGAAACCCTGTCTCTACTAAAAATACAAAAAATTAGCTGGGCGTGGTGGCGGGGGCCTGTAGTTCCAACTACTTGAAAGGCTGAGGCAGGGGAATGGTGTGAACCCCGGAGGCGGAGCTTGCAGTGAGCCGAGATTGCGCCACTGCACTCCAGCCTGGGCAACAGAGCAAAACCCTGTCTCAAAAAAATACATAAATAAATAAAATAAAATAAAAAAATAAAAACCAATGATAAATTTTCATCAGTTATTCTCCAAAATAATTCTGAGCAACTGCAGTACTTCTGTTTCTATTCATTCAATTTACTCATTCATTTTGCTGGGTAACAACGATGTGTCAAGCACCAGAAGAATGTGAAGATGAAATAGTAAGGACTTCTGATCTTCTGATTTTTACATCTAGCAAAGGTGCTAGGTAGGTAAACAACGGCAGTACAAGGTGATGAGTTATAACTGGGACAGGTCCGCTTCCATAGGTGTACAGAAGGGAGGGACAAGGAACATCACAGGAGAGTGAAGAACTGCTTCCCGGAGAAGGGGCACTGATGTGAGGTCGTGAAGAATGAGCTACAGGGGAAGACTGAGGCAGAGAAAACAGGTATGAAAGCTCTGGAAAGTTCACTGGGGCTGCAGTTCAGGGCATGGGAAGAATAGTTGCAGGAAATTAAGCTACTCACATATGATATAATTGGCTTTAGAAGTCATGCTAAGGAATTTGGGCTTTATTTTATGGGCAATGGAGACAAGATCTATAGTAAAGCTTTTCTTTCCTTAGTGGTGGAAATAATAGTAGTGATATCAATTTATCAAATTCCTCCAGGCCCTATAACAGGCTCTGTAAGGTGCTGTGCTGAGCAATTCTCACAATTGTTTGAGGTAGGTACTTCTGTTATCCTTACTTTATTTTTGAGATAGGGCCTCGCTCTGTCACCCAGGCTGGAGTGCAGTGGTGCAATCTCAGCTTACTGCAGCTTCTGCCTCTGGACTCAAGTGATCTCCCCACCTCAGCCTCCTGAATAGCTAGGATTATAGGCATGCACCATCACGTCCAGCTAATTTTTTAACTTTTTGTAGAGATGAGGTTTCACTATATTGCCAGCCGTTCTTGAACACTTAGGCTCAAGTGATCCTCCTGCTTTGGCCTCCCAAAGTGTTGGGATTACGGGCGTGAGCCACCTTATCAAGTCTGTTATCCTTACTTTAAGGTCAAGCAGGTTAAAGTTTAGAAATAAAGACACTTGGTCAGGCGCGGTGGCTCATGCCTGTAATCCCAGCATTTTGGGAGGCCAACACAGACGGATCATTTGAGGTCAGGAGTTCAAGACCAGCCTGGCCAATATGGTGAATCCTTGGCTCTAGTAAAAATACAAAAATTAACTAGGCATGGTGGTGCACACCTGTAATCCCAGCTACTCAGAAGGCTGAGGCAGGAGAATTGCTTGAATCCGGGAGGCGGAGGTTGCAGTGAGCTGAAATGGTGCCACTGTACTCCAGCTAAGGGAGGAGAATCTCTTGAGCCCGGGAGGTGGAGGTGATAGTGAGCTGAGATTGTGCCACTGCACTCCAGCCTGGGTGACAGAGCAAGACTCTTAAAAAAAAAGAAAAAGAAAAGAAGATACCCAAAGTCACTGCATGACTTTGTGTCAGAGGTGGGCTGCGGTTCAAAGGCCAAGCACATGCATGGATCCATGACACCCCTAACTCATCCTCCTCATTCAGGGGTTCATGCTTGTGCTGTTATGTCTAACTCAGTTGTATTGAATCTCATATTTGTTTCTCTTACACTCAACATAGGTTTTGGAAAAATCAATGCAAGTGAGCATAATATTCATCAATGGCCAGTCCTTCTTTCATCATGACCACCAGAGCTGGCTGGTCTGGCTCAGCTGACAATATTGTATTCACGTTTTGTGATATCTGTGAGAACCAGTGCAAAAAACTAAGATGAGTAATAGTTCTTAAATGAACTTTAACATTTGAAATTTTAGATTTATAGTAAAGTTGCAAAGATGGCCATTGTTAGCATCTCACATTACCATGGTACATTTGCCAAAACTAAGAAACCAATATTAGTACATTATTATTAACTCCAGACTTTATTTAGAGTTCATCGATTCTTCCACTAATGTCCTCTTTTTGTTCCTGAATCCCATCCAGGATACTATAGTGCATTTAATTGTCATGTTGCTTTAGTCTGTTCTGGTCTGGGACAGTTTCTCAGTCTTCCTCGTTTTTCATGACTTTAACAGTCCTGAGGATACTGGCCCAGGCTGGAGTACAGTGGTACAATCATGGCTCACTATAGCCTTGAACTCCTAGGCTCAAGTGATCCTCTAGCCTCAGTTTCTCAAGTAGCTGGGAGTAGCTGGGACTACAGATACATGTCACTATGCCCAGCTAATTTTTACTTTTATTTATTTTTATTTTTGAGACAGAGTCTCACTCTGTCACCCAGGCTGGAGTGCAATGGTGCAGTCGATCTCAGTTCACTGCAACCTCTGCCTCCTGGGTTCAAGCGATTCTCCAGCCTCGACCTCCTGAGTAGCTAAGATTACAGGTGCCTGCCACCATGCCTTGCTGATTTTTGTATTTTTAGCAGAGATGGGTTTCACCATGTTGTCCAGGCTGGTCTCGAACTCCTGACCTCAAGTGATCTGCCCGCCTCAGCCTCTCAAAGTGCTGGGATTACAGGCATGAGTCACTGCGCTCGGCCTTTATTTTTATTTTTGTAGAGATGGGGGTCTCACTATTTTGCTCAGGCTGGTCTTGAACTCCTGGCCTCAAGGGGTCCTCCTGCCTTAGCCTTCCAAGTGCTGGGATTATAGGCATGAGCCACTGCCTCCAGCCAATATTTGCTTATAACATAAATTCCTAGTGATTTTTTTTTTTTTTGGAAACGGAGTCTCGTGCTCTGTCCCCCAGGCTGGAATGCAGTGGCGTAATCTCGGCTCACTGCAAGCTCCGCCTCCCGGGTTCATGCCATTCTCCTACCTCAGCCTCCCGAGTAGCTGGGACTACGGGTGCCCACCACCACACCCAGATAATTTTTTGTATTTTCAGTAGAGACAGGGTTTCACCGTGTTAGCCAGGATGGTCTTGATCTCCTGACCTCGTGATCCGCCTACCTTGGCCTCCCACAGTGCTGGGATTACAGGCATGAGCCACCGCGCCTGGCCAATTCCTAGTGAACTATTACTGTGTGCTATCAGAGAATCCATTTGATTTCATTAACTTTAGCATCGCCATCTGTTAATGCAAGTATATTAAACTAGAACACAGACCCCTCTGAGAATACAAAGAAAGCTAATGAATCTTTTACAGAAAAATGTGCAAGGAGGTATGTACTTAAATGCTGCAAAAGAACCTCAGGACATCCACAGACTTTCCTGACACCTATCCTGGGCTGTAGGTTGAGAACCCTGAGGAGGGTGATTCCTAAGGTCCTTTAAAAATAAATAGACCTGGCCGGGTGCAGTGGCTCATGCCTGTAATCCCAGTGCTTTGGGAGGCCGAGGAGGGCGGACTGCCTGAGGTCAGGAGTTTAAGAACAGCCTGGTCAACATGGTGAAACCCTATCTCTACTAAAAATACAAAAATTAGCTGGACATGGTGGTGGGCGCCTGTAATCCCAGCTACTTGGGAGCCTGAGGCAGGAGAATCACTTGAACCTGGGAGGTGGAGTTTGCAGTGAGCCAAGATTGTGCCATTGTACTCCAGCCTGGGTGACAAGAGCTAAACTCTGTCTCAGTAAATAAATAAATAAATAAACCTCCAGGATTAAAAAAATCTTCCCATTCACTTTATCACTATTTGCTATATACAAAACATTAAATTTGTGTCTAGAATAAATGAGAAATGATGTAGAATAAATGTGGCATATAGATCAATCTGAAATCTTTGTTAAAAATGCGATTTTACAGCCAGGTGTGGTGGCTCATGCCTGTAATCCCAGCACCGAATTTGGGAGGCCGAGGCGGGCGGATCATGAGGTCAGGAGATTGAGACCATCCTAACCAACATGGTGAAACCCTGTCTCTACTAAAAATACAAAATTAGCTGGGTGTGGTGGCATGCACCTGTAGTCCCAGCTACTCAGGAGGCTGAGACAGGAGAATCACTTGAACCCGGGAGGCAGAGATTGCAGTGAGCTGACATCGCACCACTGCACTCCAGCCTGGTGACAGAGCGAGACTCCATCTCAAAAAAAAAAAAAATTGATTTTAATGTATACTTGCAACTGATTCACAAATATTAGGTGTCACTTTTAGCAGGGACCAGTTTCCCAATCTGCTGCTTAGGAGACTGAAAGCGGGGGAGACTATTACAGGGCTAGGTCATCCCAGGTAAGCATTTGCAGCTAGCGATCTTAGCAACAGTTCCTTAGATGTCTGTTAAGAGTCAGTTTGCTAAATGCTCGGCTGTCAGAATACCAGTCAGAGGCTGATTTACAGGGCTTGATCTACTTCACAGCCTCTTTGAGCACAAAACATTAATTATCTGTTTGATGAGGCATCCATGCTTGTTGAAGGGTAGAGTTGACTGCCCAGGCAAGCGGTGGCTCACGCCGGTAATCCCAGCACTTTGGGAGGCTGAGGTGGGCAGATCACCTGAGGTCAGGGGTTTGAGACCAGCCTGGCCAACATGGTAAAACCCCACTCTCTACTAAAAAATACCAAAATTAGGCCAGACACAGTAGCTCATGCCTGTAATCCCAGCACTTTGGGAGGCTGAGGCAAGTGGATCATTTGAGGTCAGGAGTTCCAGACCTCATGGTGAAACTCGGTCTCTACTAAAATACAAAAAAATTATCTGGGTGTGGTGGCATGCACCTGTAGTCCCAGCTACTCAGGAGGCTGAGGCAGGAGGATTGTTTGAACCCGGGAGGCGGAGGTTGAAGTGCACCGAGATCGTGCCACTGCACTGCAGCCTGGGTGACAGAGCAAGACTCTGTCTCAAAAAGAAAAAAAAAAAGTGGAGTCAAGACTCTCCTTTATGATTCTCCATATTTCACTAGATGCCTGAATGTCCTTTATTCATGTGTCATCCCATGCATCTAGCAAAATAAGCAGATTGCATGGAAGAACAGGACCTTTGGTGAATGAGTGGTTCTTGGACTAATCAGAATCCCAGCAAATACAGAGGCTGGGGAACACCACAATAGAGGGTGGGTCCCACTATGCACTGAGCTAAGCAGCTAAGTCAAGCTGAAACCAGCAAGTATTTTTTTCTTTGGGGATTTTGCCTGCTTGAGGAGACAGGAGAAGGCATTGCTTAAAAGCTCAGACTTGAGTAAGACAGACCTGGCTCAAGTCTTGGCTTTGCCACGTACCTGCCATGTGACGCTTAAGTTGCTTGGGTTTTTTGAACCCCAGGGGGATGGCTACCTCTGAGGTGTGAGAGTGAGATAGGTAACACAAACAGCACTTAGCAAAGGCGCTGGTCTACAGTAAATATTCACTTTACAACTGAGCTGTTTTCATTACAGTCAACCCTTGGTATGCAGGGTATTGTTTCCGGGACTGCCCTGAGTATAACCAAATCCGTGCATACTCAAGTCCCACAGTAGGCCCCGTGGAACCTACCTACACAAAAATCAGCCCCATATAACTGGGGTTTTGCATGCCACAAACACTGTATTTTCCATCTGTGTTTGGTGGGAAAAAAAGGTGCATATAAATGGATCCGTGCAGTTCAAGCCTGTGTTGTTCAAGAGTCAACTGTATTATTTCCTTGCTGCAACTAGAAACAACATTATGATATAATACT
The DNA here is from genome assembly GCF_000001405.40 of Homo sapiens. Lineage (NCBI taxonomy): Eukaryota > Metazoa > Chordata > Mammalia > Primates > Hominidae > Homo > Homo sapiens. Next base: position 31,060,095 of record NC_000014.9, on the reverse strand, counting down.
TGGACTAAGTTTTATATATATAAAAATATATATACATAAATATATAAATATATATACATATATACATAAATATATATACATATATACATAAATACATATAAATATATATACATATATACATAAATACATATATATACATAAATAAATAAATATATATATATATATTTTTTTGTCCTCCCAGCTCATTTCTTGTTTCCTAAGCCCTATCAGACAGGTGGTTATCTTACAGCAATTCTACACACTAAGCTGTAAAGAGCCAGGCCCAGTGTGGCCAAGCCTGGGGTTGTTGCCTTCATTTATCTAGACCAGCTCAGCTGGGGATATAACAGCTGTGCCATGGGGGAGGCCTGTGGCCATTCACTCCCTTTTCCAGGAAGATAAGCTCATGGCTGTGGGTGGGATTGCAACATACTCTGTGGTGTTTAATCATTTGGTATTAACTGCTGCTTTTATTTGCCTCACAAATTATTGTCAGTAAATTACGGCAGGTTACCAGGAAGCTAAGATTACCATCCTTTCTTTTACTCCATTTCAGCAAAGTTATTTAAAAACCATCTTTATGATAGTTAGAAATTATAATTCTATACCTTGGATTTCAACTGCCAGGTAAAAGGAAAAAAATGTCTCAAAGGTACTCATGGCCAAACCTTTGCCTTTAAATGTCCTGCTTGCATTAAGTGGTAAAATGAGATGTAAAAAGATCTCACTGAGGTGTTACAACAAGGGATCAAATTGGTTTCTACCTTACAAGCACAGCATTCCTTCCCACTGACTTCAAGAACAAGGATGACAAATAAGGACATGTTGAATTGATATTCATTAGGATGTTAAGTTTTGAAAAGAGTAAATGAAGGCTTCTAAAGACTTGCATATATCTTTCTTTTCTTGCATGCTCTTAAACATTAGACAATTTTAACTGTAGCATGATGCAGTGGTAAAAAACTAGAGAAACACAACTGTAAACTATTTTTACTATAGAATATACAATGCCAAAATAAACAATGTGGAGACTCAAGAGACAAGTACACATCTGAGAACTGAAGATGAATGCTGTAAGCACCTATCATGGTTATTAATCATCAAGGAGGAGGGAGATGAAATAATTATGAAACTGAGGTAGGACAGTAAGAAGGGAATATGCTTAGACAAGTGTTGGGAGTGGTCAGGGAGCAGGTATGAACTTCCTGTTTTAAACTATTTGCATTTAACGACACACAAGGGGCCAGGTGTGGTGGCTCACACCTATAATTGTAGCACTTTGAGAGGCCATGGTGGGAGGATAGCTTGAGCCCAGAAGTTGGGGACCAGCCTGGGAAATACAGTGAGACGCCATGTCTACTAAAAAAAAAGGAAAAAAAAAAAAAGCCAGGCATCGCGGTGTGTACCTATAGTCCCAGCTACTTAGGAAGCTGAGGTGGGAGGACTGCTTGTGCCCAGGAATTGGAGGCAGTGGTGAGCTATGATCACAACACTGCACTCCTACTCTGGCCTGGGCAACAGAGCAAGATCCTATCTCTAAACACACACACACACACACACACACACACACACACACACACACACACACATACACACACAGAGATGGGGAAGATGTTTTGATGACCAGGAAGGAAGTCAGTAGATGCTACAGGCAAAAGCTTGTGTGAATGTGTGTATATACATCAAGGAAGAAGAAAGAAGGCAACTTCACTGGGGAAAGCATTACACAAATGGTGCTAGGATGCCCTAGCAAGGGAATCTAGAAAACCCCGAGAGGAAAAGAAGGTTAAGGTTACTTAGAGCAGGAATCAAACAAGCATTTTCCTTGGATTAGCATGAACATGCTTTTAAGACTAGTGAGACTGGTAGATTCAGAGTAGAATACGGGGCCAGGCGAGGTGGTTCATGCCTGTAATCCCAGCACTTTGCGAGGCCAAGGTGGGCGGATCACCTGAGGCCAGGAGTTGAAGACCAGCTTAGGCAATATAGGAGACCATGCCTCTACAACAAAAAACAAACAAGCGAAAAAACAAGAGCTGGGTGTGGTGGTTCATGTCTGTAATCCCAGCTACTTGGGAGAGTAAGGCTGAGATCAGGAATTCTAGGCTACAGTGAGCTATGATCACTCCACTGCACTCCAGCCTGGGTGACAGATGGAGACCCTATCTCTAAAAAAAAAAAAAACAACTGGCTGGGTGCAGTTGCTCACGCCTGTAATCCCAGTACTTTGGGAGGCCGAGGCAGGTGGATCACTTGAGGTCAGGAATTCGAGACCAGCCTGGCTAACATTGTGAATCCCCTTCTCTACTAAAAATACAAAAAAATTAGCCAGGCGTGTTGTCGGGTGCCTGTAATCATAGCTACTTGAGAGGCTAAGGCAGGAGAATCACTTGAACCCAGGAGGCGGAGGTTGCAGTAAGCCGAGACTGCACCACTGTACTCTAGCCTGGGTGACAGAGCAAGACTTCGTCTCCAAAAAATAAATAAATAAAATAAAAATAAAATAAACCAAAACAACATAAAAGTAGAATATGCTCAGATCCATGTCCCAGCAACCACATGATGTAAACTTAATGCCCAGAGAAAAGAGAGATTGAAGAGGCTGAACGAAGTACACATTGAATTGAGCAGGTATTATATTTCTGATGGCGTATTTCTGGGAGTTAGACCTAGGAGAGTCTTTACAGATTGTCATATCCAAAGATGGCAAATGGGTTTCAACTTGGGTGTCAACTGTGACTAACTGTTAATAGCTGCTTTGGGAAGGATTCTGGAGCTGCTTCCAGGTTCAAAACAAAAGGATGGCATGTCAGTTGTAGGTTAGGAAGCAGGGAGTGGCAACATATGCACCTTATATTTGTCATCCCTGAGGTGTATTCCCTTCATTTTGTAGATGGGAAAACTGATCAGAGATGTAGAGTGAAGTCCTGAATTCTGCTCCCCTGACTCATACTACAATGCTGTCTTTAATCTATCACATTGCCTCACTCTACATATCAGTGTCATTAAATGTTCACTTAAGCTTTTTTTTGTTCTGTTTTTTGAGACAGGGTCTTACTCTGTCACCGAGGCTGGAGTGTAGTGGCACAATCACAGCTCACTGCAACTTTGACCTCCCAGGCTCAAGCAATCCTCCCACCTCAGCCCCCCAAGTAGCTGGGACTACAGGTGCACACCACCATGCCCAGCTAACTTTTGTATATTTTGTAAAGGCGGGGTTTCCAGTTGCCCAGTCTAGTCTTGAACTCCTGGACTTAAGTGATTCACACGCCTCAGCTTCACTAAGTGCTAGGATTATAGACGTGACATTGTGCCCAGCCAAATGTTCACTTGAGCTTAATGAGCATTAACTTCAGGTAGCTTTGGAAGTGATCCAGTCATTATTCTCTTTTCTAACACCGCTGCACAATTAATCTGGAAAATGCCAAACGAATCACTGCATGAAAAAGTACAGTATAGGCTGGGCACGGTGGCTCACGCCTGTAATCCCAGCACTTTGGAAGGCCAAGGCGGGCGGATAACCTGAGGTCAGGAGTTCGAGACCAGTGTGGCCAACATGGCGAAACCCCATCTCTACTAAAAGTACAAAGATTAGCTGGGTGTGGTGGCGGACACCTGTAATCCTAGCTACTTAGGAGGCTGAGGCAGGAGAATCGCCCGAACCCAGGAGGCGGAGGTTGCAGTGAGCTGAGATCGCGCCACTGCACTCCAGCCTGGGCGACAAGAGTGAGACTCCATCTCAAAAAAAAAAGAAAGAAAAGAAAAAAAACAAGTATGGTATGTAGCCAGGTACATGCATCCATAGTATTAGCTACTTGGAAGATTGGTTGAGCCCAAGAGTTTGAGGCTGCTGTACACTATGATCATGCCTGTGAATAGCCACTGCATTCCAGCCTGGGCAACAGAGCAAGACCTCGTCTCTAAAGAGAAAACAAAAAGTAGAGTATGTAGATTTAGAAATGAAAATGATAAGGCCGGGCACAGTGGCTCATGCCTGTAATCCTAGCACTTTGGGAGGCCGAGGCGGGCAGATCACTTGAGGTCAGGAGTTCAAAACCAGCCTGGCCAACATGGTGAAACTTCATCTCTACTAAAAATAAAAAAAATTAGCCTGGCATGGTGGTGGGCGCCTGTAATCCCAGCTACTTGGGAGGTTGAGGCAGGGGAATCGCTTGAACCCAGGAGGCTGAGGTTGCAGTGAGTCGAGATCATGCCACTGCACTCCAGCCTGGGTAACAGAGTGAGACTCCGTCTCAAAAAAACAAAAAAAGAAAAAAGAAAAAAGAAAAAAAAAAAGAAAATGATAGTTGATGACAATTAACATTCTTTCTAGCTCTAAATGCTTTTTATGTACCCCAGAATCATAACATTGTAATAATACACACACAAACACTAAGGTAATATCAGACAAAAACATTTCTTTTTTGCCTCCTGAAAAGTGATTTAAATAAAATCCCCAAAGTTAAAAAGCAAATTTTCACCCAGAAAACATGTAGTACTAGTACAGTATAGTTTAATAGTCAAGAGCATGAACTGGAGCCTGACTGCTTGGCTCTACTACTTAGTGGCTTTGTGACCCTGGACAAGATACTTAATCTTTTAGAACTCAGTCTTCTGTACAATGGCCACAGTAACAGTACTCACTTCCTAGGTTGTTGTGAGAATTAAAGGAGTTAGGATATGTAACATTCCTAGAACAGGCTAGGCAGTTGGCACACAGCGAGTGCTACATAAGGATTAGCCAGTGTCATCATGATAACATGTTGTCTTTTCCCTGGTGAAGCTTTTCCTGCCTATTCCAATCCTCTCTTCCCAACTACAAAGAGCTGATAATCCTGTCTGTAGTCTATATAATAACCATTTTATTGCATGTTGAGATCTCCTACCAGAAAAGCAATTTAGACTTTTAAAGCTGTGACTGTGAGAGAAAGATTTTACATTGTGGCCCAGTATACAAATATATATAATGTAAATGTGAGATGTAATATATATATATAATGTAATATATATATTTAATTATTTACATGATATACAGAGATATACCTTGACAGTTTTGAAGAGTATTGGTCAGGTATTTTAAGGAATGTCCCCTGATTGGGATTTGTCTGATGTTATTATTAGACAGAGGTTATGTCTTTTTGGGAGAAAGAGCACAGAGGTAAAGTGCCATTTGCATCATATCATGTCAAAGGCACATACTATCAGTATGACCTGTCACTGTTTTTTTTTTTTTTTTTTTTTTTTTTTTTGAGACAGAGTCTTGCTCTATCACCCAGGCTACAGTGTAGTGGTGCAATCATGGCTCACTGCAGCTTTGAGCTCCCAGCCTCCGGTGATCCTCCCACATCAGCCTCCAGAGTAGCTGGGACTAGAGGCACGTACCTCCATGCCCTGCTAATTTTATTTTATTTAATTAATTTATTTTTTTGAGACAGAGTCTTGCTCTGTCACCCAGGCCAGAGTGCAGTGGCGCAATCTTGGCTTACTGCAACCTCCGCCTAAACCCTCCAGGGTTCAAGCAATTCTCCTGCCTCAGCCTCCCAAGTAGCTGGGACTACAGGTGCCTGCCACCACGCCTGGCTAATTTTTGTATTTTTAGTAGAGACAGGGTTTCACCATATAGGCCAGGCTGGCCCCAAACTCCTGATCTTGTGATCCGCCCACCTCGGCCTCCCAAAATGCTGGGATTACAGGCGTGAGTCACTGGGCCCAGCCCATGCCCTGCTAATTAAAAAAAAATTTTTTGTAGACACGGGGTCTTGCTATGTTGCCCAGGTCATTTGTTTATTTACTCAATTATTATTTATGTAAGTATGGCCTCACAGATATTTTATTTTATACTATGGGTTATAATATAATATGACCAACTGATTTTTAATTTCAGAACTTGCTAACAGACTGAGTCAAAGTTTGAAAAACACTATACCAGAACGTGAACTTCTTCTAGTGGGTAGAATCTATACCTTACTTCAGATCCTCACACAGTGCCTAGTATACAGTGAGCATCCAATAAATGTTAACTGAATAAATGAAAGAATGAATGAAAGCTTTTTCTAGCAATAACTTTTCCTTTAAAAAAGTCACATAAGTATTCCAACAAAGCAGACATATAAAATACCCTCATATCCTGTTCCTGCCCTGAATCCCATTCATTTTCCCAAAGATATATCCAATGTTTTTAAGTTTAGTGCCTATCCTTTTAGACCTCCTCTGTACATCATGTAAATATGTATGCAGATGTAGCAACTTTATTATTTTTTTAAACATAAATGTGATAAATTGATGAACTCTAAAATGTCTTAGCAACTATTCTCTTCTGGTATCTTTAAATGAACCCATTCCACTCACAAGCCCTGGCTGGATCCTATAAAAGGTTACTAAAGGCCAGACATGGTAGCTCATGTCTTCAATCCCAGCACTTGAGAGGTTGAGGCAGGATGATCACTTGAGGCCAGAAGTTTAAGACCAGCCTGGGCAACATAATGACACTGTCTCTACAAAAAAAAAAAAAAAAAAAAAAAAAAAAAGAAAAAAGTCACTAAAAAGATGTGTTTTAGAATTTAGAATTCATCCAAAGGACCTCCCATTTCCCAACCCAGCTCAGGCTTTCGGTTCCCTTCATTTGATCCAGTGCCTTGGCCCCCATTCCTTCTCTGGCCTCTGTTCTTCGTGACTTGCTTTGGATTTCTTCTTCCAGCTCTGGCTTGGGCAATATTCCAGGACTTGACCTTTGGTATCTGCCCTCTGGCCATCATCCCGGGGGCCTATGGCACCCAGCCCTTGCACTGTCAACTGGGAGTAATAGCTACCTTACTGACTGATGGAGAAAATTAAATGAGGCAAATGACATAATTGTTGTAAAAACATTTAGCACAAGGCCGGACGCGGTGGCTCATGCCTGTAATCCCAACACTTTGGGAGGCTGAAGTGGGTGGATCACCTGGGATCTGGTGTTCAAGACCAGCCTGGCCAACATAGTGAAAACTCGTCTCTAATAAAAGTACAAAAATTAGCTGGGCATGGTGGTGGGTGCCTATAATCCCAGCTACTTGGGAGGCTAAGGCATGAGAATCACTTGAACCCAGGAGGCAGAGGTTGCAGTGAGCTGAGACCGTGCCATTGCACTCCAGCCTGGGCAACAAAAGCGAAACTCCATCTCAAAAAAAAAAAAAAAAAAAAAAATTTAGCACACTGACTTCTTTCCTTTCCTCCTTTCTTGTATTAAATTAGGGAAAAAGTACTGATAAGTCTACAGGGAAATAGATATGTATATTTACACATTTTTACTGGTCTTTTAGATTGCTATACACTTTCTGCCATGTAACCTGCTAGAATGCAACAACAAATCATGAAAATGATTGATTCTACCTTTTTTTTTTTTTTTTTTTGAGAGGGAGTCTTGCTCTTGTCACCCAGGCTGGAGTGCAATGGCACAATTTTGGCTCAGTGTAACCTCCATTTCCCAGGTTCAAGTGATTCTCCTGCCTCAGCCTCCCAAGTAGCTGGGATTACAGGTACTCACCACCATGCCTGCCTAATTTTTTTTGTATTTTTAGTAGAAAAGGGGTTTCACCATGTTGGCCAGGCTGGTCTCGAACTCCTGACCTCAGGTGATCTGCCCGCCTTGGCCTTCCAAAGTGCTGGGATTACAAGTGTGAGACACCATGCTTGGCCAATGATTTTACCTTTTAACTCAAGCATCCCAGTCTTAGGAATTTATCCTAAGGTATAATTAAAATCTATATGCATAAAAATGTTTATAACATTATAAATAGTGAAACATGGAGCAAGCGCAGATACTACAAACTGAGAATTGTTAATACCAACTTCATGTCTTTTTTTTCCCCGAGAGGGTCTCACTCTATCACCAAAGCTGGAGTGCAGTGGCGCAATCATGGCTCACTGCAGCCTCGATGTCCCCTGGTTCAGGTGATACTCCCACTTCAGCCTCCCTAGTGGTTGTGACTCTAGGCACACGTCATCACACCTAACTAATTTTTGTATTTTTTGTAAAGATGAGGTTTTGCCATCTTGCCCAGGCTGGTCTTGAACTCCTGGGCTCAAGTAATCCTCCTGCGTTGGCCTCCCAAAGTGCTGGCATTATAGGAGTGAGTCATCTCACCCGGCCATGTCTTTTAATTATTAAAATGAATATGGACCGGGCATCGTGGCTCATGCCTGTAATCCCAGCACTTTGGGAAGCTGAGGTAGGTGGATCACTTGAGCTCAGGAGTTTGAAACCAGCTTGGCCAACATGGCTAAACCCCGGCTCTACTAAAAATACAAAAATTAGCCAGGTGTGGTAGTGCATGCCTGTGATCCCAGCTACTCTGGAGGCTGAGGCAGGGGAATTGCCTGAACCCGGGAGGGGGAAGTTACAGTGTGCTGAGATCACACCACTGCACTCCAGCCTGTGTGACACAGCAAGACTCTGTCTCATAAATAAATAAATAAATTGAATACGCAAACTCTGTAAAAGAATGGGGAAATGTATATAAATAATGTTAAGTCGCAAAATCAAAATGCCAAATTCTACATTCACATGGATTACAACTATGCAAAGTGAACATCTAAATAGATAAAGATTTTTGTATTTTTTTGTATTTTTAGTAGAGACAGTGTTTCTCCATGTTGGTCAGGCTGGTCTCGAACTCTCGACCTCAGGTGATCTGCCCGCCTCGGTCTCCCAAAGTGCTGGGATTACAGGCGTGAGCCACAGTGCCTGCAACAATTCTTAAGTTTTAAACTGCACGCTGTTCTGAGTAGCATGATGAAGTTTTGTGCCATCCTGCTCTGCTGTGCCTGGGATGTGAATATCCCCTTTGTCCAGCATATCTACACCGTATTTTTTTTTTTTTTTTGAGACACGGTTTTGCTCTGTCACCTAGGCTGGAGTGCAGTGGTGCAAACATGGCTCACTGCAGCCTTGACTCCCTGGGCTCAAGGGATCTTCCTGTCGCAGCCTCCTGTGTAGCTGAGACCACAGGCATGCACCACCACACCCAGCTAACTTTTTTATTTTCTTGTGGAGATGGGGTCTTGCTTTGTTGCCTAGGCTGGTTTTGAACTCCTGGGCTCAAGCGATCCTCCCGCTCCAGCCTCCTGAAGTGCTGGAATACAGTCATGGGCCACCGAGCCCAGCCAATCATGAGAAAATACATTAGACAAACCCAATTTGAGAGACATTCTCACCAGTATTCTCCAAAACTGCCACAGTCATGAAAAACAAGAAAAGACTAAAAAACCATCACAGTCCAGAGAAGATTAAGGAAATAAGATGACTAAATGCAACATGGTATCGTGGAGGGGAGCCCGGAATAGAAAACGGACTAATGAAAAAACTGGTGAAATGTGAACAAAATCTGAGTTTAGTTATAATAATGCTATCCATGTTAATTTGTTATATTTGATACATGTATCATGGTAATGTGAGAGGATAACATTAGGGGAGATGGGCAAGTGTATACGAAAATTCTCTGTATTATCTTCACAACCTTTGTAAATCTAAAATTATTCCAAATACTCAAACCTGTAATCCCAGATACTTGGGAGGCTGAGGTGGGAGAATTGCTTGAGGCCAGGAGTTTGAGACCAGCCTCATAGCAAGACCCTGTCTCTAAACAATAAAATAAATAAAATAATTCCAAATAAAAAGTTAGTTTTTTTTAAAGCAGAGATCAGAGAGATATAAGTATTCATATTAAAGTGAAGATGGGGTAACACTGAAGAACACTCCAAGTAAAAAAATAAACAAATAGGCCGGGCACGGTGGCTCACGCCTATAATCCCAGCATTTTGGGAGGCTGAGGTGGGCAGATCACCTGAGGTCAGGAGTTCGTTCGAGACCAGCCTGGCTAACATGGTGAAACCGTTTCTACTAAAAATACAAAAATTAGGACAGGCGTGGTGGCTCACGCCTGTAATCCCAGCACTTTGGGAGGCCAAGGCAGGTGGATCACCTGAGGTCAGGAGTTCGAGACCAGCCTGACCAACATGGTGAAACCTTGTCTCTACTAAAAGTACAAAAATTAGCAGGGTGTGGTGGCGCATGCCTGTAATCCCAGCTACTCAGGAGGCTGAGACAGGAGAACTGCTTGAACCTGGGAAGTGGAGGTTGCAGTGAGCCGAGATCATGCCACTGCACTCCAGTCTAGGCGACAGAGGGAGACTCCTCCAAAACCAAACAAAAAATAATAAATAAATAAAGTTAAGAGGGCACCGGGAATGGCGTCCATGCCTGTAATCCCAGTACTTTGGGAGACCAAGGGTGGCAGATCGCTTGAGCCCAGGAGTTCGAGATCAGACTGGGCAACATGATGAAACCCTGACTCTACAAAACATGCAAAAAAATTAGCCGTGTATGGTGGCCCACGCAGAGGTTGCAGTGAGCCGAGATTGTGCCACTGTACTCCAGCCTGGGTGACAGAGAAAGACCGTGTTTCAAAATAAACAAACAAATAAATAAAAATTTTAAAAAATAAAGTGAAGAGGGCTTGTTTGTGTGTGTGTCTGAGTATATAAGTCTACATGCACCTTTATGGTTATACTGTTTAAATATTTAAATTTTTACCAGTATAATGCAGATGTTTAGGCTTGAGGGTAATTTATGTGTGTGTGTGTGTGTGTGTGTGTGTGTGTGTGTACATATATATACATATATATATATATATATATATATATATATATATTTTTTTTTTTTTTTTGAGACCGAGTCTTGCTCTGTCACCCAGGCTGGAGTGCAGTGGTGCGATCTCGGCTCACTGCCAGCTCTGCCTCCCGGGTTCACACCATTCTCCTGCCTCAGCCTCCCGAGTAGCTGGGGCTACAGGCACCCGCCACCACGCCTGGCTAATTTTTTGTATTTTTTAGTAGAGACAGGGTTTCACCGTGTTAGCCAGGATGGTCTCGATCTCCTGACCTCATGATCCACCCGCCTCGACCTCCCAAAGTGTTGGGATTACAGGCGTGAGCCACCACGCCCGGCATGCCTGGCTAATTTTTGTAGAAATGGGTTTTTGGTTGTTTTTTTTTGTAGAGATGGGGTTTCACCATGTTGGCCAGGCTGGTCTTGAACTCCTGACCTAGGGTGATCTGCCCTGCCTCCCAAAGTGCTGGGATTACAGGCGTGAGCCACTGTGCCTGGACATTAGTCAGGGTTCTCTAGAGGGACATAACTAATAGGATAGTCCTACACAAACATATAGGTATTATGAATAATTTCTTTCATTTGGTCATGGATCTGGCTGGTTGGGTGGTAGCCTCCTCCCTCAAAACCACAGGGTGTCTCTCCCAAAGTTGAAAATGTTCTCAGCAGATACGGAAGAACCATTATTTTGTCAAGCACTTACCAGCACGTGGCTAGATTTGTTTTTTTGTTTTGGAGACAGAGTCTCACTGTCACCCAGGCTGGAGTGCAATGACGCAATCTTGGCTCACTGTAAACTCTGCTTCTTGAGGTCATGTGATTCTCCTCCCTCAGCCTCCCAAGTAGCTGGGATTACGGGAATGTGCCACCACGCCCAGCTAATTTTTGTATTTTTGGCAGAGATTTTTGGCAAAACGGGGTTTTGCCATGTTGTCCAGGCAGGTCTCTAACTTCTGACCTCGTGATCCACCCACTTCAGCCTCCCAAAGTGCTGGGATTACAGGTGTGAGTCACTGTGCGTGGTCCTGGCTAGAATTTTTATTTAAGAAATTACAAAAATAGGCCAGGCATGGTGGCTCATGCCTGTAATCCCTGTAATCCCAGCATTTTGGGAGGCTGAGGTGGGTGGATCACCTGACGTCAGGATTTCAAGACCAGCCTGGCCAACAGGGTGGGACCCCGTTTCTACTAAAAATACAAAATACAAAAAGTTAGCCAGGTGTGGTGGTGGGCGCCTGTAATCCCAGCTACTTGGGAGGCCGAGGCAAGAGAATCACTTGAACCTGGGAGACGGGGGTTGCAGTGAGCTGAGATCATGCCACTGCAGTCCAGCCTGGGCAACAAGAGCAAAACTCCATCTCAAAAAAAAAAAAAAAAATTAAAGAAATATATTTATACTTTTATGTCACACCACATACAAAAATAACTCAAAACAGATCATAGACCTAAATGCAAGCACTAAACCTGTATAAACTTTCAGAAAAAACAAATTTAAGGCTGGGCGTGGTAGCTAACACCAGTAATCGCAGCATTTTGGGAGGCCGAGGTGAGCGAATCACTTGAGGCCAGGAGTTCAAGAACAGTCTGGCCAACATGGCAAAACCCTCATCTCTACTAAAATTAACCGGGTGTGGCAGTCACATCTGTAATCCCAACTACTCGGGAGGCTTGTCATTGAGGCATGACAATGGCTTGAGCCTGGGAGGAGGAGGTTGCAGTGAGCCAAGACTGCACTACTGCAATCCAGCCTGGTGACACAGCAAGATTGTGTCTCAAAGGCTGGGCACGGTGGCTCACGCCTGTAGTCCCAGCGCTTTGGGAGGCTGAGGCGGGCGAATCACAAGGTCAGGAGATCGAGACCATCCTGGCTAACACAGTGAAACCCAGTCTCTACTAAAAAAAACCATAAAAAATTAGCCAGGCATTGTGGCGGGCGCCTGTATGTAGTCCCAGCTACTCTGGAGGCTGAGGCAGGAGAACGGCGTGAACCCAGGAAGCAGAGCTTGCAGTGAGTCAAGATCGCGCCACTGCACTCCAGCCTGGGCAACAGAGCAAGACTCCGTCTCAAAAAAAAAAAAAAAAAAAAGATTGTGTCTCAAAAAATAAAAACCAACCAACAAACAACTTCCCCCTGCCCACACACCACAAGAAAACCCACGTAAGACACTATTAAGAAAATGAAGTGTCACAGACTGGAAAAAATGATTTGCAAACCATGAATCTGATGAAGGACTTGGATTTAGAATATATAAAGAATTCTTAACAGGAAGACAAGCAACATAATTAAAAAACAGACAATGAATTAGGAAATAAATTTGAAGAGGATATATGAATGACAAATAAGCATGTGAAAAAATGTTCAACACCCTTAATCATTGGGAAAATACAAACGTGGTTTTAAACCCCAGTAAGATACAATTTCACACCTACTTTAATGGTTATAATAAAAAAGGCAGACAGTAACAAATGCTAAGATGTGGAGACCCTGGAATGTTCATACATTGCTGGTGGGAATGTAAATGCTACAGCCACTTTAGAAAACAAATCGGCAGTTTCCAAAAAAGTTAAACACAAATTTACCATATTATCCAGCAATTCTACTTCTTCTTTTTTTTTTTTTTTTTTTGAGACGGAGTCTCGCTCTGTTGCCCAGGCTGGAGTGCAGTGGTACGATCTCGGCTCACTGCAAGCTCCACCTCCTGGGTTCACACCATTCTCCTGCCTCAGCCTCCTGAGTAGCTGGGACTACAGGTGCCCACCACCATGCCCGGCTAACTTTTTGTATTTTTTAGTAGCGACGGGGTTTCACCGTGTTATCCTGGATGGTCTTGATCTCCTGACCCTGTGATCCGCCTGCCTTGGCCTCCCAAAGTGCTGGGATAACAGGCGTGAGCTACCGTGCCCGGCCGCAATTCTACTTCTAAGTATATACCCAAGAGAAATGAAAACATTTCTATCAGCTAATGAATAGATGAACAAAACATGGTATATCCATACAGTAGAAAACTATTCATCAATTAAGGGGAACAAAATGCATGAACCTTAAAAATAATAAGTGAAAGAAGCCAGATGCAGAAATACTACCTATTATATGATTCTACTAATAAGAAATGTCCAGAAAAAGCATATCTACAGTGATAGAAAGTAGATTAGTGGCTACCAGGATCAGGAGAAGAAAGGTTGGGGCTTTGTTTTGGGGATTTAAAAAATCTTCTGGCTGGGTGTGGAGGCTCATGTCTGTAATCCCAGCACTTTGGGAGGCTGAGGCTGGTGGATCACCTGAGGGCAGGAATTCCAGACCAGCCTGACCAACATGGAGAAACCCCATCTCTACTAAAAATACAAAATTAGTTGGGCGTGGTATGTAATCCCAGCTACTCGGGAGACTGAGGCAGGAGAATTGCTTGAACCTGGGAGGCGGAGGTTGCAGTGAGCCGAGATCATGCCATTGCACTCCAGCCTGGGCAACAAGAGTGAAACTCCGTCTCAAAAAAAAAAAAAAAAAAATCTAGCTCCTTCTTTCCCTTTCCTGGAGGCTGGAGGGTGGGGATGAAATTTCCAACTCTCTGATCCTCTCATCACTTGGTCTTTCCTAGACTGGCCCCACCCTGAGGCTATCTACGGACTCACTCTAGGTCACTTTATTAGTATAAACTCAGGGGTTATGAAAGGGGCTCAGTGTGAATAACAAAAGACACACCTACTACTTAGGAAATTTCAAGAGTATTAGGGGCTTTGTCACAGGAATCAGGAACAAAGGCCAAATATATTTCATATTATACCACAGAACTATATATTTTGAATGGTGTATTAGTCTGCTTTCACACTGCTATAAAGAACTGCCCGAGACTAGGTAATTTATAATAGAAAGTAGTTTAATTGATTCACAGTTCAGCATGGCTGGGGAGGCCTCGCAAACTTACAATCATGGCATAAGGCGACGGGGAAGCAAGTAACCTTCTTCACAAGGCAGCAGGACGGACAAGTGCCAAGTGAAGGGGGAAAGGGTCACAGCAGATGTCATCTCACTCACTATCACACTCGCTCACTATCACAAGAATAGCATGGAGGAAACTGCCCCCATGATTCAATTACTTCAACCTTGTCTCTCCCTTGACGTATGGGGATTATGGGGATTACCATTCAAGATGAGATTTGAGTGGGGACACAAAGCCTAACCATATCAAACGGTATGTGGTAAAACGGTTCATAAAAATTTTTATGGTATATACATTATACCTAAAGTTGTTTTAAAAAATTATAGACAACAGGCTGGGCGTGGTGGCTCACGCCTGCAATCCCAGCGCTTTGGGAGGCCGAAGCGGGCGGATCACTTGAGGCCAGGAGTTTGAGACCAACCTGGCCAACATAGTGAAACCCCGTCTCTACTAAAAATACAAAAATTAGCCGGGTGTAGTGGCGGACTCCTGTAATCCCAGCTACTTGGGGGGCTGAGGCACGAGAACTGCTTGAACCCGGGAGGTGGAGGTTGCAGTGAGCTGAGATTGCACCACTGCACTCCAGCCTGGCAACAGAGCGAGACTCTATCTCAAAAAAAAAAAAAATTATAGAAAACGTATCTTTTAAAATAAAGAATATACTGTCATGTCTGCCCCCAAACCTGACACTCTTCACAAGGTTCATCTTAGGAAATGTGAACGATTACCCTTGGAATGCATTAGGCAACAGGACCATGGAATTAAATGCATAGTGCCTGGTTCATTAAAAATAAACATATACACTTGAGGCCAGGAGTTCAAGACCAGCCTGAAAAACATAGCAAGACCCCATTTCTACAAATTTTTTTTTTTTAGAAACTAGCAGGTCCAGGTTCGTGGTTCTAGGCCTGTAATCCCAGCACTTTGGGAAGCTGAGGTGGGTGGATTGCTTGAGCTGGGGAGTTTGAAACCAGACTAGGCAACATAGCAAGACCCTGTCTCTATTAAAAAAAAGAAAAAAAAAATTAGCCTGGCATGGTGGCATGTGCCTGTAGTTCCAGCTACTTGGGAGGCTGAGGCAGGAGGATGGCTTCAGCCCAGGAGACTGAGGCTGCAGTAATCTACGATTATGCCACAATACTCTAGTTTGGGCAGCAGAGTGAGACTCTGTCTTTAAAAAAAAAATTACCAGACATATAATGTGTTTCTCCTACTCCTTGGAACAGTTGTGAGCTACTATGTAGAAACCCTGTCTCTGGAAAGTCCAGCACTACTATGACATAATAAGTAGAAAAGGAAGGGTTATAGTAAAGTGCATTTTGCTTAACTCCGGATAGTAGGATTAGGGGCAATATTTATTCTATATTGTTACTTGGTTTTAAATTTCCCAGATTTTAAGAGATATGTTACTTTTTGTGTCACATACATACATACTTACAGTTTGTTTTAAAAACATTGAGTTAAATTATATAATTTTACAAAGTTATCTAGCTGTAAAATAAATGTTTACCCTAAACAATTAAGCTACTGTTTCATTTATTGTGACATTTCTAAATGCCATATGTCTTTAAAATATGTGCTGTTTTTCAAAATGGATGTGCTAAGAGCATCTAATCAGCATGTCTTAAACTCAGGAAATATGGAAATGGCAACTGCGAGATTCTTTTGCCATGCCATATTGATTCATTCCATCAGCTTCCAAGTATTAATAATTTAGCTGTTTCTGAATTTCTCCATAAATGGGAGGAAATAATACTGGTCAGTAGCAGATTTTTATCTAATTTGGATCACCTCCCTCAGAGTTTGTTATATTATGTTTGTACATAACAAAAACATTGTTTCTTTGCCTCAAAATTTACTTGAATTCTACGATGATTCAGTTTTCTCACCTGTCAACTATGAATAACGTTAACTCTGTTGCCGAGTTATTGTGAGGGCTAAATGAGATAAGGAAAATGTGAAACACTCCAGAACCTCCTTTCTCTCCTCATCCTACTCTCCAGTGTAGGTAAGATTCTCTTCCCAACAGATTCTCCCTACTACAGTCCTAAGATTACTGAAATTTGACTTCAAGAAACCTGTTCTTCCTGTACCTGTTCCATTCTACCTTTTTTCCCATCCACTACCCCCTCTCAGTCTCTCTCTCAAAATCCCTCCTTTATGATTCAAAGTATATTTGAAGTAGCTTTGGATGAAACTTTTTCTTTTTTCTGTTAAAGTCTTGAGTCACTCAACAAATATTTCAGCCATATTTGATTAATTTGGCATTAAACATACAGGTATGTGTGTTGCTTTCTTTTTTTTTTTTCTTTTTTGAAAGAGTCTCGCTCTGTCACCCAGGCTAGAGTGCAGTGGCATGATCTCGGCTCACTGCAACTTCCGCCTCCCGAGTTCAAGCGATTCTCCCGCCTCAGTTTCCCGAGTAGCTGGGACTACAGGCGTGCACCACCATGCCCAGCTAATTTTTGCATTTTTAGTAGAGACAGGGTTTCACCATGTCGGCCAGGCTGATCTTGAGCTTCTGGCCTCAGGTGATCCACCCGCCTGGGCTTCCCAAAGTGCTGGGATTACAGGTTACAGGCATGAGCCACTGTGCCCAGCTACATCTGAAAAATTTCTAAAGCTTCATATGGCTCTCAGATCTTGATCTAAAGCCATTTTGGTAAACTGACCAAAGAGTCTCATCAAATTCTGGTCCAAGATACAATTTAAGTCCAAATAAGTGTAGTTCTTTGCAACTTTAAAGTATACATTAATAAAGCAGAGGGAAGCCAAATGTTTTACTGAAAAGGATACTGTATTTTCAAAGAAGTTCAAGTCAGACTTTCTATCCTAAATTAGGGAGTTGAACTAAAGAATTTTAAAGATTTTTACAGGAATATGATCCAGGCTGGCGAGAAAAACTGAGGATGAGGAATCTATATACTATATATAGACCATTACATTGATTGATTGAAAGTACTTGTTTTATTTTTACTCCTTAATCATCTCTGTGTCTGTGGAGTGGGGGATGGAGACATTGAGAGTAGACTGTCAATCAAGCATTTGCCAGAGAGAAACTGACTAGCAGAATTCCCTGATGGTAGAGGAGGTAAGAACAGTTTAAAAAGATATAAAGTGGTAATGGCCAGAGTGTGTATGTACCCATGTGTGCATGTTTGTGTGTGCTGTTGTTGCTATCTATTCCCTACATTTAAAGTTAAAAGTAACTTGGATCATCATATTCTACCTTCTACTCTTTGGACAGAAAAGCTAGTCGCAAGCAGACCCAAGCTTCCCATTACTGTACATAATGAAGACAACAATATCTTTCAAAATCAAAATAAAATTTCTTCTAAAATTATCTTTCTTTTATTTGGTTTTAGTGCCAAGGGTAATTTATTTAGACATTTTAAGTAATGTTGGCCGGGTGCGGTGGCTCATGCCTGTAATCCCAGCACTTTGGGAAGCTGAGGCATGTGGATCACCTGAGGTCAGAAGTTCGAGACCAGCCTGGCCAACATGGCAAAACCCTGTGTCTACTAAAAATACAAAAAAATTAGCCGGGTGTGATGGTATGCATCTGTAATCCCAGCTACTACGGAGGCTGAAGCAGGGGAATTGCTTGAACCTGGGAGGCGGAGGCTGCAGTGAGCAGAGATGCAGCCTGGGCAACAGAGTGAGACCCCCATATCAAAAAATAAAATAAAATAATGTTAAAATAGGGAATTAAATACTTACTTTGACAAACTGTGGGTATAGGTTAGAAATGGCAAAGAAAAAGCCCTGCAAGGGGAATCTTATTCTCAATTGTTCTAAATTAGCCACACAAGTGAAATATTTGTGCTTAGTGGTGAAAACTCTTTGTCAAATTTTTGGATTCATAAGAATATCCAATATCTTAATTTTAGAGAAAGGCAGTGGGGACCAGAGATTGTTGTGCCTGGGATGCTCCCAGGAGGTGCTATAGTGATGCTGCAATGAGCCATGATGCATGTGATGTTACAAAGGAGAAACTGCAGAGAACTAGGATTACTACAGATTACTTCCCATTTCTAATAAATGGTGAATCAAGTTTTCCCCTCAAATTAAAAATATTTCAAACCTGTTGGGCATGGTGGCTCATGCCTATAATCCCAGCACTTTGGGAGGCCGAGGCAGGCGGATACCTGAGGTCAGGAGTTTGAGACCAGCCTGGCTAACAAGGTGAAACCCCCTCACTACTAAAAATACAAAAATTAGCTGGGTGTGGTGGCAGGTGCCTGTAATCCCAGCTACTAGGGAGGCTGTGGCAGGAGAACTGCTTGAACTCAGGAGGTGGAGGTTGCAGTGAGCAGAGATTACGCCACTGCACTCCAGCCTGGGTGACACAGTGAGACTCCGTCTCAAAAACAAAAAAATAAACAAACAAACAAAATATTTCAAACCAGATATTCTGGATTCTGATACATTTAATTTGCGTACTTTTTTTTTTTTTTTGAGATGGAGTCTCACTCTGTCACCCAGGCTGGAGCTCAGTGGTGCGATCTCAGCTCACTGTTAGCTCCACCTCCCTGGGTTCACACCATTCTCCTGCCTCAGCCTCCCGAGTAGCTGGGACTTACAGGCACCCGCCACCATGCCTGGCTAATTTTTTGTATTTTTAGTAGAGACGGGGTTTCACCATGTTATGTACATCTTATCTAATTTTTTAAATTCTTATTAGATATCCTGATTCCCAAAGAAAACTGGCCTATCATTTTTCTAGTAGTATATCTGAAAAATTTATAAAGCTTCATGTGGCTCGCAGATCTTGACCTAAAGCCATTTTGGTAAACTGACCAAAAAGTCTCATCAAATTCTGGTCCAAGACACAATTTAAATCCAAATTGTTTTATGATAGTCTCGAAAATTAATAAATACAATAACAAAAGGAAAAAAGACTGTGAAAGACATACAAAGCAAATAGATTTTTCTCATATAGTACATTTTTCTTTTCATTTAATGGGCAGTGATCACCTAACAGCACTGCATTAGGATTCAAATGACAAGTCTGTGAGTGTTCTTAAGGTCGAGTGCAATGTTACAGATTTTAAGTTCAAATCAAACCAAAGGAATTTAGAAT
The DNA here is from genome assembly GCF_000001405.40 of Homo sapiens. Lineage (NCBI taxonomy): Eukaryota > Metazoa > Chordata > Mammalia > Primates > Hominidae > Homo > Homo sapiens. The sequence continues at coordinate 31,040,450 of NC_000014.9, read as the reverse complement.
TAAAATTTAATTTACCTATGTTTCCTATAGCTTTGTGTTAAGGAAGAAACAAATAAATGAAAGCTTACTAAGATGTGGAGGACTAGCCTGAGCAATATGGCGAAACCCCATCTCAACAAAAAATACAAAAATTAGCCAGGCATGGTGACATCTGCCTACAGTCCCAGCTACTTGGGAGGCTGAGAGGGGAGGATCACCTGAGCCTTGGGAGGTTGAGGTTGCAGCCTGCTGTGACTAGGCCACTGCACTCCAGCCTTGGGGAGGGAACGAGACCCTGTCTCAGGAAAAAAAAAAAAAAAAAAGATGCAGAGTAATTTGACTTTACACAAACTATATCTCTGACAAGTTGACTGGTAGACTATAAGTGAATTTAAGTGCAGTACTGGGATTATGGAGACTGTTTCTGTAAAACAATTGCTCCATAATTTATAAGCAATTAATTTGTTTCAACATTACAAAGTCTTTTACTCTAATGTTCATATTACCTGGGGAAAAATTAATTACCATGTGAATTTTCCCCTAAAAATATACAAGAAAATAATACTGTAAAACTACACCTATTGGCCGGGCGCGGTGGCTCACGCCTGTAATCCCAGCACTTTGGGAGGCCGAGACGGGCGGATCACGAGGTCAGGAGATCGAGACCATCCTGGCTAACACGGTGAAACCCCGTCTCTACTAAAAATACAAAAATTAGCCGGGCATGGTGGCGCGCGCCTGTAGTCCCAGCTACACGGGAGGCTGAGGCAGGAGAATGGCGTGAACCCGGAGAATGGCGTGAACCCGGGAGGCGGAGCTTGCAGTGAGTCGAGATCGCGCCACTGCACTCCAGCCTGGGCGACAGAGCGAAACTCCGTCTCAAAAAAAAAAAAAAAAAACAAAACTACACCTATTGTATTTAAGACCTTCCTAATTAAATACAGTGTTTCTTGAGTTAAAATTAAGTGTTTTTAAAAGCTACATTAGGGCCAGACACAGTGGCTCACGCCTGTGATCTCAGCTCTTTGGGAGGCCGAGGCGGGCAGATCACCTGAGACCAGGAGTTTGAGACCAGCCTGGCCAACATGGCAGAACCTGTCTTTACTAAAAATGCAAAAATTAGCTGGGCATGGTGGCTCACACCTGTAATCCCAGCTATTTGGGAGGCTGAGGCAGGAGAATTGCATGAACCTGGGAGGTGGAGGTTGCAGTGAGCCGAGAGCACGCTACTGCACTCCAGCCTAGGCGACAGAGCGAGACTCCATCTCAAAAAAAAAGTAAAGAAAAAGTAAAAGCTACATTAAGGCTAGGCTCCATGGCTCTTATCTGTAATCCCAGTGCTTTGGGAGGCTGCGGTGGGAGGATCACATGAGCCCAGGAGGTCAAGGCTGCAGTGAGCTGAGATCATGCCACAGATCAAGGCAACAGAGCAAGACCGTCTCAAAAAACCAAACAAGCAAACAATAAAAAAAAAAAAAACCTCTACATTTAAAAAAACAAAAACAAATGAGTCATTAATGCTCCCAATGTTTGATGGTGGTCGTGAAAGACTTCCATTGCTATAACTTGAAAGGCAGTATTACTCACTCTTGGTAATACAATGTGCTAATACCACCCAACTCACCAACTCAGGAACAGAGCATAATAACAATAGGAAGTGCTTACAGTGCTCATTAGGTGCCAGGCATTGTTTTGAATGCTTTAACTATATCTATTTAATCCCCCTCATAGCTCTGTGAGTCAGAGACTTTTTATCTCCACTTTACAGATGTGAAAATTTAATTACTTGCCAAAGGTCACTCAGTGAAATGGTTGAGGAAGACCCAGTTTCATTTAGTATGTGGCTTTCAAGTCTGTGCTCTCACCCAAAGCTCATTACCTCTGGGTTTGCCTCAAGACTAGTTAATTCAGTGATGGCTGTAACAGGACCATGGATGTACAATTTCACTCCCCATTCGCTCGTTTAAATCCAACCTTTTGTACCCTCTATATAAAAGCTTTTCATGGCTAATATGCATGTTTTGCTAGCTTAGATCTTGACCCTGGAGCACACCACAAAAGGTACAATTCTAACAGATTATTTACTTGTAATTGATCTCAACAGGGAGCCTAAAATGTCAAAGAAGTGGCTCAATCAGATAATGTGAAAATTTAGGACAATAAAGTTTAAATTACTATATTCACTATAGTGTGTTTAATATTTGTGATTAGGGCTAATAATACTTCCAAAATTCTTAAGTCTGATTTTCTCTTTTAGAAAGTTGAGCTAATCACTCTTTCCACTTGCAATAAATAAAACATACCAGGCAAATGTTATCCAAGCCAAGTTTACAGAAGTGTATCTGAACTTGGTACCATCCTCATTCAGATCAGTCGTCAGAGTAGAACACAGAGACTTTTCAGGTGGCCTGCTTGGTTGTCCTTAGCCCAGAAGCACTTTATGTTATTTTGAATTTCACAATAAAGTGTAGCAACATGTTACAGCTCTTGCTAAATATGAATTTTGCTTTGTTTTGTTTTGAGACAGGGTCTCCCTCTGTCACCCAGGCCAGAGTATAGTGGTGTGATCATAGCTCACTACACCCTGGAACTCTTGGACTCAAGATCCTCTCATGTCAGTCTTCTGAGTAGCTAAGACTACAGGCAAATGCCAGCCCACCTGGCTAATTTTTTTCTTATTTTTTTGTAGAGACAGGAGTCTCACTGTGTTGCCCAGGCTGGTCTGAGCTCCTGGGCTCAAACAATCCTCCCACCTTGGCCTCCTAAAGTGCTGGGATTACAGGCATGAGCCACTGCATCCAGCTAAAAATGTAAATAAATTTAAATTGTCAGACAAGAGCCTGCCCAACTGTTGCCCAGAGAATATATATACTTAAATTTACACTTCTGTATCTCACAATCTTTGGACTAGTAAAAAATGTCATAATGACTTTAATAGTGGTCGGATGAAAATATTTCAAAAGCAGGGCTACAATATATCACTTTAGGAGAAAGAGCAGGCAATTTAAAATTTAAAAATGCAAGAGTGAAGAGAAGCAAAGAAAGTAGTGGTGATGGCAGCAGCAGATTCTGGGATCTTCCCGAACCTCCTCACAATAACAGTGAAAACAACTAGGATAGCAAAAGAAAACATCTACAGACAACATCTCTACCAAAAACTATGTGAAAAAACATCCCCTGGAACGTTTTTTAGGATGCTAATTAATTGGTGGGGCCAAACTAAGGTAGCAACAAGAACAGGAGGAAGATACAGGGTGGGAGGGAGAGGTTGGGGTGGGAAGGGTGTGTGTGCGTGTGTGTGTGCATGTGTGTAAGGCAAGGCATGTCCTGGCAGAAGTGGAGGTTAGAAAAAGAGGACTTGGCCGGGCGTGGTGGCTGACACCTGTAATCCCAGCACTTTCGGAGGCCGAGGCAGGCAGATCAGAAGGTCAAGAGATCGAGACCATCCTGGCCAAGATGGTGAAACCCTGTCTCTACTAAAAATACAAAAAATTAGCCGGGCATAGTGGCATGCGCCTCTAGTTCCGGCTACTTGGGAGGCTGAGGCAGGAGAATCACTTGAACCTGGGAGGTGGAGGTTACAGGAGCCGAGATTGCACCACTGCACTCCAGCCTGGCGACAGAGCGAGACTCCATCTAAAAGAAAAAAAAGAAAAAGAGGACTTGAGAGCATCACAAGAACCAAGAAACCCAGAAATCACTAAGTCATCACCTAAAAAAGGAGCCCCACTAGAAGTGAGTGTGAAACTAAGAATCACAGTGGGAACTGGAAGGAGGCCTGGTAGGGTCCCTGTTGCCAAGGACTGCAAGGGAATGAGCCTAAAGCTCCCAGAAACACCTGGTGGAATTTCCTTTGCAGGACAGGCCCTTCACTGAGCAAGGTAGAATACAGTATGTATGTTAATAGCTAGCTAGCTAAAGCTGACAATAATAGCTAGGTCAGGCTAATCAAATTTAGTAACATTACTAAAATTCAGATAGCTAGACATTATGTGCCAGCTGGTGTGATGCCACAGGAAGTATGCTGTATCCCCAAATAAGCATTTTTTTGCCAAGAAAATAAAAAATAAACACTTAATAAAAAATATGGGCCAGGTACGGTGGCTCACACCTGTAATCCCAGCACTTTGGGAGGCCAAGGTGGAAAGATTGCTTGAGCCCAGGAATTTGAGGCCAGCCTGGGTGAGATCCCATCTGTATCAAAAATTTTAGATTATTAGTTTTTTCTTTTTATTTATTTTTTGGTTATCTATTGCTATTGAACAAATTATTAAATTATTATTTTTTTCTTTTTTGTTACTAATTCGTGATGCAACAATATATTAGATTATTTTTTTAAAATAAAAATAGAAAATATGGAGGAGGAAATAATATATTAAATGATAACATAATTGTAATTATCCAAATGTGGGAAATTCTCCAGGATAAATAACCTGGTCTCTGGCCAGGCACGGTGGCTCACGCCTGTAATCCCAGCACTTTGGGAGGCCAAGGCGGGCGGATCACCAGGTCAGGATATCGAGACCATCCTGGCTAACATGGTGAAACCCCGTCTCTACCAAAAATACAAAAAATTAGCCGGGCCTTGTGGCGGGCACCTGTAGTCCCAGCTACTCGGGAAGGCTGAGGCAGGAGAATGGAGTGAACCCAGGAGGCGGAAGTTGCAGTGAGTCGAGATCGCACCACTGCACTCCAGCCTGGGTGACAGATCGAGACTCTGTCTCAAAAAAAATAAAAAAATAAAAAATAAAAAAAATAACCTGGTCTCTTCAATAAATAAATGGCATGACCATGAGGGGGGTCATAGAAACGCACATCAAAAAAAAAAAAAAAGACCTAAAAACGTAACAACCAAATGAAATGTATGGATTTTGTTTGGATCCTGATTTGGAATTACCATCTTTTTTTTAAAAAATTGTTTTTTGAGATATTGGGGGAAATCAAATATGGACTGAGGATTAGATTGTATAAAGGAATTACTGGCTGGGCGTGGTTGCTTACACCTGTAATCCTAGCACTTTGGGAGGCTGAGGTGGGCAGATCACAAGGTCAGGAGATCAAGACCATCCTGGCCAATGGTGAAACCCCATCTCTACTAAAAATACAAAAATTAGCTGGGTGTGGCGGCGTGTGCTTGTAATCCCAGCTACTCGGGAGGCTGAGGCAGGAGAATTGCTTGAACCCGGGAGGCGGAGGTTGCGGTGAGAAGAGATCGCACCACTGCACTCCAGCCTGGCGATAGAGCTAGACTCCATCTCAAAAAAAAAAAAAAAAAAAAGGAATTACCATTAATTTTGTAGGTGTGATAATGGTATGGTGTTTTGCTAAAAAAAAGAAGCAAAAACTCCTAATCTGTTAAAGATACTTAGAGAACTATGTACTAATGAAATAATATAATGTCTGGTATTTACGTTAAACATTTCTTCACACAGAAAAAAAGTAGAGTAGATGAAATAAGAATGGCAAAATCTTGTAATTGGAGTTCATCAGATTTTTGTTGTTGTTTTTCCATAACTGAAGTTCTTCAAAATAAAAAGTTAAGTGGGGCTGGCCACGGTGGCTCATGCCTGTAATCCCAGCACTTTGGGAGGCCAAGGCAGGTGGATCACCTGAGGTCGGGAGTTTGAGACCAGCCTGGCCAATATGGTGGAACCCTGTCTCTACTAAAAATACAAAAAAAAAAAAATTTAGCTGGTCGTGGTGGCGGGTGCCTGTAATCCCAGCTACTTGGTAGACTGAGGTGGGAGAATAGCTTGAACCCGGGAGGCGGAGGTTGCAGTGAGCCGAGACCACACCACTGCACTCCAGGCTGGGCATGACAGAGCAAGACTCTGTCTAAAAAAAAAAAAAAAAAAAAAAAAATTAAGTACAAAACTTCTAGGCACAGGTGTAGTGGCTTACGCCTGTAATCCCAGCACTTTGGGAGGCTGAGGCAAGAGGATCCCTTGAGGCCAGGAGTTCGAGACCAGCCTGGGCAATGCAGTGAGAGTTTGTTTCCCCCCCAAAAAAAGTCTATGCACAACACTGTATAACACAATTTTAAATATCCAATTGTTACGAAACTATAAAAACTATAAAACAAAAGAAGCAAAGAGAAGTAGGAGTTATTTTAAATGCCTATAAATAATTCTTCAGTCTTTTTTTTGTTAAGATAATTGTCATGTACTTTCTACTAACAGAAAGCCAAAACTAAAGGTTACCATCATTTAAAAATATGCTGTTATAAAAAATATGTTTTTGTGACTTTTTGCCAATTTAACATATTCTCCAAAGGAACACTGTCTTTAGCATAGATTTACTGGGCCAGGTGTCCATGTTTGGTGTCATTCTTTGGAATACTCACCCTGCTGCTTCAATGACAAACCAAGCCTGTTAAATTATTACCTAGCAAACTTTTGGCAATTTACCAATTAGTCACATCTTCCAGTCATTTTGCTCTTATGTTTACAGACCTGGTTGTTCATTCTTAGCCAATGTCCAGGAGGGACTTGGCTCCAGGCAATCCTTTCTTTTTCTTTTCAATTTTGACATCTCTATGAGTTAGCTATTAAACAATATTATCACAGCCTATTTTTTTTCTTACTCATACCCAGGAGACAATTACAGAATAAACTTGGACTACAATTTTATACAGCATGCTGAGTTTCCTAAAGGTTTGGTATCTATTTTCTGTAATCTGTGAAGATCCTTTTCCTTTTCCTCACAGAATATTATCCAAAGGGTTCAAGTGCCCTGCCTGTGTTTCTACAATTTTCTTAGCCAAAGTCAATCACTATAATGAGAAGTAGATCTTATTTGGCAGGTTGAAGCATGGTGCAGGTCAGAGCTGCCTCCTTTCTGTTACACATGCATTAAACATTTTGCTCCTTTGGTTTCTGAACACATGTCAGCTCTTCTTAAAGATCTTCCTCTGGAGTCTAATACTTTGCTTGCTCTCTCTGTTTATAAATGTAAACACTGTGGCGGGCGGAGTGGCTCACGCCTGTAATCCCAGCACTTTGGGAGGCTGAGGCGGGTGGATCACAAGGTCAGGAGTTCAAGGCCAGCCTGGCCAGAATGGTAAAACCCTGTCTCTACTAAATATACAAAAATTAGCTGGGCATGGTGGCGCATGACTGTAGTCCCAACTACTCAGGAAGTTGAGGCAGGAGAATTGTTTGAACACGGGAGGCAGAGGTTGCAGTGAGCCGAGATCACGCCACTGCACTCCAGCCTGGGTGACAGAGCGAGACTCCATCTCAAAAAAAAAAATTAAACACTATGTCATTTCCCTGAGTGACTGGATCACCCCAAAACTATCTAAAAATAATTTCAAACATGTAAATGATTTGAGAACCAGAGACAGTAATAATGAACCCATTGATAGGATGACAGCAGGCAGAACTGTGCGGGGAGACTTTCTAGTTTCCAAATACACATATACACTCACTGATGTAAAGAGTGAGAACTTCTACTAAGTACTTACTGAAGTGACCAAGAGCTCTTCAGCTTTCTTTCTTCACTGTGGAGATAAGAATATTTGTTATAGCCTTTGCAGATGATGCAAAAAAGATGACTAGATTAGTGTTTGTGAATTGATTTGAACTCTTTGGTAGAAGGATGCCAGGTACCTAGTCAGCAAGATATAAAACTGTACGAGGCTGGGCGTGGTGGCTCATGCCTGTAATCCCAGCACTTTGGGAGGCCGAGGCGGGCGGATCATGAGGTCAGGAGTTCAAGACCAGCCTGGCCAACATAGTGAAATCCTGTCTCTACTAAAAATAGAAAAATTAGCCGGTCATGGTGGCACATGCCTGTAGTCCCAGCTACTTGGGAGGCTGCTTGGGAGGCTGAGGCAGGAGAATCGCTTGAACCCAGGAGGTGGAGGTTGCAGTGAGCCGAGATCGCACCACTGCACCTCAGCTTGGGCAACAACAGAGTGAGACTTCATCTCAAAAAAAAAAAAAAATGTACATTCTGGGTGAGTAATTACAGGGAGCTATACAGTCCTCAGAGGCCCGGTCAACACTCTTTGAACATCAGGTATTGTAATAACTGATAAGAAGACATTTGAGTTTTATCTACTTCTGATTTATTTAAAAGCCTGGAATTCCTTAACCTATCTTTGTTGACATCATACATGCACATGAAATACGAAAAGTTCCTCTCTGGTCCAAAATAGAATAAGCATACGGTGTCCAAGATTAGACACCCTATTTAGGAAGTTTCAAAGGTGACGCCTGCACCATGCCTGGCTAATTTTTTGTGTTTTTAGTAGAGATGAGGTTCCACCATGTTGGCCAGGCTGGTCTCGAACTCCTGACCTCAGGTGATCTGCCCGCTTTGGCCTCCCAAAGTGCTGGGATTATAGGCATGAGCCACCGCGCCCAGCTCTTTTTTCTTTTTTTTTTTTTTTTTTTTGGGACAAGGTCTCACTCTATCATCCAGGCTGGGCACCCAGTGGTGTGATCATAGCTCACTGCAGACTCAACCTCCCGCGCTCAAATAGCTGGGACTACAGGCACCTGCCACCACGCCCAGTTAATTGTTTTATTTTTTGTAGAGACAGGGTCTCCCCATGTTGCATAGGCTGGCAAATAGGCATTGTTGAAGATTATCAGCAACAGATTGAAACTGGGAGAATCTATGGGCATGGAGGAGGCATGAACAGGACTGATGAAAGGACAGAACAAATAGGAAGTTTCGAACGTGAGCTTTAAGAGAGGAAATGACTCAGCCACAGTTTAGGGAGATAGTTCCAGTTAGGTGAGTTGTAGGTGATAATGTGGCTTGGGTGAGCTCATTATCTACAGAGGACAAGATTCTAGAAGCTCTCTCCAGAGTGTCATCAGGAATCATGAACCAAAGCACAACATCAAGAGTTTACAAAATATTTTTCCAATAGAGGAGGAAATATTGGTGTTCTTTACTTTCAAAACTCAGGGCAGTTCTGGTTATTGAACTTTAAGAGACAACTGGTATAATGACAGTAACAACTAACAAAAATGATTGACGTGACGAAAAAATATTCATATTAGTCTAGTCTAAATTTGAGTTATTCATCAAACATTTGAAGATCCACCCTTTCCCAGACTCTTGGGGTACAGTTTTGAACAAGAGGGGTAGAGGTCCTTCCCTTCTACAAGGCTGCAATCCTTCAGATAAATGACTTTATGGTCTAAGAAGGATGAAGTCAAAGACTGCTGTATTAGTCCGTTTTCATACTGCTACAAAGAACTTTCCTGAGACTGGGTAATTTATAAAGGAAAGAGGTTTAATGGACTCACAGTTCTGCATGGCTGGGGAGGCCTCAGGAAAATTACAATCATGGCAGAAGGGGAAGCAAGTACATCTTACATGAAGGGCAGGAGAGACAGGAGAAATTGAAGGGAGAAGAGCCCTTTATAAAACCATCAGATCTCCTGAGAACTCACTATCACGAGAACAGCATGGGGGAAACCGTCCCCATGATCCAATAACCTCCCTCCCTTGACACGTGGGGATTACAATTGGAGATGAGATTTGGGTCGGAACACAGAGCCAAACCATATCAATTGCATTACTGATATTTATAAAACCATGATTAAAATGAACGTAGTCACATTCCGTTGGAATTCTTTAAATAGGCAGCACACTTGAAGTTTCAAGAAAGGTAGTTTCAAGACGGATCAGGACAAAATATTGAGGAAGCCAGAGTGGTTGGTGCTAAGTATTTGCCTAAAATTAGACTAGAAACTCTGTGAAGGCAGAGATTACGTGTCTGGGTCACAGTGGATCAGCAGGGAGCAGTAGAGCACCTGAAAAATCGTAGCCAATCAGTACTTCTTAAAAAATAAAAAAAACGGGCTGGGCTCAGTGGCTTATGCCTGTAATCTTACCACTTTGGGACGCCAAGGAAGGAGGACTGCTTGAGGCCAGGAGTTAGAGATCAACCCTGGCAATACAGTGAGACTCCCATCTCTACAAAAAATTAAAAACAAAAAATAGCCTGGAGTGATGTTGTGTACAGGTAGTCTTAGCTACTCAGGAGGTTGAGCTGGGAGGATAGATTGAGCCCAGGAGTTTAAGATCAGCCTGGGCAACATAGTGAGATTCCCTCTGTACAAAAAATAGAAAGGAATAAAGCAAAAATTGAGTACTCACTATGTGTAAGTATTGCTTTTGGAGTGTTTAGTATCAGTGTTACTGATCAGTACACAGATGGTGTAAATATAGTGTAAAAACTATTAGATAAGGCCCTGTGCAGTGGCTCACACCTGTAACCCCAGCACTTTGCTAGGAGTTCAAGACCAGCCTGTGCAACATGGCGAAAACCCATCTCTACAAAAAATACAAAAATATTTGCTGGGCATGGTGGCACATGCCTGTGGTCCCATCCCAGCTACTTAGGAGGCTGAGGTGGGAGGATCGCTTGAGCTGGGGAGGCTGAAGCTGGAGTGAGCCAAGATTGTGCCACTGCACTCCAGCCTGGGTGACAGAGTGAGATCCAGTCTCAAAAAAGAAAAAAAAAAAGATTAAAGAAAAAAAGAGATAAGCATGGGAGGGAGGCTACTACAATAGAATAGTGAGTCAAAAGAATTCAGGGATATGGAGGCTTCTTGGACAAAATAATGCTTGAGCTGAGTATTTTCTTTTTTTTTTTTGTGGGGGAAGGGTTTTGTTTGTCTTAAGACAGGGTTTTGCTCTGTTGCCCAGACTGGAGTGCAGTGGCATAATGATGCAATTATGGCTCACTGCAGCCTGGACCTCCTGGGCTCAGGTGATCCTCCCATCTCAGCCTCCAGAGTAGCTGGGACTACAGACTCACGTGGCCACTCTGGCTAATTTTTGTATTTTTGGTAGGGACAGGGTTTTGCCATGTTGCCCAGGTTGGTCTCGAATTCCTAGGCTTAAGCCATCCTCTCACCTCTGTCTCCGAAAGTGTTGGGATTACAGGCATGAGCCACTGTGCCTGATCTGAGCTGAGTTTTGAAGATAGGCAATGGGGCACAGCATGTGTTAAATTACTGTGGAATGAAATAGCATTATACATTTGAGGAACCAAAAACAGTGGCAGTTTGGCTGAAGAGAAGAATGAGGTGGCATGATAGTGTTATGGTAGATTAGACTGTAGGATGGATCTAGATCAATTTATATGCTTATGTTAAAATTTGGGCTTTATACTAAATTTAGAAATCACTAAACTATGTTAAACAGAGGAATGACAGAATCATACCTTTGTTTTAGGAAGATCAATCAGGCAGCAGTGATAGTGCAAAGTGGGGGTAGAATGGAGGTGGGAAGGTTTAAACTAAAGTATAAAGAGAGACAATAGAATCCACAGGAAAGATATTACTGAGAATGAAATTGGTTTGTGGGGGCTGACTGAAAGGTAGTAGAATGACTGCTAGGCTTCAAGTTTGGATGTAGTGTCACTTAATAAGGTAGATAATAGAAGTAGAGATTTTGTTTTTGTTTTGAGGGTAGGTGAGGAGACAAAAAGGATAAGAAATCCAGTCTTTCCTTAAGCTCAAGTTACCAGTTATAAGTGTGCATGTTAGTCTTCTTTTGATGCTATCATCAGGTCAACCATTCTCACAAATGGTTTTTGTTGTTGTTGTTGTTTTTGGGATGGAATCTCACTCTCTCTTTCACCCAGGCTACAGTGTAGTGGCATGATGTCGGCTCACTGCCCCCTCTGCCTCCAGAGAAGCTGGGATTACAGGCAAGCGCCACCACGCCCAGCTAATTTTTGTACTTTTTGGTAGAGACGGGGTTTTGCCATGTTGGCCAGGCTGGTCTCCAACTCCTGAGCTCAAGTGATCTGCCCGCTTCGGCCTCCCAAAGTGCTGGGATTATAGGTGTGAGCCACCGCACCTGGCCACAAATGTCTCTGTGTGTGTGTGTGTGTGTGTGTATGTGTGTGTATGTCTTTGAGGCAGCATAATTTTTCTGAGCTTTTTATGTGCTATGACGCCCCCTAAAAAGGAATTGGATGAATAAACAGGTTGTATGTTGGTAACTCTAAGATAAATAGTACTTTAATAATTTGAAGAAATATGTAATCTTAACACTTTGTGAAGCCAAGGTGGGTGGACCACTTGAGCCAGGAGTTGGAGACTAGCCTGGGCATCATGACAAAACCCCGTCTCTACAAAAAATACAAAAATTAGCTGGGCTTGGTGGATGCACACCTGGAGTCCCAGCTATCAGGAGGCTAAAGTGGGAGGACCACCTCAGCCAGGGAGCTCCAGGTTGCAACAAGCAGAGCTCACACCACTGCATTCCAGCCCAGGCAACAGAGTGAGACCCTGTCTCAAAAAAAAAAAATAAATAAAATAATAATTTGAAGAAATGGTCCTTAACATTATAGTACTGCAATCTAAGATCTCATTTCATATAGAAATAAAACATGGCAGCATGAGTAACAGGTCCAATCTGCTTTCCATTAAACTGTAATAACAGTAAAGCAGATGTGATAAAATAAGATGCATTACTTAATCTCTTTTGAAATTACTTCCTGATTGGTTGGTAGTGCATACTCCATAGTACAAGTTTTATTGGCTTTTGCAGTAAAGAAAAAAAATTTTAAAAAGTAACAAATTTTCAATGCAATTTTCCTGCATCGCTATTAATATAATTACTGAACCTAATTTCCTTATGTTGTTAATTATTTTTGTCTTATTTTTCAAACAAATGCTTCTTAGCTATATTAATTTTTAGAAACACACTAGTGCATTAGGATATTTTCTAGGAAACTAAGCACATAAAAGTACCCACTATTGTACTTAAAATATTAGCCTTGTCTCTTATGTATATGTTACATTCCTCAAACTTTTTAAATTTTTTGCCGACACGGAGTCTCGCTTTGTCGCCCAGGCTGGAGTGCAGTGGTGCGATCTCGGCTCTCTGCAACCTCAGCCTCCTGGGCTCAAGCAATTCTCGTGCCTCAGCCTCCCCAGGAGCTGGGACTACAGGTGTGCGCCACCATGCCCGGCTAATTTTTGTATTTTTAGTAGAAATGGGGTTTCACAATGTTGGCCAAGCTGGTCTCGAACTCCTGGCCTCAAGTGATCGCCCACCTCGGCTTCCCAAAGTGCTGGGATTACAGGCTTGAGCAGCCGCGCCCGGCCATATTCACTTAAACATTTAATGACCCAGGAGAACATTCATCTAGGATTTTAAGTTGTACTCACAGTGCTTTTATTTTCTGTTTCGATCAAAATAGTCTATTGATGACAATATTTGTGAGCCCATTCATTTCTACCGTATCAAATTGTTAGTCTAGCCAGTCTCCTTCAAACTTCTCTCCCTCTACCCATCATCGTCAAGATCTAAAGGAATTCACTACCTCTTCTTCTCCCAAGAAAAAAAAAATCGCTCCTCCCCCTCTCCCAACCCCCCCACAACCCATTCCAGAAAAGGAAAGAAGAGGGGACGCAAAGTGGAATAAGTTACGACGGGCGACCGAGCGCATAGAAATGGGACCAAAGCCCAGGCTCAAGACAGAGACGAGGAATCAGTAACCACAGCCGGAGGATCTTGGCTATTTGCCAGCAGAGAACTGACTGGTTCTAAGAAACCAGAGGCAGAGCGAGTGACAGGAAGGGAAAGAGGGCCCACCCTTGGGACTGCCTGAAACACTCAAAGAATGAAAAAGAAACGTCAGGAATCCGAGACGGGATGCGGTCGGCCAGAGCGACCAGCCAGGTTAACAACCAGCTCAGAAAGCCGGGACACGGGTGAGAGACCCCTGGGAAGGAAACAGCGCCCGGGGACGGCCTGCTAAAAGGAAACTGATAACCAGGAAGCCTAAGGCCGCCTCGCTTCCAAAAGTCAGAGTCGGAGCCCAGGTGTCCGGTAGCTGCGGCCAGACACCGGATCGGGTCTGAGGGCGGGCCTAGGGGCGGAGCCCGAGCTCTTTCCCCGCCCTCTAACGGCGACCCGGGCTGCGTTCTCAGTGCGCCGGCGTAGGGTGAGGCCGGACTCTATTTGGCGATTAAGCGTGAGGCTGCGTTCGCTACCCAGCATGCTGTGCGCTAGTGACGGCCCTCCGCCTATCCCCTTCCCAACTCTCCCCCCACCCCTCCCGCCGAGGCCCCCCCTTCCCCTAAAGTGAGTGAGTGAGACGGGCAGATGGAGGAGGGATTGTAATGGCGGCAGCCGGCAGCTCCCTGCTCTGACCCACGGCAGGCACACAGCAACGACCCCTTCCCCGCCCCTCTCCCGGCCGGCCTCCGCCCCGCAGCCAGCGCGGGGCCACCCTCTCCGGCCCTTCCCCCAGCTGTCGGCGTCTCGCCCTGCGCCCCGGCCGGGGCCCCACACACAATGGACGAGCTTGCCGGAGGCGGTGGTGGCGGCCCGGGGATGGCGGCCCCTCCCCGGCAGCAGCAGGGACCTGGGGGGAACCTGGGCCTTTCGCCCGGGGGGAACGGAGCGGCGGGCGGCGGGGGTCCTCCGGCCTCCGAGGGAGCGGGTCCCGCGGCAGGCCCCGAGCTGTCCCGGCCGCAGCAGTACACTATCCCGGGGATACTGCACTACATCCAGCACGAGTGGGCTCGGTTCGAGATGGAGCGGGCGCACTGGGAGGTGGAACGGGCCGAACTGCAGGTACCTCGTTGGGGTCGGTGTGCGGGAGCTGCGGCGGCTGGGTTCCCGGCCGGGGGGTGGGGCTGGGGACTCCACTCAGCCGGAGCCGGCGCCTTGGGAGGCCGAGCGGAACCTACCTGTGCTGCTCAGGTTGTGATGGTCCTCTCAACGGCTTTTCCTGGAGTCCCCCTCCCTCTTTCCCGCATAAGCTTGCTCCCCAACCTTCACTGGCTACGCGGTGCGGGCCTCCTCGGGGCAGCCATTTTGGCTTTTAGTATGGCGTCTGCGGGGGCTCCTCCGGAGGCGGCCTTCCCGGGCCTCCGGGGCTTGGGACCGAGCACCTCTCTGTGGGAGAGTCCGGTTTGGGGCCTCTCAACACTGAGTTTGCTCTTGTTTGTTCCTCTTGAGATGAAGAGCCCGAAGAGAGGGACTAGGATAGGCATCTTACCCCCCTTTTCCGGACCACCCCCCTTTCCGATTTGGCGTATCTGGCCCCCTCCCTCAGACTTGGTACGCGCTTGCCCCTTGACAGCCACGCTTCTTTCCTGGGCTGCTAGGGTGCACAGTGACTTGGGACTGACCTGTGAAGTTTTATTTCCCATCGTCAACTTTAAGTACTTTCTCACCTGAGATGCTGCCTTACTCACTTGGATTCTCTGTAGTTATTCCTTACTTAGTGACTCATCAACGCTTTCAGCACTGAATTTTTCTTTTTACAGTACTCTCCACTAGATCTCCTTTCCCCCATCCGTTTCTTTATCTATAAAAAAACCAAACCAGACGATCGATGCTGTATTTATGAAACGACTGAAGAGATTTAATATTCCCTTGAAGTGAAACGTAGTTATATCATGTTACTTACTCTTGCAGGAGAAGCAAAGTGAGATGTTCTCGGAACCCTTCATAGTTGAGCTTGACTCGATCCTCATAATGTGAACCTTTGATAGGCTGCACATTTGGAAGCTGTTGGTAGTTAACAGCTCATGTCCTGGATCTCAAAATTGCTGCATCTTTTTGAAAGGGTTATTTAACTTTCTTGGGTATTTGTGTTTATTTTTAAATACCTTTCCAGGGCAAATTTAGGCTTAGAAGGAAAAAGCGTGTGTCTAAATAGTATTGCACCTGTTCTTCAGACTGTTGTGTATTTAGGGGGTAAGCAGTATTTGCTGTCATATATGTCATATGCCTATGGTGAATCGTTAGGCAAATGTAGTGCTGAAAGGAGGAGGATTGGATTAACTAGAAAGGGTGTCCTCAAATATGCATCTCTTTAGTTTGGTTCTGAACTAGTAAACTTTTATATGACTCCACAAAGTGGGTGAAGTTAAACTTTTCAAAAGTAAAAAATACTTGGGTATTTTGACACTGTATGAAGTCTTAAAAAAAAGTAACACTTGTTAGTCATTTCAGTGCTTTACAATTGTGTTTTGATATAATATTGGGCTTTAAAATTACATAACTTTAAAAAAGCTGAAGTCAAAACTGGTTTAAGTTGTGTACAGTCTGCTTTAACATACTTAAAATTTATAGAATTCTGTTGGTATACAGCTTTCTACTACATACTGCAAACTTAATTTTCTGTGTGAGTAAAGTAAGTAAGGCATTTGTTTTTAAAATTTGGATTGACAAATGCAGTAAGGCCTAAGCTCACTAAATAATACTTCACCAGTCCCTGCTATGGTTTCTTAGACCTTTGTACTGTTGTATGCAAGTTTGGATTTCAACACTCTTCAAGTTAGCAATTGCATTTTTCACCCATAAACTTCACTAATGTAAGCAGCTGAGAAGAAAGATATCTTGTGCCCAAATTAGTAAAACCTATACTATATATTAAAGAAGCCTTTATTGCCTGCTCTAGCATTTGCTTTCCCTTCTAGGTCTCCTTAACAGCAGCAGCAGTGTTTTAAGGTAGATTCCTTTTGCTTGCTTGCTTGCTTTCAATTCTATTGGTACAGTACTGTTATTAGCCATCCTAAGTTTTTGTTTGTTTCCTTGTTTTGAAGAAGTCCTACAGTGTTTCTAGACTCTTTTTTATTTCATACTGATTCTTTTGGAATAAAATGTTCATGATGGCGTTGGTTTTTTTTTTTTTGAGTTATATATTTAAAATGTTTTATTGGGTTAACTTAATAAGGTTTCTAGTTTGCTTTAGGTGCCTTCAGTCTACTGAGATTGCTTGTGAGATGCGTATTTTAAAATGTATGTGTTGAATACATATTTGTGGGAGGGTGTAGTGAAGCATCAGTGGATTTTTACTGTAAACTTAAACCTATTTTTAAGAAAGACAATCTAGAAATAAGACAACTTACATATTATTATGTACAGTCTCCAGTGCACTGTCATGTACACAGATTTTTAAAGTGTTAATTATTGAATAGTTTCAATAGAGAACGTGAAGAGCTTAAGGAATACCCCATATTGATGTAAAATTTTAATGGGGAATAATATTTTCCCTGGCTTTGGGAAAGATATTAAAAGGAACTTTACAGTATGATTCTGTTCTCTGTAAAAAGAATTTAGAGTAAAGGTCTGTCTTAGAAACTTGGAACCAAACTAAAGGATCACATCTTAAAGCTCTTCTGTCTCTGATTCTTCCTTACCTTAGACTCAGGTAAAGCATTGTTAGTAAGGTCATAGGACAGTGGTTTCTTAACTTTTATATAACATGAATTACCAAAATTCCACAGACAGTCCATTTTCTTCAAGCCCTAGATCAATCCAGATCTCCAGAGGATAAGAGGCCTGCATATTTTTTAGAGTTCTACAAGTGATTCTTTCTTCACAGTAGTGCCTGTTAAAGAGAAAAATTACTACACTACACTTTTCTTTTTTGTAATTTCATAGTAGATTCATTAAAATCTTGTCATGGAAAAGACACTAGGATTTGCAAATTACTATTCCAGACCAGCTTTTGAAAACCCTGAAAATGGAAAATTCAGGAGATTCCCCCCTTAAAAATGAAGAAATCAAGTAAGTCTAAGCAAAATATCTCCTACTAACTTAAGGATCTTTAAGCAGCAACATCTATCATGTTACGACTTCTAAAAGTTAGAAACTGCCATTTAATCAGCACTATAACCTCATGAGGTGAGTATTCCTGTTTTACAGGTGAGGAGACAAATTTAGGTAGGTTAAATCATTTTGCCAAGGTCACCTAGCCATAAAGTATTGCAGCTGAGATTTGAACCCAAGTCTGTCTGATTCCAAAGCCTGTAGTCATGTTACCACTCTTGTAACCATTATGTTATACTGTCTTAGCTCTTTTTTATAGAGTGGAATCTGACTTGTAATTCTTCATCTAGTATTGCGTGGCCCACACCACTTGAGTACATTTCAATAAAGTTTTATTGAGCGCCTGTGATGCTGCTGCAAGGCATAGTTTATATATATTGCTAATGTGTCCTTATATTTTTCTTTATAGTTTGTATGTAGTAAGTGGATTTTGGGTATATACAAAATGCTTGTTTGCCAAGTGTAAAAATATGACATAGCTAATACAAGAAAATGTAGTCAAAGAGTTTATGTTCTTTTTTTTTTTTTTTGAGATGGAGTCTCGCTCTACTGTCGCCCAGGCTGGAGTGCAGTGGCACCATCTTGGCTCACTGCAAGCTCTGCCTCCCAGGTTCACGGCATTCTCCTGCCTCAGCCTCCCCAGTAGCTGGGACTACAGGTGCCTGCCACCACGCCCAGCTAATTTTTTTGTATTTTTAGTAGAAATGGGGTTTCACCGTGTTAGCCAGGATGGTCTTGATCTCCTGACCTCGTGATCTGCACACCTTGGCCTCCCAAAGTGCTGGGATTACAGGCGTGAACCACCGCGCCCGGCCGACAGTGATTTTTCATAAAGGTGTTCCCTTTGTTCTGGGATTTTTAGCCTTCATACATTTTTACTGTTAGGCATTTCCTTTTTCAGATGATGGTGATAATAGTTAAAAAAATTTTATTGATAGTATTAAGGGAGTCCACTACCTTGTGTCAGATTCCCTGTTTCTTTTTGAAGCCCTTGAAATGAAGTTTAGGGACCACTGATCTAGAATTCTCTTTATGCTCCTCCACTACCCATTAACCCCACTCTGTAGTCTGCCTTTTCGCTTTCTTCTCTCCTCCCTTCTAAACACTTCGTAGAACACTATGTTTTCTGTTCATGATTGACCTTCAAATTGCCAAATCCTTTGGCCTTATAAACCGTATGTACTTAACCAACACTCTGTTGTTAACAAATCCTTCAAAACTGTTTTCTTTTGCTTCCGCTCTGTTTTTCCTGTCATCCACTTATCACTTTTCTTCATATGTTTTCTTTCTTTTGTTCCCAGTTGTTATTATGTGGGGTTCTGGTTCTATTTTATGTTCTCACTGTATATTCAGAATCAGATTTTTAGCTACCATGTACCATCTTAATAATACCTAGCATTTATTTACTCTTTCCTAATTGTTATTTCAGTGCTTCAGTATTTCAGTATTCATTTAATTCATTCAGTATTCATTTAATTCTCAAAACAACTCAGTGAGGTTGATACAGGTATAATTGGTGTCTTTTTTTTATTTTTTCTGACACTGGCATATCGAGGCCCAAAGGTTAAGTAATCTATGCAACTAGGAGGCAGTAGAACTGGGATTTAAACTTAGACTGCCTGTAGAGGCCATGTTCTTAACCACTACTAGATTTTTGGCGTCCAGATGTCCCTTGTATTTCTAACTTCCGTTTAGTTTTTCTACCTCAAATTCAATACATCCATTCAGTTAATCTCAAGTGCCTGCCTCTTTCCCTTGACAAAACACACTTGCTCATTCTTTATTCCTTGCCACATTAAAGTTAACACTATCCTCCCCATCGCTAGTACTATAGAGGTCATTGAACCTTCCCCCTGCGTATGGCCTGTGAGTTTTATTGATTCCAGCATGATTATTTGGTGATATTTGAGTGCGATTTTGTGCTAGATCCTGGGTGTATAATGATGTATGAGACACAGACTTTGTCCTCAGGGAGCTTATACTCTAGAAATAATTTTTTTTTTTTTCAAGAGAGCGTCCTACTCTGTTGCCGAGGCTGGAGTGCAGTGGTGCCAACATGGCTTACTGTAGCCTCAGGCTCCCGAGCTCAACTGATCCTCCTGCTGCAGCCTCCCGAGTAGGTGGGACTACAGACATGGACTATCACACCAAGCTGTTTTTATTTTTAGTTCAGGTGGGTTCTCAGTTTGTTGCCCAGGCTGGTCTTGAACTCCTGGGCTCAAATGATTCTCCCACCTCATCCTCCCAAAGTCCAAGTATTGGGATTACAGGCATGAGCCATCATGCCTGGCCAATAAAATGTTACAACAAATTAGCAGAATGCTGAGAGAATAAATGGTGATAGGAAACCTGTATATGTAATGGAGTTTCAGATAATACCTAATATTTATTGAGCACTTTCTTTTTTTTTTTTTAGAGACAGTTTTCGCTCTGTCACTCAGGCTGGAGTACAGTGGTGCTATCTCAACTCACTGCAACCTCCACTTCCTGGGTTCAGGCAGTTCTCATGCCTCAGTCTTCTGAGTAGCTGGAATTACAAGCACCCACCAACACGCCCAGCTAATTTTTGTATTTTTTGTAGAGATGGAGTTTCACCATGTTGGCCAGGCTGGTCTTGAACTCCTGACCTCAAGTAATCCGCCTGCCTTGGCCTCCCAAAGTGCTAGGATTACAGGCATGAGCCACTGCGCCTGACCTATTGAACACTTTCTATATGGTTGACATTATTTTTGGTTCTTCAGTACATTTAATTCTCATAAAGTTCCTAAATGTATACTTCTAGATCTGAAGTATCGGGAATACCTAATTGTACAAAGAACATGCCAGTTGGAAGCTACAGCATTTAGCAGAAGTTCTAAAGTAGGAAAGAGCTTCATTTAAACTGTGAACTGGCCAGGTGTGGTGTCTCACGCTTGTAATCCCAGCGCTTTGGGAGGTTGAAATGGGAGGATCACTTGAGCCCAGGAGTTGGAGACCAGCCTGGGCAACAGTGAGACCCTGTATCTAAAAAAGAAAAAAAAAAAAAAGAAAATGAGTGAACTGGACTATAATGATTCAAAAGGCTAAGTAATATAGGTAACATCAGTATCCTAAAGTATATTCTAATTCACTGATGCTTGATTTTTTGGGGGATTGTATAGTCCCCTTTGCATATATTATGAATGCTGTGGAGCCTCTTCTAGTTTTTTTTCAAAAAAGGTAAGAAAATTTTGCTTAGAATGCCCATGAAGCCTGACTGCTGATCTAAGGAAGTAACTGATTCAATCTGTGCTTTTTGTTTCTGTACTAATACTGCCTTAGTTCAGAGTACTCCTCCTGCCAGAATTCTTTGAGATAATCTCCTGACAGGTTTGTTTCATCCATTGCCCCTCTTAACAGTTTATCCTTTTTATCATAAAGACAATTGTATTATATATAACCCTCCTTTAATTTTTTTATGAAAAGTTTCAAACATGTAAGAAAATAATATAGTATTGTGACCTCCCACAAACGTGTCACTCATCTTAAACAGCAACGACTCATGATCAGTCTTGTTTTACCTGTACTTCTATCCATTCATTGTCCATTCCAAATTATTATTTTCTATTATTTTATTTATTTTTAAGAGACAGGGTCTCACTATGTTGCACAGGCTGGAATGCAGTGGTGCGATCGTAGCTCACTGCAGCCTCAAAACTCTTGGGTTCAAATAGTCCTCCCACTTCAGCCTCCCAAATAGCTTGGACTATAGGCACGTGCTACCACGCCTGGCTAATTTTTTTTTTAGTAGAGACAGGGTCTTTCTATGTTGTCTAGGCTGGTCTTGAGATCATGGCCTCAAGTAGTCCTCCTACCTTGGCATCTCAGGAGTGCTGGGATTAAAGGCATGAGCCACTATGCCTGGCATGCCTCAGCCTCCAGAGTAGCTGGGATTATAGGTGTGCCACCATGCCCGACTAATTTTTTGAATTTTAGTAGGGATGGGGTTTCACCATATTGGCCAGTCTGGTCTCAAACTCCCGACCTCAGGTGATCTGCCCACCCTGGCCTCCCAAAATGCTGGGATTACAGGTGTGAGCCACTATGCCCTGCCTAAATTTTCTTTTATTCTATTAGTGCTTGAAGTTACTGAGTTCTGAAGTTGTTGAGCTTCTCTCTGCTTTGCTATTGATTTGAGCAAGTTCGGAGCACCATGGCCCTCATCTTCGCATTTTACGCTTTTTTTGCAAGTTTATCAACAAGCTCAATTAAACCACCAACTGTTTTCTGAAACTGGCCAGTTTTGTCCGCAAAGTTCTTGCACTCTTCTTTGAGCTCTGTGGTCTGCTGGGTAACCTCTGAGTCCAACACCCACAGCTTGTTCAACTCATCAAAGTGCAGTCCCTCTTCAGCCAGGATGTCCTTTACCATAGTTGTTTCGCATCCAAGTTCCCTAGAGAAGCTCTGCTCTGAAGGAGTGACGGTGACAGTCAGGAGGAGGTGTGTCATAGGAACAAGGGTCGAGAAAGAATAAAGTTCGCTTGCTTGTCACAGGTATTGTTCATTCAACACACATTTCTTTGAGTGCCCACTACATGCCAACACTGCTAGATGCTGGGGGTACAGAGATGAATGCAACATGGTGCCCACCCTGCTGGCCCCGTGGCAGCAGCTTACTATGGCCCAGGCTGATGTAGACTGGCAGCTTCTCCCCATCACTGGTAGCTGGTATGCAGGCAGCCTGCCTCGGCTGTTGCCATGACTACAGAGACTCTTTACCCATGACCTGAAATATATTTTTATTAAGGTTTTTTTTTTTTAACAAAATGGTTTTAAATTTATTTAAATTAATTTCCTTTTTTTTTTTTTTTAAATTGAGGCAGGGTTTCATTTTGTTGCCCAGGCTGGAGTGCAGTGGGCGCAATCCCGGCTCACTGTAACCTCCGCCTCCCAGGTTCAAGCAATTCTCCTGCCTCAGCCCCTTGAGTAGCTGGGATTACAGGCATGCACCACCATGCCCAGCTAATTATTTTGTATTTTTAGTAGATACGGGGTTTCACCATGTTGGCCAGGCTGGTCTTGAACTCCTGACCTCAAGTGATCACCCGCCTTGGCCTCCCAAAGTGCTGGGATTTCAGGTGTGAGCCACCGTGCGCAGCCTAAATAACTGTGTATGCTCGCTTTTGTGTGTATACACTCACTGCCCCTCATAAGACAATTTAGGTTCACAGCAAAATTTAGCAGAAAGTACAAGTAGTCTCCTACCCCAAAGTTTTGCCTTTTCCAGAATACATTCATATACCTTCCCATGGTATCCTTGGGGGAAATTTGTTCCAGGGGTTCTCCTCCAGGATACAAAATCCTCAGATGCTCAAGTCCCTCAATACAATGAGTTTGTAACTTATGCACATCTTCCTGTATATTTTAAATCTCTAGATTACTTTTTTTTTTTTTTTGAGACGGAGTCTCGCTGCGTCGCCCAGGGTGGAGTGCAGTGGCGCGATCTCGGCTCACTGCAAGCTCTGCCTCCTGGGTTCACGCCATTCTCCTGCCTCAGCCTCCCTAGTAGGTGGGACTACAGGCACCCGCCACCACGCCCGGCTAATTTTTTGTATTTTTAGTAGAGACGGGGTTTCACCTTGTTAGCCAGGATGGTCTCGATCTCCTGACCTTGTGATTTGCCTGCCTTGGCCTCCCAAAGTGCTGGGATTACAGGCGTGAGCCACTGCGCCCGGCCTAGATTACTTATATAATCTAAATGCTATGTAAATAGTTGTTACACTT
This sequence comes from Homo sapiens, assembly GCF_000001405.40. NCBI lineage: Eukaryota > Metazoa > Chordata > Mammalia > Primates > Hominidae > Homo > Homo sapiens. Next base: position 31,017,170 of record NC_000014.9, on the reverse strand, counting down.
TTTAAAACTTTTTATTTGAGACAGGGTCTCAGTCTGTCACCCAGGCTGGAGTGCAGTAAAACAATCACTGCTCACTGCAGCCTTGATCTCTGGGTTCAGGTGATCCTCCCACCTCAGCCTCCTGAGTAGCTAGGACTACAGGCACCCGCCACCACACCTGGCTAATTTTTGTATTTTTTCTAGAGACAGAGTTTTGCTAAGTTGCTGAGGCTGGTTTTGAGCTTCTGGGCTCAAGCTATCTGCCATCCTTGGCCTCCCAAAGTGCTAGGATTACAGGTGTCAGCTACTGCACCTGGCTAGTTGCTATAATTTTTAAAAATTATTTTTTGGCTGGGCGCAGTGGCTCATGACTGTAATCCCAGCACTTTGGGAGGCCAAAGCGGGTGGATCACAAGGTCAGGAGTTTGAGACCAGCCTGGCCAATATGGTGAAACGCCGTTTCTACTAAAAATATAAAAGTTAGCCAGGTGTGCTGGCACGTGCCTGTAATCCCAGCTACTTGGGAAGCTGAGGGCAGGAGAATCGCTTTAACCCGGGAGGCGGAGGTTGTAGTGAGTCGAGATCGCGCCACTGCACTCTAGCCTGGGCGACAGAGCGAGACTCTGTCTCAAAATATATATATATATATTTTTATTATTTTTCTGGAATATTTTTGCCTTGCCATTGTTTGAATCTGTGAATGGGGAACCCTTGGATACAGAGGGTTGCCTTAGTTTGAATCGTATAATATGTAGCCTTTTCACTTAGTAGCAGTGTATTTAAGGCTTCTCCTTGTCTTTTCTATGGGTTGATTATTTCTTTTTAGTGCTGAACAATATTCCATTTATGGATGTGCTACAGTTTGTTCACCTTTTGGAGGGTATCTTGGTTACTTTCAAGTTTTGACAATTATGAGTAAAGGCTGTAAACATCCATGTGCAGGTTTTTGTGTGGACGTATAAGTTTTCATGTAATTTGAGTAAATACCAGGGAGTGTGATTGTTGGATCATATGGTAAGATTATATTTAATTATGTAAGAAACTGCCACATGATCTTCCAAAGTGGCTGTACCATTTTGCATTCCCACCAGTAATGAGTGAGAATTATTATTGCTCCCCTTTCAGCTTTTGGAGTTGTAGTGATTTGGATTTTAACCATTTTGGTAGTTATGCAGTGGTATCTCACTGTTTTTAATTTACATTCCCCTAATGAAAAACAGTATTGAAGCCAGGCATGGTAGCATGTGCCTGAAGTCCCAGCTACCTGGTGGAGGAGTGAGATGGAGGATTGCTTGAGCCCCAGAGGTTGTGGCTACGGTGATCCATGATCACCCCACTGCACTCCGGCCTGGGTGACAGAGTGAGTCCCTGTCTCACAAGGTTCTGTAGAGGCCTGCTGGGAACAGAACTGAACTTCTAAAAGTAAATGTCTTGGCAGCTGCTTTCCAAGGCCTGGCTATAAGTAAGGTCTGCAGAGCCAAAAGGAGCATACAGCTCTTCTTAAAATTGAAGGTGTTGGCTGGGGGCACGGTGGCTCATGCCTGTAATCCCAGCACTTTGGGAGGCCAAGGCGGGTGGATCACCTGAGGTCAGGAGTTCGAGACCAGCCTGGCCAGCATGGTGAAACCCTGTCTCTACTAAAAATACAAAAAATTAGCTCGGTGTGATGGTGCATGCCTGTAGTTCAGCTACTCAGGAGGCTGAGACAGGAGAATTGCTTGTACCTGGGAGGCAGAGGTTGCAGTGAGCCTAGATCGTGCCATTGTACTCCAGCCTAGGTGATGAATGAAACTCCGTCTCAAAAAAAAAAAAAAATTGAAAGTGTTTAAGCCCAAGATGAAACTGAATTCTATTTAAGAGTTGTGCTTATGTGTATAAAGCAAAGAATAACATAGGCAAACGGAACAAAACTATAGTAATTGGGGAAACGCAACTCATACCTGTGGAAACCAGTGGCATGGTTTGTGTCAAATTCTGAAGCAGCCTTCCTGGTAAGGCTACTGGACACAGAATACCCTTCAAGGAAACTAATGAAAAGTAAATAAATAAAAGTGGGTGTGAGGCTGGACGCGGTGGCGCTCACGCTTGTAGTCCCAGCACTTTGGGAGGCCAAGGCGGGCGGATCACTTGAGGTCAGGAGTTTGAGACCAGTCTGGCCAACATGGTGAAATCCTGTCTCTAGAAAAAAATACAAAAATTAGCCGGGCATGGTGGCGCATGCCTGTAATCCCACCTACTTGGGAGGCTGAGGCAGGAGAATCGCTTGAACCTGGGAGGTGTAGGTTGTAGTGAGCAAAGATTGCACCATTGTACTTTAGCCTGGGTGACAGACTGCAGCCTGGGCAACAGAGTGAGACCCTGTTTTTTTTTTTTTTTTTAAAGTGGTTTTGTGTTCTTGTAATGAAAAAGAAAAAAAGGTTAAAAAAGGATGTGCTTTTGACCAATATATAATGCTGTTTCAAGGTAGTACCAGTACCTTGTGTTCAGTGGAACCAAGGTAAACACAAGGTATTGGTATTACCTTGAGATAGCATTACACCTAAGTGGTTTCAGTGAACAAGATTTAAAAGACTAGAATTAAAGCAATTATAAATGTAAAGTAAAATTTTGGACTACTTTTAGATAGACTTTATAAACAGACGTAAAAATTCCTATTAAAAATTTTGCACTTTGGCCGGGCGCAGTGGCTCACGCCTGTAATCCCAGCACTTTTGGAGGCTGAGGCAGGTGGATCACAAGATTAGGAGTTCGAGAACAGCCTGACCCACATGGTGAAACCCCGTCTTTACTAAAAATACAAAAATTAGCAGGGTGTGGTGTCAACGCGCCTGTAGTTCCAGCTACTCGGGAGGCTGAGGCAGGAGAATCACTTGAACCCGGGAGGCGGAGGTTGCAGTGGGCCGAGATCACGTCACTGCACTCCAGCTTGGGCAACAGAGCAAGACTCTGTCTCAGAACAGCAACAACAACAACAATTTTTGCACTTTCAGGACACTTACAGGCTCCTTCCTATAATCCCAGCACTTTGGGAGACCAAGGCAGGAGGATAACTTGAAGTCAGAAATTCAAGACCAATCTGGGCAACAAAGTGATACCCTGTCTCTACAAGAAATTTAAAAAATTAGCTGGACACAATGGTGTTGTACCTGTAGTCCTAGCTACTCGGGAAACCGGGACGGGAGGATCGCTTGAGCCCAAGGGGTCAAGGCTGCTGTGAGCCATGATCTCACCACTGCACTCTAGTCTGGTCAATAGACTGACACTCTGTCTCAAATAATAATAATAATAATAATAATAATAATAATAATAATAATAATAATAATAATAAAATTGCTTTGAGAAGCCAAGGCAGGAAGATTGGTTGAGGCCAGGAGTTCGAGACCAGCCTGGGCAACATAGTGAGACCCCCCCCGTTTCTACAGAAAAGAAAAAATTTAGCCAGACATAGTGACATGCACCTGTATTCCTAGCTTTGGAGGCTCAGGGGAGAGGATTGCTTGAGCCCAGGAGTTTGAAGTTGTAATGAGCTATCATCACACCACTGCTCTTCAGCCTGGTAAAAGACTCTGTCTCTTTAAAAAAAATTATATTTTGAATAAGTAATATGTGGTTCAAAATTAAGTCTTATACTCACCATGATCCTGTCTACCACCCCCCACTGCCAAGTTAGTAATCGACTACTTTTTTTTTAGTCTGTGTGTGTCCCTCTCTAGTGTTTTTTATGTAGGTAGATGAAAGCAAATGTTTTCATCCTTTTCTGGTACAATGTGGCAAACTATATAACCTATTTTTCACTATAATTTTTTTGTTTTTTTTTTGAGATGGGGGTCTCACTCTTTTGCCCAGGCTGGAGTGTGGTGATGCGATCTTGGCTGGCTGCGACCTCTATCTCCTGGGCTCAATTGATCCTCCCACCTCAGCCTCGCAAGTTTGGAACTACAGGAACCTGCTTCCACACCTGACTAATTTTGTTGTTGTTATTGTTTTGTAGAGATGGGGGTCTCCCTGTGTTATCCTCCCACCTCAGCCTCCAAAGTTTGGGACTACAGGAACATGCCTCCACACCTGACTAATTTTGTTGTTGTTAACTGTTTTGTAGAGATGGGGGTCTCCCTGTGTTATCCAGGCTGGTCTTGAACTCCTGAGCTCAAGCATTCTGCCCACCTCAGCCTCTCAAAGTGCTGGGATTATAGGCATGAACCACTATGCCCTCCCTACTTTACTTTTTCATTTCACATGTTGAGAGATCATTCCAAACCTGCTAATAGAGAGCATCCTTACTTTTTTTTTTTTTTTTGAGACGGAGTTTTGCTCTTATTGCCCAGGGTAGAGTGCAGTGGCACAATCTCAGCTCACTGCAACCTCTGCCTTCAGGTTTCAAGTGATTCTTCTGCCTCAGCCTCCCAAGTCACTGGGATTACAGGCGCCCACCACCACACCCATCTCATTTTTTTGTATTTTTAGTAGAGACGGGGTTTCACCATGTTGCTCAGGCTGGTCTCTAACTGCTGACCTCGTGATCCACCCGCCTCGGTCTCCCAAATTGCTGGGATAACAGGCGTGAGCCACCGCGCCTGACCCTACATCCTCACTTCTTTTTAACAGCTGCATAGTATTTTGTGTAGATAGGCCAAAGTTGATCCACCTAATCCACTATTGCTGGACAGTTGTGTTAAATTTTCATAAAACGTTTGTAGCTGTGTTCTTTCTTAAATGTGTGAGCAGTCAGTCTTGCTGCCTCAAACTCTGTTGTGTTTCCTTTTTGTTGCTGTTGTTAAGAGTTGTTAGCAGTTGTGGAAAGTTTAAAATTTTGTGTGACACTTTATTTCATGGCTTGCATTTAAATCTGAACTTAGGATGTTTTTGCTTTGAAAGCTGTTAACTGGGGCTTGCTTTTATTTAAGTTATCTTTCACTGAAATCCTGGAGAATAGAGAATGAGAAAGAAAACAAAGATAATAGGATGAAGTGGGTTGAAAGAGAAATAATATGAGAGAGTAACAATGGATAAGGGTAACAATATGACACTGATAGATATCTCAGATAACAAAAACATTTCACAGTGGCCTGGAATAGTATTTGTTGTGTTGCTTTTTTGTTTTCTTTTTTTTGAGACAGAGTCTCGCTCCGTCGCCCATGCTGGAGCGCAGTTGCGCGATCTCGGCTCACTGCAACCTCCGGCTCCTGGATTCAAGCGATTCTTCTGCTTCAGCCTCCCAAGTAGCTGGGATTACAGGCGCCTGCCACCATGCCCAACTAATTTTTTTTTATTTTTGGTAGAGACAGGGTTTCACCATGTTGGTCAGGCTGGTCTCCGACTCCTGACCTCAGGTGGTCCTCCCACCTTGGCCTCCCAAAGTGCTGGGATTACATCCGTTAGCCACTGCCTCAAAAAAATAAAAAATAAATAAATAAAAATAAATAAAAAGGGTTGGGGATTGAGATTCTAGCCTCTGTTTTTATGAATCTTTCTATTTTACATATGTAACTGCTCCCTGGTCATTTCCTTGTTAGCACTTAACATGTTTTGCAATTTTATTTTATTTTTTTGAGACACAGTCTCGCTCTGTCGCCCAGGCTGGAGTGCATTGGCATGATCTCAGCTCACAGCAACCTTCACATTCCAGGTTAAAGCAATTCTTGTGCCTCAGCCTCCTGAGTAGCTGTAATTTCAGGCGTGTGCCACCACGCCCTGTTAATTTTTTGTATTTTTAGTTGAGACGAGGTTTTGCCATATTAGCTAAGCTGGTCTCGAACTCCTGTCCTTCAGTGATCCACCCGCCTCGGCCTCCCAAACTGCTGGAATTACAGGTATGTATACCCAGTTTGAGAGTAAAGGGTCTGGCACATAATAGATGTCTGCCAAATATTTGCTAAATAAGTGAAATTGCTGAGGACATCTCATTAAAATGTTAGAGATGAGAGCTTGACTTACAATTTCTGTGGTGTGTATATACTAGGAGAAAAAGTCCACCGGATGCAGAAAAAGTCCACAGGATAGAGTAAATTAATACTCTTTGTCAAGCCCTCGTTTGATCCTGGAATGAAAACAAACTTTCTGGGTTTTATTAGATTATAATTTTGTCTCCCCTCCCTGTCATGGGAAATGGAGTATCAGAGAAATCACTTCAATTAAAATGTTTGTTTTGTTTTTGAGACAGAGTGTTGCTCTGTCACCCAGGCTGGAGTGCAGTGGCGCAATTTTGGCTCACTGCAACCTCTGCTGCCTGGGTTCAAGTGATTCTCCCACCTCACCCTCCTGAGTAGCTAGGATTGCAGACATCTGCCACCATGCCTGGCTAATTTTTGTATTTTTAGGAAAGACAAGGTTTCGCCATGTCGGCTAGGCTGGTCTCGAACTCCTGACCTCAGGTGATCTACCCGCCTTGGCCTCCCAAAGTGCTGGAATTACAGGCATAAGCCAGCACATCTGGTACTTCAGTTAAAATGAATCATTGCCTGAGATTAATGCACTGTGGGGCGGGGGCTACTTTATCCCTTTGAAATGAATAAATTTTATGAAGAATGTTTAATGACTATGCAATGCTTATGGTAAACTAAAAATAAGTTTTGTGTGCCATAAATCAGCTATATGAAAAAAGTACGTTGAAAAAGTTCAGATATTTTTAAATACTTTGTGATTTTTTGGTGATGGGATTATTGGAAACATTTTTCCTTATTTTAAAAAAATGACCCACCAAACATTATAAAGTAGATTATTTTCTTTTATTAAAATTGATAAGTTTCAGGAGTGAATTCTTTATGCCAATACATAGTCATTGTTGAAAAAATAGTTATATGGGGTGGGGGGAGGGGGGAGGGATAGCATTAGGAGATATACCTAATGCTAAATGACGAGTTAATGGGTGCAGCACACCAGCATGGCACATGTATACATATGTAACTAACCTGCACATTGTGCACATGTACCTTAAAACTTAAAGTATAATAATAATAAAAAGAAAAAATAGTTATAAAACAAAGCAAATATGTTAGTTTTAATGAATTTATAGACTAGTTTGTCTTTTTCCTATTTCCTTTTTTACTGATTTCTTCTTTTGTTTTTTATTTTACTTTTGTTTTTTAGAGACAGGGTCTCATACCGTCACCCAGGCTTGAGTTCAGTGATGCTATCAATCATGGCTCACTGTAGCTTTGTCCTTCTGGGCTCAAGCAATCCTCCTGCCTCAGCCTCCTCAGAAGCAGGGACTAGAGGCATACGCCATCATGCCCAGCTACTTAAAAAATTTTTTTTTCATGGAGATGGTGTCTCAGTATGTTGCCCAGGCTGGTCTTGAATACCTGGTCTCAAGCAATCCTACCACCCCAGCCTCCCAGAATGCTGGAATAACAGGCATGATATCAGCACCTGGCTTCTTTTTTACTGATTGTTTAGAAACTGTCAAATATGCTTTATTACTTACTAAGATTTTATTTTATGATGTATTTAAATTTTTTTGTGTTTATGTTTAGCCACTTCTATTTATTTTGAGAGTTTTTATATTAGTTTTTAATATTTTTTATTTGTAGTTAAAGTAATACATTTATATGAAAATTAAGTTACAGAAATGTAAAAAAAAAAAAAAAATTGGCAATGGTTTTTTGTAATCCTGATTTTCCAGGAACAACCACTGCTATATTTTTGGGTGCATGTCTTTTCAGAATTTTTTCCGTACAAATGCAAAAGTGGTTTTCAACTGGGGCGCGGGGGCGGGGGGGTAGTTTTGCTCCCATGGGGCATTTATTTGGCAAGGTCTGGAGACATTTTTGGTTATCACATTTGGAGGCAGGTGGTCCTGGCATTTAGTGGAGAGTGGACAGGGATGCTACTAAACACGCACGGGACAGCCCTCCATGTCCCAAATAAAATATTAGCCCAAAATGTTAATAATTGCCGAGGTTGGGAAACCCTGATATACAACTATATATATGTATTGGTGTGTGTGTATAGCTATGTCATCTCATATCCTTTCATGTCTAGTACCGGTAGTAATATAATTGTTGCAGTCAATAATTGTTGGGATGTATATATCGATACAAAAGAAACTCATACTAAGTTAATTTATTTTAAATATTTTATTTCAGTATACATAGATCTACATTTTTTTGTGTGTTTATAAAATACTGTTTTTCTTAATTTTTTTTCTTTTTTTTGAGAGAGGGTCTCTTTCTGTTTCCCAGGCTGGAGTGCAGTGGTACAATCACGGCTCATTGCAACCTAAACCTCCTGGGCTCAAGTGGTCCTTCCTCCTCAGCCTCCTGAGTAGCTGAGACTATAGGTGTGTGTCACTATGCCCAGCTAGTTTTTGTATTTTTTGTAGAGACAAGGTTTCACCATGTTGCCCAGGCTGGTCTCAAATTCCTGACCTTGAGTGATCCACTTGCCTTGGCCTGCTAAAGTGCTGGGATTACAGGTGTAAACCACTGCACCCAGCTGTTTCTAAAATTCTGCTGAAAGAATATGTACGCAAATACTACAATGCTTACAGCCAAAATGGTTGTTCCCTACTCAGTCCACCTCTCTAGGCCAGCTTTCCAGAAGCAACCACTTTCAACTCTTGTGATATTTACTTATATTTAAATAATAGACTTACCACTATTTCTTGTCTCTGGCATTTTTTTAAAAATGATGCTGCTAAATATCCTATCTGGCAATATATAATTTTTAGATTCATTTATTTTTTTGAGACAAGGTCTTGCTCTGTCATTCAGGCTAGAGTGCAGTGGTGTAATCATGGCTCACTGCAGTCTCGACCTCCTGGGCTCACTCGATCCTCCCACCTCAGCCTCCCGAGCAGCTGGGACTACAGGCGTGTACTCCCACGCCCAGCTAGTTTTTGTATTTTTATAGAGACTGGGTTTTGCCATGATGTATAGGCTGGTCTTGAACTCCTGACTCAAGCGATCCACCTGCCTCAGCCTCCCAGAGTGCTAGGATTACAGGCATAAGCCACTGCACCCAGCCAATTTTTTCTGTTTTCTTTTCTTTTTCTTTTTTTTTTGAGACGGAGTCTCACTCTGTTGCCTAGGCTAGAGTGCAACGGCGTGATCTTGGCTCACTGCAACCCCCACCTCCTGGGTTCAAGTGATTCTCCTGCCTCAGCCTCCCGAGTAGCTGGGATTATAGGCACCCGCCATCATGCCTGGCTAATTTTATTTTGTAGAGACTCGGTTTAACCATGTTGTTGGCCAGGCTGGTCTTGAACTCCTGACCTCAGGTGATCCGCCTGCCTCAGCCTCCCAAAGTGCTTGGATTACAGGTGTGAGCCACCACGCCAGGCCCAATTTTTTATTTACTTCGGAGACAGGGTCTTACCCTGCTGCCTAGGCTGGAGTGCTGTGGTGGGATCATAGCTTACTGTAACTTTGAACTCCTAGGCTCAAGCAATCCTCCCCATAGCTGAGACTATAGGTGAATGACATCACACCTGGCTGTTTTTTTTTTTTTATTTTTGTAGAGATGGAGTCTTGTTATTTGCCTAGGATGGTCTTGAACTCCTGGCCTCAAGCAATTCTCCTGCCTTGGCCTCCTAAGTTGTTGGAATTATGGATGTGAACCACTGCACCTGACCATCTGACAATATTGAACATTACCTTTTGGCTTCTTACTATGTTAGTAGGATTTATTACACATCTTATATCTCCTTTCATCATATTCCAATATAGATAATATTCCAGTATAGGTAACTCTTAAGATGTATATTGTGGTTACTTTTCTGCATATTTTGTTTTATTTGGAGTTATTTGCCTCCTTTTTTAATTTGCCTAGTTTTCTAGGTATGTATTGCTATATTTCCAAAAGATTCTACAACTGTTAGGGTTTTTAAATTAAAGACTCCCAAGCACATCACATTGTCTACCAGTTCTGCCTTTTGTGTATGTGCTTGGAGGGGGAGGAGAAGACTTGCTTTCTAGAGATATCCATTCTCTTGCTCTGATGTAGACTTGTTCTCAAGATTTGGTATCAAGTTACTATTCTGAAACTAATGTCTGCTGCGGTCCTTCCGGAAATCTCTTTTTATTGGACCCTTTCTTGGCTTACTCTTTCATTTTACTGAAATGTTATTTAATTGTTTCTTGAGAAAAGTTGGATAGGAGGTAAATGTTAGGGACTTAACCTCTTTTAAAAAATGTCTGTATTTTATTTTCACACTTGATTGGTAGTTTGGAAATATACTTTTATTTAACTTTATTTATTTATTTTAGAGACAGGGTCTCACTCTGTTGCCCAGGCTGGAGTGCAGTCGCCATTCAGAAGTGCAGTTATAGCCCACTACAGCCTGGACTTCCTGGGTTCAAGCATGTCTTTCCACTTCTACCTCCAGAGTGGCTGGGATTGCAGGCCTGCCCTGTTGCACCAGGCTACATTAACATTTTGAAGATGTTTCTCCTGTCTTTGAACTTTCATGTCTCTTTCAAAAGGTTTGATGCTGTTCTGATTCTAGATCCTTTTTTTTTGTATGTGTGATTTGAATTTCTTTTTCTTTTTTTGTTTTTGAGATGGAGTTTCACTCTTGTTGCCCAGGCTGGAGTGCAGTGGCGCGATCTCAGCTCACTGCAACCTCTGCCTCCCAGGTTCAAGTGATTCTCCTGTCTTAGCCTCCCAAGTAGCTGGATTACAGGTGCCCACCACCATGCCCAGCCTTTTTTTATATTTTTAGTAGTGTTGGGGTTTCACCATATTGGTCAGGCTGGTCTCGAACTCCTAACCTCAGGTAATCCACCTGCCCCGGCCTCCCAAAGTGCTGGGATTACAGGCGTGAGCCACCACACCTGGGCTACTTTTTAAATTTTAGTAAACACGAGGTCTCACTGTGTTGCCCAGGCCAGTCTCAAGAGCTACCCTGGGCTCAAGAGCTGCCCTCCTGCCTCAGCCTTTCAGAGTTCTAGGATTACAGGCATGAGCCACCATACCCAGCCTAGATTTCTTTTAAAGGGTGGTATTACCTTTATATAATGGAATTTTTTGAGCATAGTAGAGTTTTTGTTGTTGAATTTTTCTTTCCATGATTTATTGGTTTCCTCAGAGTGCCTTTTTTTGTTGTTTGTTTGTTTCTTTTTTTTTTTTTTTTTTGAGACAGAGTCTCGCTCTGTCACCTAGGCCTGAGTGCAGTGGCGCGATCTCGGCTTACTGCAGCCTCTGCCTCCCAGGTTCAAGAGATTGTCCTGCCTCCCTCCTGAGTAGCTGAGATTACAAGTGTGCATGTGCCACCACACCTGGCTAATTTTTGTATTTTTAGTAGAGATGGCTTTCACCATGTTGGCCAGGCTGCTCTTGAACTCCTGAGCTCAAGTGATCCACCCGCTTTGGCCTCCCAAAGTACTGGGATTACGGGCGTGAGCCACTGTGCCCAGCTATGTTTTCTGAGCTGTACTTATAATTGGTTATCCAACTCTCCAGATAACTTTCTGTCTGATGTTCACCCTTGTGATTTAAAAAATTTTAGCTATGTAAAAATAGAGTTTATCATTCTTGTATTTTGAGTAGAGCCTGCCTGCAGGATATTCTATACCTGCTGAATTCTTTGGTGTCAGATTTCTTCAAGTCATCTGTTAGTGAATCTTTTCACAATTCTCTCTTACATCTCCATTAGTATTGTGAGAAGAAACTAAAAACTCGAGACCCCAATTCACTATGCCAAAGGAAAAATATTAAGCTAAAAGCTGTGTCATGCAAGAAATTGCGGTTCCTTTTGTTTATAAGTAGATAGCTACAGATAAAAAGGTTAAGTATTTCCACAGGTAGCTACTCTATGTTTACCTTATGTAAGGTGCCATTTACTGATTGTGAGATGAATACATAATTGACTATTCTCCTACTTGCTCCTTCCCTCCCCTCCCCTCCCTTGCCATCCCCTCTACGAGAGGAGTCTCGTTCTGTCGCCCAGGCTGGAGTGCAGTGGCGTGATCTCGGCTCACTACAACTTCCGACTCCTGGGTTCAAGTGACTCTTCTGCTTCAGCCTCCTGAGTAGCTGGGACTTCTGGCGTGTGCCACCATGCCCGGCTAATTTTTGTATTTTTAGTAGAGATGGGGTTTCACCATATTGGCCAGGCTGGTCTCGAACTCCTGACCTCATGATCTGCCCACCTCGGCCTTCCAAAGTGCTAGGATTATAGGGGTGAGCCACTGTGCCCAGTGCTGCTCCTTTTTTCTTGCAACATGCGGATTACCATACCTTTCCTCTTTTCACCTTTAGCCCACTTTTTCCCTTTAAATACTGAAGCCCTCAGCATCATCTCTGGAGAAAAGGCACAGACCAGACTGTTTCTGGGATTCCCTATTTAGTTCTTCCAGGCATGTCCTTAACCTTGGCAAAATTAACTTCTAAATTGTTTTAGACCTGTGTCAGATAATTTTTGGTGTACAGTATGTGGTCACTTTCCCCCAAGATTTAAAAAAAAAAAATTTTTTTTTTCAATACGGAGTTTCACTCTTGTTGCCCAGGCTGCAGTGCAATGGCGCGATCTTGGCTCACCACAAACTCCGCCTCACGGGTTCAAACAATTCTCCTGCCTCAGCCTCCCAAGTAGCTGGGATTACAGGGATGTGCCACCATACCCAGCTGATTTTGTATTTTTGGTAGAGACAGGATTTCACCATGTTGGCCAGGCTGGCCTTGAACTCCTGACCTCAGGTGATCCACCCGCCTCGGCCTCCCAAAGTGCTGGGATTATAGGTGTGAGCCATCAGGCCCAGCCTCTTTTTTTAAATTCTTATGTATTTTAACTTATTTTAGAAACACAACTAGTACTTTTCTTTTTCAGACAGGGTCTTGCTCTGTCACCCTGGCTGGAATGCAATGGCTTAAGTGATTCCTACTTTAGCTCCCCACCAAGTAGCTGGGACTACAGGTGTGTGCCACCATACTCCGCTAATTTTTTTTTTTTAACTTTTTTTTTAGGCAGGGTTGCACCCTGTTGCCTAGGCTGGACTGGAGTGTGGCAGTGTGATCATGGTTCACTGCATCCTCAACCTCCTGAGCTCAGGTGATCTTCCCACCTCTCAGCCTCCCGAGTAGCTGGGACTACAGGCGCATGCCATCACACCCGGCTAATTTTTTGTATTTTTTGTAGAGATGGGGTTTCACCATGCTGCCTAAGCTGGTCTCGAATGCTTGGGCTCAAGTAATATGCCTGCCTTGGCCTCCCAAAGTGCTGAGATTACAAGTGTGAGCCACTGCGCCCACCCAGAAACTTCTTTGTTGAGATGAGGTCTCACTCTGTTGTCCAGGCTGGTCTTAAACTCCTGGGCTTAAGTGCCTGGGAGGCCTCTGTCGGCCTCCCAAAGTGTTGGGATTATAGGCATGAACCACCATTCCTAGCCAACTAGTGCTTTTTGTATCCTGTACAAGAAATCTCGCTTTGCTACCAAGTTTTTTTTTTTTTTTTTTTTTAAGAAAGATGTGTTTTGCATTAAGGTCTTAGTTTATTTTGTGTTGCTATAAGGAACACTTCAGGCTGGGTGACTTACAAAGAAAAAAGGTTTTATTTGACTCAATTCTGTTGGTTGGCAAGTTCAAGATCGAGCATCTGTATCTGGTGAGGGCTTCAGTCTGCTTCCACTCATGGCTGAAGGCAAAAGAAAGCAGTGCGTACAGAGATTGCATGGCGAGAGAGCAACAGTCAGCTTTTGCTGGAACTAATGGAGTGAGAACTCACTTGCTAGCCACCTCCATAGAAGGCATTAATCTATTCATGAGGGATCCACCCTCCATGACCCAAATATCATTAGGCTCCACCTCCAGCATTGGAAATCAAATTTCAAATGAGGTTTGGAGGGGACAGACTCCAAACCATAGCAAGGTCTATGATCCAGCTTGAGTTGTTTGTTTTTTTTTTTTCCAATTTTTAAATTGTAAAATACATATGACATAAAATTTACCATCTTAACCACTTTCTCTTTCTTTTTCTTTTCTTTTTTTTTTTTTTGGAGACAGAGTCTTGCTGTGTCACCAGGCTGGAGTGCAGTGGCGTGGTCTTGGCTCACTGCAACCTCCGCCTCCTGGGTTCAAGCCATTCTCCTGCCTCAGCCTCCCGAGTAGCTGGGATTACAGGCACCCACCACCACGGCCAGCTGATTTTTGTATTTTTGATAGAGACGGGGTTTCACCATGTTGGCCAGGATGGTCTCAATCTCCTGACCTCATGATCCGTCCACCTCGGCCTCCCAAAGTGCTGGGATTACAGGCATGAGCCACCGTGCCCGGCCTCATCTTAACCATTTTCAAAGGTTTATTGCAGTGGTAGGCAGTACATTTATGTTGTGCAACCTTTACTACCATCATCTCCAGAACTCTTTTCTTCTTGCAAAACTGAAGCTATACCCATTAAACAATAACTCATTTCCCTCCACCTCCTAGCTCCTGGAAACCACCATTCTACTACTTTCTGTCTCTATTATTTTGACTACTCTAGGTACCTTACATAAGTGGACTCATACATACAAATGCCTTTTTGTGACTGCCTTATTTCCCTTAGCATTGTGTCCTTAAGGTTCATCCATATTTTAGCTACTATGTTTCAGAATTTCCTTTTTTTTTTTTCTTTTTTGAGAAGCAGTCTTGCCCTGTTGTCCAGACTGAAGTGCAGTGGCGTGATCTTGGCTCACTGTAACCTCAGCTTCCTGGGTTCAAGTGATTGTCACCTCAGCCTCCTGAGTAGCTGGGATTACAGGCGCCCGCCACTGTGACCAGCTAATTTTTTTTTTTTTTTTTTTTTTTGAGACAGAGTCTTCCTCTGTCGACCAGGCTGGAGTGCAGTGGCGCGATCTTGACTCACTGCAACCTCCACCTCCCGGCTCAAGCAATTCTCCTGCCTTAGCCTCCTGAGTAGATGGGATTACAGGCGTGTGCCATCACACCCAGCTAATTTTTGTATTTTTAGTAGAAATAGGTTTTTACCATGTTAGGCAGGATGGTCTCGATATCCTGACCTTGTGATCCGCCTGCCTCAGCCTCCCAAATTGCTGGGATTACAGGTGTGAGCCACCACGCCTGGCCTTGTTTTTTTTTTTTTTTTTTTTTTGAGATGGAATTTCACTCTTGTTGCCCAGGCTGGAGTGCAATGTCATGATCTCGGCTCACTGCAACCTCCGCCCACCGGGTTCAAGCGATTCTCCTGCCTCAGCCTCCCGAGTAGCTAGGATTACAGCCATGCACCACCATGCCCGGCTGATTTTTTGTATTTTTAGTAGAGATGGGGTTTCTCCATGTTGGTCAGGCTGGTCTCAAACTCCCGACCTCAGGTGATCACCTGCCTTGGCCTCCCAAAGTGCTGGGATTACAGGCATGAGCCACCACGCCTGGCCTGATTTTTGTGTTTTTAGCAGAGACGGGGTTTTGCCATATTGGTTGGCCAGGCTGGTCTGGAACTCCTGACCTCAGGTGATCCGCCTGCCTTGGCCTCCCAAGGGCCATTCATAACAGATAACAGATCCATTCGTCTGTTAATGGAGACTTGAGTTGCTTCCAGTTTTAGCAATTGTGAATAGTGTTGCTGTGAACATAACGTGTACAAATGTCTCTGAGGTCCCGCTTCCAATTCTTTTGGTACGACCGAGTTTTACTTGACTATGATAAATTTAGTGCTTTCTATCTGATGTGGTGCTTTTCTCAAAATGTGAATTCAGGGCATTCAGTTTTTTTTTTTTTAGGTGGGGTCTCACTCTGTTGCCCAGGCTGGAGTGCAGTAGCAGTGGCAGGATCATAGCTCATTACAACCTTGATCTTCTGGGCTCAAGTGATTCTTCCGCTTTAACCTCCCGAGTAGCTGTAACTGCAGGCGCACATCACCATGCCCGGCAAAATTTTTAAATTTTTTTGTAGAGATGGTCTTGCTGTGTTGCCCATGCTGATTTTGAACTCCTGGCTTCAAGCAGTCCTCCCACTTTGGCCTCCCAAAGTGCTGGCATTACAGGAGTGAGCCACTGCATTTGGCTGCTGCTTTTTATTCTTCTAAAATTCAAACACTGATTTTTGTTTAAGTTGTTAAGAATATATGAATTTTTGGTGGACAGTTTCATATGATATCACCTGCTCATTTAAGGCTGCAGTGGCCAAACATACCAGATTTTTAATCTGACTTAGATACCAATTTCAACAGAAGCATCCAACACAGCTAGGTACTCTCTGTAAACCTTCAGCCCTACCCCCTCTGCCTCACTCAGTATATGTCTTTACAACTCCTACTTAACGGAGACAATAGAACCCTATCTGGTGGGGAGTTCTTTATTGTTACCAAGTCTACAGATTGTATATGTGCACACACATCCCCTTTTCTTAGGTTGCTGTTAATATGAGAAACATTTCTGTCCTTGTAAGGCTTATCTCTACCTATTGTTTTTTTTTTTCTTCATCGGCTGTTTATTTAGCCCCTGCTGTGTGCCAGCCACTATAAATAAAATAAAGCCATTGCCCTGTTGAAGCTTAAATTCTAGTGGATAGAAAGTAAAGTTTGTTGGGTGGTGTTAAGTGCTATATAGAGGAAAGTAAAGCAGAGAAGATTGATAAGGAATGGGTTGACGTGTAACATTATTATTTAAACAGGGTCCCTGGGGAAGATAACCTCACTACCGAAGATCAGATACCTTTTTGTTTTTCTCATTCATCATTACTAGCCTTTTATGCTAATATATTTTCCTGGGTACCATTTAAAATCTTGCTTTTTTTTTTTTTTAAAGATTCTTGCAGTGACTTGGAATTGTATCTTTTTGAGTTATTTTCCTATTGGTTGCCCTAGTTAGGATTAATACCCATTTTAATTATAATAGTATATAAAAGAACTTTGTTCCTATAAAGCTTTATTTCCTTTCCTCTCTTTGTGCAGTTGTTGTGCTACAAGTTATGTCCCTCTATTGTATACCCATCAACACAGATGTCTAATTATTGCTTAATGTGATTGCCTTTTAAATTGGGAAGAAAAAAAGACTCCCCCCCGCCCCCCAGAAATACGTTTATACTATCTTTTGTAGTTACGTATGGAGTTAACTTTACTAGCACTCTTTATTTTTTAGGTGGATTTGAATTACTCTCTGGTGTGTTTATATTTTAGCCTGAAAGACTCCCTTTAGTATTTCTTTAGGGTAAGTCTGTTAGCAAGAAGTTCTTTTCTGTTTTAATATGGGAATAATTTAATTTCTCCTTCATTTTTAAAGGATAGTTTTGTTGGATATAGACAATCTCTTTTCTTTCAGCACTTTGAATATATCCCACTGCTGCCATGTTTTCTGATGAAAAGTCAGCTGCTTTGGGAGGATCCTTAGTATGTGATGAATTGCTTCTCTTTGATGTTTTCAAGATTTTCTTATTTTTATTGGCTTTTAATCATTTGATTTGATGTATCTTGATGTGAATCTCTTTTAGTTTATCTTGTAATTCGTTGAGCCTCTTGGATGTGTAATGTTTTCTATCACATGGGAAATTTTGGGCTGTTATTTCTCCAATTATTTTTTCTGTCCTTCTCTTTCCTTCCTTGATTCTCATCATGCATATGTTGGTATACTTAATGGTGTCCCACAGGTTTCTGAGGCTCTGTTCATTTTTCCTTATTATTTGTTCTTTCTGGTTCTCAGACTGGCTAATCTCAGTTGACCTATCTTCAAGTTGGTTGATTGTTCTGCCTGCTCATAGCTGCTGTTGAGCCCTTCTATTGAGTTTTTCATTTCAGTTTCTGTACTTCCCAATTCCAGAATTTCTGTTTGATTCTTTCTTAAAATTTTTGTGTGTTTATTAACATTCTTTATTTGGTAAAATATCATTCTCATATGTTTTCCTTTAGTTCTTTAGACATTATTTTCTTTAGTTCTTTCAACATATTTATAATAGATGATTTGAAGTCTTAGTCTAGGGCTAGGTGCGGTGGCTCATGCCTGTAATCCCAGCACTTCGGGAGGCCGAGGTGGGAGGATCGCTTGACCTGGGAGTTTGAGACTAACCTGAGCAACATAGTGAGACCCCCCATCTCCACAAAAAATAAAAAAATTAGCCGGGCATGGTGGCACATGCACCTGTAGTCCCAGCACCTCAGGAGGCTGATGTGGGAGAATTGGTTGAGCCTAGGAGGGCGAGGCTACAGTGTGGCACCCAGCCTGGGCAACAGAGTGAGACCCTGTCTCTAAATTAAAAAATTCTAAAAAGTTCAGTGTCTGGGCTTTCTTAGGAGTAGTTTATATTGACTGCTTTTCCTCTGTGTATAGGTCCTACTTGTTTTTCTGCATGCCTAGTTATTTTTTTGTTGAAAACTTTTATTTTTTAGGTACTGGGTCTTGCTGTGTTGCCCAGGCTGGATTTGAACTACTGGGCTTGAGATCCTCTTGCCTCAGCCTCCTGAGTAGCCAAGACTACAGGCATGTGCCACTGTGTCTGACTAAAAAACTATAGACATTTAATATAATGTGGAAACTCTGGAAATCAGATTCACCCACCCCCCAGGGTTATTTGTTGTTTGTTTTGTGAAGTCTATATTTTTTGTTGTCTGTGGTTACTGAAGTCTCTGCACAGTTAGCTTAGTGGTTGAGTGAATGGGCAGAGAAGCTATTGAATGAGCAGAGATTTCCTTGGATGCCTAAAACATGTAAGTCCTCTGGTCTTTGCCAGGGGGCTCTATGTGTGTGTTGGGGCATGCCTTCAACATTCAGCCAGGAATTTACAACTCTGCTTGAGCTCTTCCTGCCTGTGCAAAGCCTTAATGTTAGTCAGAGGTGAGAGTTTAGGTCCTCCTCTGGTCTTTTCTGAGCATGTGCACAGTGCTACATGAGTATGGCCTTCTAGGTTCTCAGGAATATGTCAGAGTTTTTCAAAGTCCCCTGCATACATCTCATTTCCCAGCTTTTCTTTTTAAGCTTTTTAGTTAGCTTCTTGTTTGCCTCAAATATTATCTTATACCTCAGGCAGCCACAATATTAGACAGTTGTTTCTGATTGTTTTTGACCAAAAGTGCCCATGGAGACACCTGTTTATGCTGGATGAGCTTGATTACAGGTCAAATAAAGATGGCTTTGCTAGTAGTCTTCCACAGAACCACCAGATATATCAGATGACAGTTGTTTAGGGATGGGACTTTGAAGGGGCTCCAACGCTGTTCTGCCCCCTCCAGTGGCTGCTGATTTTTACAGTGACTGTGGGCTATTGGATTTCATGGATACTGTGGAAATGGGAAGGAGTGAAATGGGAGTAGCAAGTTAAAATGCCATAAAATTTGTAGCTCCTACCAAGATTCAGCCATATTTGTTTAATGGACACTCCCCGGATTGCCACAATCCTTTGGTTTATTTCTACAGTTTTGAAAAAGTTGATTTTTACAACTTTGCCATGTTTTTGTTGCTTTTATGAAGGAGAGATTTTCAGAGGTCTCCACTCTGCCTTTTTTGCTGACATTACCTTCTCTGTGTCATTGGAAGTCAAGGAGGCTCGTAATAGCAACCCTTAATAAGGATGCACGGGTTCCTACTCTGAGCTTAGAGGGTTCAAGGGATCTTGGGTGTTTGTATTCTAGTCAGGTGAGACCATAAGAGGAGACATCGAAGAAGTTCAAGAAAACAAAGTTTGTTATACACACAGGTTTTATAGACAGGAGGCACAACATGCCATGCAGGGCCCTCCAGGGTGGTCAGGAGGCTGAAGACAGGAAGGAGGGGAAGGTTTAAGCCAGAGCCTTTATTAGGGTTTCCATGGGAAAAACAACAGATGCTTTGCAGTTTAGGGTTGGCTAGTTTGAATAACTTTGGCGGGCTCTAATCTATAGAGTTGGTTCCTAGTTGTGTGCTACCTGGCCTAGGATGATTAAGGCAGAGGAATATTGCCTACTGGGGTGTAGGGGCCAGACAGAGGAGGTGTGGCTCTGGATTAATTCATTTGTATATTAAAGGCAGGTTCCTTGCTGAGGCCTTGCTGTCTCTAAGAATTGGCTGTCCCTGGGAGGGGCAGCCTACATACAATACACTGGGGATTGAAGATTTTTAAGTTAATCTGCTCATGTCCCCCTCCCATTTTTCAGCGTCCCTGTTATTTCCTTTTTCCATGCAGGCCTTAATTTAATTTAACTTTCTTTTGAGCCCTGCTGCTGTTACGATTAGGTCCTGATCCTGTTCCTTAGCCTTTTGTGGCATCCTGCTGTTTGAAATGAGTGTCTTTTTATGCTACCAAAGAACCTTCTGGCTTTCACATTTAGGTTTTTTTTTTATTGTCTATTACTTTCGCCTCTTGTTAATAGTTTTCCAAAGGGTCAGTTGCCTTTTAACAACAACAACAATCCAATTTCATGGTCCTTGTAATTGTTCTTTTCCTCATATTTCTCAAATACCTGATACATTACAATTTTTTTTTTTTTGAGATGGAGTCTCGCTCTGTCACCCAGCCCTGAGTGCAGTGGCACGATCTCGGCTCACTGCATTCTCCATCTCCTGGGTTCAAGCGATTCTCCTGCCTCAGCCTCCCAAGTAGCTGGGACTACAGGTGCACACCACCACACCCAGCTAATTTTTGTATTTTTAGTAGAGATGGGGTTTCACCATGTTGGCCAGGATGGTCTTGATCTCCTGACCTCGTGATCCACCCGCCTTGGCCTCCCAAAGTGCTAGGATTACAGGCATGAGCCAGTGCACCTAGCCTACATTGCACCTTCTAATGCAGAGGTTGTCAAAGTATGGCTTACAGGCCAAACCCAGTTCTTGACCTGCCTTTTTTTGTGGTGGCCCATTATTAAAGAGTCGTAAAACAGTAACAACAAAAAAGACTATGAAATGATGCAAAGCCCAAGTAATTATATTTACTGTGTGACCCTTTATCGAAAAGGTTTGCCAGCTACTACATTCCCTTCTACTGGAAAACTACCCAATTTACCACCAGTGGAAGTTTTAACATTTGCAGTGCCACTTTGTGCTAGTGGCTCCTTTCTAGTCATCACCAGTGATGGGGTTCTCATTGTCAGCTGGGTGACTAGGTGGTCGGTGACCCAACTCCAGTGCTTTATTTTAGAGCCTGTTTTCTTACATTATTCCTGTCACCAGTGGCTTAAAATTGAGTTCCCTGGGGGAGCTGAGGCAGCAGTTAGCATGCGTGAAGTTTGTTATGGGAGATATTTCAGAATCAGTGTCTGTGAAAGGAATGGAAAATAAACTGAGGGATAAACAGGCTACAACAAAAAGCTCACTTGAACCCAATGTGGAACTCTGCAGCTGGGATAGCCCTCAGAATTGTCCTAAGTTGGGCGTAAGGGCTAGAGGTTTGATCAGTCATTGGATGGAGGCCACTTTGGAGGACAACTGAATTTAGTGGAGGTAATTTCTAAAGAGGATTGACAGCCGAGGGCTGTTTTCCAGCATTCTCAGCAGCTGGACAATAAATCCTTCATTCCTGAAAGGGGATATGGGGCAGCACATCAGTGTCTGCTACATGTAGCCTCGTGTGAGTTTTTCTAATTAAAATTTACTTTTATTTTTAAAAATTGTCATACTTTTCTTTTTTAATGAATTAGTTTTTCTCATGAGAAAGCTGTAAAATACAGTATTCTCAAGTAGTGGTATGTTTTTACTGATAATAAGATGGGCAACTCTTCCTAAGGTGTTTTGGAAAAACTGAGCTGTTTTGGTTTTAATTTGTGTAAATTATGAGTTAACCATTTTAGTACTAGAAATATCATCATAGAGTCCTGAAATCCTAATCAGAAGGATTGAAATTTATAGCTAGCAGATATTCAAAAGGCAGCTAATTCATTCCTCTCATTTGACAAATGAGGAAGCTAAGAACAAGAGAGAGGGTTATGAAGCTATTAGTGACAAGGAAGGATTAGAATGTAAGTCTCTAAACTCCCAGGCTAGTGTCCTTTATAATAATTTATAAGAAGGGAGTTCTTTTGTTTTTTTTTTCTTTTGTGGCCTTTATAGCCATCTTGCTGCTCCCAGGAACTTTGTTAAACAATATGCAGATGCTTCAGTAACAACAAGAATTGTAAAGTTAACTTTTGGAGTTATGTCATTTTGGACAGATGAATCTGATTTATTTTTAACTTTCGTGGAAGATGATTCACAGCTTTGGAAACGTTTTCCTGATGACTGTGGGTTATCAGGTAATGGAAACTTCATTATTTATTTGCTGGCAGGATCATACAATGAACACGGTATTTTCAAGTGAGATCTGAAAGTGCTCTGGCACTTAAACATTTAGTATTTTATCTTAAACATATTCTAGATCATTTGACTCATAACTGTCACTTGACCCTGGGGTCAAAATTTGCATTTGTGTTTATGTTTTTAGTGATGCCAAGTAAATACTGTTTTGGTTGTTGGGGACTAATATTAAGGAAAAGAATAGAGATGTTCTTAATAAGATGGTTTTGAGTTAAATGACCAAATTATTTTGTAATATGTGGCATTAATGTCGCATAATTGAAACTAAGAAAAAGTGCATGTCTTATTATGAGGCACTCAGTAGTCCAGTCATTCCAAACTTAAAAGATATCTTGTGGTGCAGTTGGTACATTTTCATGTTGTGAGCAGAGATTTAAATTCAGCAAAACCACATCACCTGTTTTTTTAAAGTGTAACTTGTTAAATTTAAATTTGTTTGGAAGTTTTATATTTAGTTTTTAGTTTATTTGGTTTTGTGTTTATATTGTTTTATATTTAGTTTTTAGTTTATTTGGTTTTATGTTTTTAGTTTATTTGGTTTTGT
Source organism: Homo sapiens (assembly GCF_000001405.40). Taxonomy (NCBI): domain Eukaryota; kingdom Metazoa; phylum Chordata; class Mammalia; order Primates; family Hominidae; genus Homo; species Homo sapiens. Next base: position 30,994,523 of record NC_000014.9, on the reverse strand, counting down.
GTTTATATAAGATCCCTATGCATACAGTTTATTTCTAGGTTTATGTTTGGATAGATTTAAATAACCTTAAAGGAGAAATAATTTATGTAATATTAGAAACTACAGGAACATTTCACCTTTTTAAAAAGTCTGTGTATAACTCAAGTTGATAGTCTCTATCTCCAGAGTTCTAAACGATTTTAAAGAAATTGATGTTAGACCACCTGAAGATATCTAAAGTATATGAAAATTGGGCTGGGTGGCCGTGGCTCATGCCTGTAATCCTAGAACTTTGGGAGGCTGAGGCAGGCAAATCACCTGAAGTCAGGAGTTCAAGACCATCCTGGCCAACATATTGAAACCCCGTCTCGCCAGGCCTGGTGGCTCATACCTGTAATCCCAGCACTTTGGGAGGCCGAGGCGGGCGGATCACCTGAGGTCAGGAGTTCAAGACCAGTCTGACCAACATGGGAAACCCCATCTCTACTAAAAATACAAAATTAGCTGGGTGTGGTGGCACATGCCCGTATTCCCAGCTACTTGGGAGGCTGAGGCAGGAGAATCGCTTGATCCCGAGAGGTGGAGCTTGCCGTGAGCCGAGATTGTGTGCCATTGTACTCCAGCCTGGGCAACAAGAGTGAAATTCCATCTTAAAAAAAAAAAAGAAAGAAACCCCATCTCTACTAAAAACACAAAAATTAGCTGGGTGTGGTGGCGGGTGCCTGTAATCCAAGCTACTCAGGAGGCTAAGGCAGGAGAATTGCTTGAACCTGCGAGGCCGAGGTTGCAGTGAGCCGAGATCGCACTATTGCACTCCAGCCTGGGCGACAAGAGTGAGACTGTGTCTCAAAAAATAGAAGTATATGAAAGTTACAATGAATGTGTTAGTCATATTTTACATGTATATAGGCAGCAAAGGAGTATGTAAAAGAATATTTTAAATTATAATAATAATAAATTTCTTTTGAATAAAGCATCTGATGCCATAGGCTACTACAAGGAAGTTCTGACAATTTCAGTCTTCAAAGATTCACTCCATTTCTCATGTTATATTTAAGTCATTTGAATGTGTTTAACTGCAAATAGTCAATAGTGAATCTTAGGAAGAAAATTCCTAATCTATTTGTTTTGTATGTTCACATTTTTGCCAATTACTCTTCAGTGTGATATAGGTATTCATGATGAAATAGTCATGTTCTCCCTACTAAGAGCTGCTTGGTAAATCCAGTACTTACTGAAGTCAGGCACTACCTGTAGTTTACTCAGTTTGTGGGTTTTTTTTTTTTTTTTGAGACAGTGTCTCACTTTGTCACCCAGGCTGTAAGGGAGTGGTGGGATCATAGCTCACTGCAACCTCAACCTCCCAGGCTCCTGCATCAACCTGCCAAGTATAATAGCTGGGACTATAGGCACATGCCAGCCTACCTGGCTAGTTTATTTTTTGTAGAGTTGGGGTCCCACTATGTTGCCCAGGCTGGTCTTGAAGTAGAAGAATGATTATGTTGACAAATGATGTCTTATTAAGATTATAAATTATGATTAGTGAAATATCTAGCTGGGAACAATGGCACACCCACCTATGTCCTAGCTACTCAGAAGGCTGAAGTTGGGAGGATCACTTGAGCCCAGTAGTTTGAGACCAGCCTAGGCAACATAGTAAGACCCTGTCCTCCCCACTATTTTGTTTGTTTGTTTTTAGAAATAAGGGTCTGGCTGTTGCCCAGGCTGCTCTCGAACTTTTGGGCTCAAACAATCTTACCGCCTTGGCCTCCCAAAGTGCTGGGATTACAGGTGTGAGCCACTGTACCTGGCCAGTTTACTCACTCTTTAATGGGGGAATATAGACGCATATAAAAATACGATGAATTGAGCTGAGCACCAGTAGCAGTTTTATTTAGTCTTTATACTCTTGAAAAGGTATTTCACATTTCGTTAGCTTCCCCCGACCCCATCTTTTTTTTTTTTTTTTTTTTTTTTTTAAAGAGACAGGGGCCGGGCACTGTGGCGCTCACTCTTGTAATCCCAGAACTTTTGGAGGCTGAGGCTGGTGGATCAGTTGATCCTAGAAGTTTGAGACCAGCCTGGGCAACAGCAAGACACTTACTTCTTTTTCTTTTCTTTCCTTTTCTTTTTTTTTTTTGAGACAGAGTCTTGCTCTGTCTCCAGGCTGGAGTGCAGTTGGCACAATCTTGGTTCACTGCAACCTCTGCCTCCTGGATTCAAGCGATTCTCAGGTCTCCCGAGTAGCTGGGATTATAGGCGCCCGCCACCATGCCCAGCTAATTTTTGTATTTTTAGTAGAGATGGGGTTTTGCCATGTTGGCCAGGCTGTTCTTGAACTCCTGAGCCTCAGGTGATCCGCCCGCCTCAGCCTCCGAAAGTGCTGGGATTACAGGCATGAGCCACTGCACCCGGCCCCTTTGCCTTTTTAAAATTGCTTTTTTTGTGTTGTTGTTGTTGTTGTTGAGTTTTCCATATACTATTATCTCTACTGTTGTGTTTGAGAATGTCCAAAAAGAATTGTCAAAAACATTTTTAATAGTCGTATGGACTGATATATTCAAATAAAACTTTTTAATGATGTTTTATTTATTTGTTTTTACTTTTTTTTTTTTTTAAAGAATAGAGAAGGGGTCTTGCTATGTTGACTAGGCTGGTCTTGGACTCCTGGCCACAAGCATGCCTCCCCAAGTACTGGGATTACAGGTGAACCACTGCTCCCAACCTTTAATGACATTTTCTGATAAGGTCTTTTATAATATGGCTTCTTCTAACCTTTCGGTTTTATGTTCCGTCTCTTCCTCCTCCTCTCCTCTACCCTCTTCCTCTCACCCTCACCCCCAAACACACACTCAAAATAAAGTTCCAGCCATTCTTTATTTCCCTAAACTCTGGTAAAGTTAGTGTATCTTCTCCAGCCCTTCACACATACTGTTTCCTCTGCTTAGAACACTTCCTCTCCCATTTGATCTGAGTTCTCTTCAGGTCAAAGCTTAGCTATCATTTCCTCTGGGAAAACATTTTTGAGCCTGCAAGTGTAAATGAGGTATTCCTCCTATGTGATGAACTTCCATTATTATAATATTTATTAACCTGCATTACAGATGCCTGTCCTATTTACTTTATCTTTAACAGTAGGCTGTAATCTCTGTGAGGGTAGGGATTGTATTGCCCTATGTATGATTGTACCCCAGAATGAAAGAATGAATACTAGTACTCATATTATTTCAACAAATTTGTGTTTCTCATAGGTTGAAGGAACTCTGTGTGATACAGAGTTGAACATAAGTTCTTTTATTCAGGTAACTTCAAATCTAATGGAGGAGAAATAGGTTACCTCATACCTTGCCCTACTCCACATGACCTCTTAATAGTAGGAACTTCAAACCAAATGGTATGATCATACCTGGTCAAAACCAAGCTGAAAATAAAACCTAGAAATACTGCTGGCCTGTTTCTGAAGCAGCTAATGATTAGACTGTATCTTCTCTTTCTCATATTAGTCAAGAGTAAGCTGTGATGATGTTAATGCTATGTCTTAATTCCTTCCTTTTCTGGTACAGCTGCCCCTCTGTATCTGTGGGTTCCACATCCTTGAGTTCAACCAGCTGTGAATCATAAATATTCAAGGAAAAGAAAGGACTGTTGCATCTGTACTGCACATGTACAGACTTTTTTCTTTGTCATTATTCCCTAAACAGTATAATATAACAACTATTTACATGCACCTACATTGTATTAGGTATTTAAAGTAATCAAGAGATAATTTAAAGTATATGGGAGGATATGCATAGGTTATATGCAAATACTACACCATTTTATATAAAGGGCTTGAGCATCTCTGCGTTTTGGTATCCTAGGAGGGTCCTGAAACCGCTCCCTCACAGATAGTGAGGGCCAACTGTATTTTAACAGATGAAATCTGTGCTGTGTCAGCTTTAGGGAGACAAGTCATGGTCACATTTTTTGGCACTCATATACACCCTAAATTCTGTGGTCTTCATTATAAGTTAAGGAACCTGTCTCCCCTTTTGCATATCAAGTACATGCCATCTCTTAAAAGTCATAGTGCCCTTTGGCCGGGCGCGGTGGCTCAGGCCTGTAATCCCAGCACTTTGGGAGTCTGAGGCGGGCGGATCATGAGATCAGGAGATCGAGACCATCCTGGCTAATACGGTGAAACCCCGTCTCTACTAAAAATGCAAAAAAAAATTAGCCGGGTGTGCTGGTGGCGGGCACCTATAGTCCCAGCTACTTGGGAGGCTGAGGCAGGAGAATGGCATGAACCCGAGAGGCAGAGCTTGCAGTGAGCCGAGATTGCGCCACTGTACTCCAGCCTGGGTAACAGAGTGATACTCCATCTCAAAAAAAAAAAAAAGTCATAGTGCCCTCAGAAGACTGCTAGAACACTCTTGCCACTCTGGTTTACTGTTACTTCTCTTTAACTCCTTGAGTCATTAGGCCCAGGGATTTTTTCAGGAAATGTGTATAGGAGTCCCTCTTTCCTGAGTTTATAGCCTCTTGTTCTGTCCCATTCCACATTTCTGAATTGAAATGACACACATGCTCTTAAAGTATCTGAGCCTTCCATTTTTTTGATTTAGTCTTCATTGTCACCATTGTGAGTCTTTCAATAACTGATGACAGACAATTCATATTAATCATCCCATTTCATAGATATGGAAACTGAGGTAATTAATTTGCCCAGGGTCACATGAGTTAGTATGTGTTAGGGTTGGAATTATGCATTGGAATCTCCTACCGTCTGGCTATAAATCCTGTGTTTTGTCCGGGCGCGGTGGCTCACGCCTGTAATCCCAGCACTTTGGGAGGCTGAGGCGGATGGATCACGAGGTCAGGAGATAGAGACCATCCTGGCTAACACAGTGAAACCCCATCTCTAAAAATACAAAAAAATTAGCCAGGCGAGGTGGCGGGCACCTGTAGTCCCAGCTACTCGGGAGGCTGAGGCAGGAGAATGGCGTGAATCTGGGAGGTGGAGCTTGCAGTGAGTTGAGATTGCGCCACTGCACTCCAGCCTGGGCGACAGAGCCAGACTCCATCTCAAAATAAATAAATAAATAAAAATCCTGTGTTTAAATGACTGTTTTGTTGCTGCTGTCTCGCTACCTCCCAATCTACTACCTTTGGAGAAATAGTCACTATATCATTGGGCTGCCATGAAGAGGAAGGCTTTTGAAGTCAGGCCTAGGTATATAACAGCAAGCCATCTCTTCCAGGTATGGGTGCCATTGCTGTGAAGATAGAGGAAGTTCACGGTGAAGAAGGTAGTCAGAATCTGTTTGTGGCAGGGTCCAGGCTGGGCAGGTTACTAGAACAGGGGTCTTTAAGTGATTGCTTAGTGGGCCAAAGAATAAGGTAACTGACCCCTCTCTTTATCTTGAACTTGACCAGACTACTTTCTGTGGATGATTCAAATTCCTTTTCATATGAGTCTTTTTATTTTTGAAGGTTAAGAATCTACCTGGGGTAGTGAAGGCATTGGACCCTGGGAAGCCAGTAGACTTGAGATCTACTGTCCTGATTCTTCTATCTTACTAGCCAAGACAGTGTCCGTGAGCAAGACACTTTACTTCCAGAGGGGGTGGCTTAGTTGCCTAATTTGTAAAATAATTATAATTCATTATTGGAAGTGGAGATTATAGAGCTGGAATATTCACTTCCTGTGGTATAAATAGTGTGAACAAAAGTTGGATGGCTGTAAAGTGCAAGGTCTTTTTTGAGGAATGTTGCATGTTTCACTTGTGGTAGAGTACAGAGGAATGATGAAAAATAAGCTTGAAAATGTAGGATAATGGTAGAATGGAGAGAACCTTGAAAATAGCCTGTTAGGACAGTAGATGAGTCATTCAAAACTTTGTCAGAGAAAAGTGAGAGGACCTGCTTTATAATTGTACCATGACTTCATTTTCTTTATTAATTATTCTCTTTCTCTTTTTAAATGTTCAGATTTTAAGGAATAAATTTGCATTCCAACCAAGTTTTGCTGTTTCATCTCCATTCATTGATATGCTTTAATTTTGTTGTAGTTGGGCTCAGCAGATTTCTACTTTGTATTGTATATGTTCGTTGAGTAAATATATTTGGTAAAATTAAGAAAGGTAAATAACAAATAAAAATAGGTTGTGGTGCTAGCAGAAAGGGGCATAAAGAGATAAGCTTAGAAAAGTTAATACCTGGAACAGCTTTTTGTTTATTAATTTTAGTTTGAGTATAAGGGTCAGAGTTTGGTTGATAATACCTTTTAGGATTTGCTTATGAGGCCAAAGTGCTGCTCGTGTCACAGGACCTAGCTGAGCATCTTGGACATTGTTTTTTAATATGTCAAATCAGTGTTAGTCTTGTTCAGTATAATAAACATTTATTGAATGTTTGGAATAATGGAAGACTTGGCTTCTGTTCAGGGCTCACAGTCCAGTGAAGGAATGTAAAACTTGCTTTAATATACAAGACATTTGGAAGAAAGCACTGCAAGAAGTGAGAAAAACAGCTGGACGCGGTGGCTTACGCCTGTAGTCCCAGCACGTTGGGAGGCCTAGGCGGGCGATTCACAAGGTCAGGAGTTCAAGACCAGCCTGACCAACATGGTGAAACCCCGTCTCTACTAAAAATACAAAAATTAGCTGGGCATGGTGGCACACACCTGTAATCCCAGCTACTTGGGAGGCTGAGGCAGGAGAATTGCTTGAACCCGGGAGGCAGAGGTTGCAGTACCAAGACCGCGCGCCACTGCACTCCAGCCTGGGCAACAGAACGAGAGTCTGTCTCAAAAAAAAAAAAAATTATATTCAACTGATTGAATGTAAGAAAATATTGTGGGCAGAATCACAGCGAGTAGTCAGAATAATCTTTCTGGAATGCAAATATTGATTATTTTATTGTTTTACTTTTTAAGCTACCATGGCTCCTCCAAATTTCTAATATGAACCTCAAGGTCCTACATGGCCTGGTTGTGACGTATTTCTCTAGCCTCAGCTTAAATTTTATTTTATGTTTTTTTTTATTTTTTATTTTTTTGAGATGGAGTCTCGCTCTGTCACCCAGGCTGAAGTGCAGTGGCGCGATCTCAGCTCACTGCAAGCTCTGCCTCCTGGGTTCACGCCATTCTCCTGCCTCAGCCTCCTGAGTAGCTGGGACTACAGGCGCCTGCCACCACGCCCAGCTAATTTTTTGTATTTTTAGTAGAGATGGGGTTTCACCATGTTAGCCAGGATAGTCTCGATCTCCTGACCCTGTGATCCGCCTGCCTCGGCCTCCCAAAGTGCTGGGATTACAGGCGTGAGCCACTGCGCCTGGCCCTTAAATTGTATTTTATATTTTCTTTTTCCGGCTGCCATGCCTCTACGTTACTCTTGCCCTTTCTTTGGAGTTTTACTGTTCTTTATATCCTCAGAGTCTATCACAGTGTACAGCCTGTACTAGTAAGTGTGTTTAAAGGACTGTATGCCTTCTTGTACCATAAAGAGGGTAAGTTTATGCAAACACTGAAATTAAGAAACAAAATTTTGTTGGTAATTAGAGCTTGAGTATTTTTTTTGATTATCCTTCCATACAGTGAAATAAATGGAGATACCAAAATATAAAAAAATGAACTTTTTGCTTTGTGGATTTGAGAAAGACTATAAAGAGTAAATTAAATATGTAGTATGTGTGAGAGATGAAATTCACCATTGATTTTTCTTTCCTTCCTTTAACAGTTTCATTACTGAAAAAAATAGTTGATATCTTCTGTTTAAGAGTGGCACTACATTACACTAAAGTAGGTGTGAGCCAAAATGAATTGTACTTTTTTCTATTTATTTCCAAGACTTGGGGAAACATTAACTTATTCAATAAGTATTAGCTGGCACCTGCATTATGCAGGATGGAAAATGTAATTTGCATGATGCTAGGGTAGCACTATAGTAGGATAAAATGATGTGGCCTGTGTTTTCAAGGAACTTGTTTTCTGCATAGTATGGAAAGTAAAAGAAATATAGGAATAGTGTTAGTAGCTAAAAGGTTTATTACCTTTTAGGTTAGGTACTTGTCTTATTTGCAAATATGTCCTTTCTGGCTACTATCTAGCTACTACTGTAATAATCACATTCTTGAGAAATGCTTGAGTTCTTGAAGGCATTTCAGCCAAGCACACATTTCTAAGTAAAACATGGACTGTCCCTTTCTATGTTTTCTAAACGGTTGACCGAGCTAGATAATGTAAATAAAAATACGTATTTCTCTTAATTTTCTTTTAATCTTAGAACACTTCAGGAGGCCAGTGTTTTTTTCTTTTTCGCTTTGGATCTGCTTTGGTTGTTCTCAGCATTTTAGAAGCATACCTGTCCCTCACACGCATCCATGCAGTGAAGCCTTATACATGTTTTCCAAATGGAAGGTAAATGAAGAGGGAACTTTTATACCTTCACTCCTTTCATAGAAAGATCATTCTCATTCTTTTTTTAATAGATCATTTCTCTTTAATAGAAAGATCATTCTCTCCTTCCCTAGGTTTCCCATCTTGTGGTTAAGGCTGAAAATTCCTGAGAGAGAGAGAGAGAAAGCGCATGCACACAAGTGCTTATGATTGAGAATGAAAAGAGAGCTGAGGGGGGTGTGTGGGAGACTTAATAAAAATAGATGTTGAGCTAGGTCTTGTTCTGAACAGGTAGTTTTTGGACAGAAAAAAATGGAAAAGGATATTAATGTGAGCCTAAGATATTAGCAAAAGATACGTGTGCAAACATTAGCAAAAGATGTAAGTGTAAACGTTAGCAAAAGATATATTTCTTATGATAAAACTATAAACATAAGTCAAACATGGATCATCATTTATACATATTTATGTGAAGATCTTAAAGTTTCTTCTTAATGGTATATTTTCCCATATAAGAGATGTTTATGAAACTGTTTAGACTACCAAAGATCAATTTTTTTTTTTGAGATGGAGTTTCGCTCTCGTTGCCCAGGCTGGAGTACAATGCGTGATCTTGGCTCACTGCAACCTCTGCCCACCAGATTGAAGTGGTTCTCCTGCCTCAGCCTCCCAAGTAGCTGGAACTACAGGCATGCGCCACCATGCCTGGCTACTTTTTGTATTTTTAGTAGAGACGGGGTTTCATGATGTTGGCCAGGTTGGTCTCGAACTCCCGACCTCAGGTCATCCACCTGCCTCGGCCCCCAAAAGTGCTGGGATTACAGGTGTGAGCCACCGCGCCTGGCCTATTTTTTTTTTTTTGGCGGAGTTTTACTCTTGTTGCCCAGGCTGGAGTGCAATGGTGCCATCGTGGCTCACTGCAACCTCTGCCTCCTAGGTTCAAGCGATTCTCCTACCTCAGCCTCCCGAGTAGTTGGGATTACAGGCACCCGGCTGTAATTTTTTGTATTTTTAGTAGAAATGGGGTTTCGTCATATTGGCCAGGCTGGTCTTGAACTCCTGACCTCAGGTGATCCACCTACCTCGGCCTCCCAAAGTGCTGGGATTACAGGTGTGAACCACCGCGTCCGGCCAAGATAAAATATTTTTGTTATTAAAAAAAAGTATTCCGCAATTACATCTAACTTTTTTAAAGCTTAGGATACTTCATAAAAAGAAAGATCCTAGGAATTTCTAAATGCCTAATCCTCATCTATTCAAATCATTAAGTATGTATTACTTCTAAAGGGGTATAACAAATTAAGCTGTTAGAGTTCTGAATGTCAAAATTGTGGGAGCAGTGTACTCTATAGTTGCCATACTTTTTATTTTTTATTTAAATTTTCTGAGACGGAGTCTTGCTTTGTCGCCAGGCTGGAGTGGAGTGCAGTGGTGCAATCTTGGCTCACTGCAACCTCCGCCTCCCCATTTCAAGTGATTCTCCTGCCTCAGCCTCCTGAGTAGCTGGGACTACAGGTGCCTGCCACCACGCCCAGCTAATTTTTGTATTTTTGGTGGATACGAGGTTTCATCCTGTTGGCCAGGATGTTCTCGATCTCTTGACCTCGTGATCTGCGCACCTCAGCCTCCCAAAGTGCTATAGTTGCTATCCTTATGAGTGGTTTTAATGAGCTAGTACTAAGTAATGTGAATAATTTTTTCCCTAGATATTTAAAAGCCATCCTTCTCAAAATTAGGTGGCTTAACTAACAGCAAAGTTTTTTTGAGATGGAGTCTCGCTCTGTTGCCCAGGCTGGAGTGCAGTGGCATGATCTCAGCTCACTGCAGTCTCTGCCTCTTGGGTTCATGCAACAGCGTAGTTTTAATTCTTTTCTGTTTTTTTTTTTTTTTTTTTTTTTTTTAGAATTCCTCATCCTTTTCTTTCTTTGCCTGCTTCATTTTTCCTTCATAGTACATTTTAATTATCAAGACTTTTTCATGAAAAGAAATACATTTAAACCTTTTTATAGGCCTTTGTGTGTGGGGGGGGGTTGGGGGGGGCGGGGAAGATGCCATGGAATTTCACAGAGCTATCCAAGATATCTTGCAATATCAGTGTCTGTGGGCCAAATCAGACATCCTTTTTGTTGTTGTTGCTGCCACCATCCCCACTCTCCTTCCCTTCCTAGACGCAACCTAGTACCTGCCTCTCAGACACTGTATTTTGCAGAAACTTAATTGATAAGTAATGTCTACATGAGCTGTTAAAGGGAATTTTCAAAGAATATTATTATTTTCTTCATTTACTTTTTAAAGGTTAGTTAGATATGTATTATAGAGACTGTGTTTAGGTTTTTTCTCTTGGAAATTTTACATTCTAGGTTTAATAACTACATTTATTGAATTTAGTACTATAGTAATAAATATGAGTATAAATACCTGACTTCTAAATTTAGGATTCTTTCAGCTTATTCATCTTTACTTTCTTAACTCTCTTAAATATTTCTTTCATTTTGATCATTAATATACTGAATTAGTGTAGAGTAGATTAATAAAATCTGAGGAATCACATTTATTTGATCAAAGTGAATTCTCCCTTTACACATGAAAAAACATCTTTGCCTTATTTTATTTATTTATTTTTGAGACGGAGTCTCGCTCTGTCGCCTAGGCTAGAGTGCAGTGGCACGATCTCGGCTCACTGCAACCTCCACCTCCCTGGTTCAAGCGATTCCCCCGTCTCAGCCTCCGGAGTAGCTGGGATTACAGGCATACGCCACCACACGCGGCTAATTTTTTTGTATTTTTAGTAGAGACGGGGTTTCTCCATTTTGGCCAGACTGGTCTTGAACTCCTGACCTCAGGCGATCCTCCCACCTCAGCCTCCCAAAGTGCTGGGATAACAGGCATGAGCCACTGCACCCGGCCTGCCTTATGTTAAGGTAATTTCATTTTTTGTAGATGAAGTAAGTTCTTCCAAGCTTGAGGTATTATAAGAGATTGCACACATATGGTCATTTCCATATTTTACAGTTGAGAAAACCAAGAACTTTATGACTTCATTTATTCAGCAACAAAAATTTGCCAAATATTTATTGAGTCTTTACATATGCCAGACAGTGTTCTGGATAGTAAGAATATATCAGTGAACAAAAGACAAAAAATTTCTAATTTTATGGAGCATTTTGGTAGCATTTTTCTAATTTATTTTTAGTTTTTAAGTTTTAACTTTTATTATAGATTAAAGGGTACATGTGTAGGTTTATTATTACATGGGTAAATTGTGTGATGCTGAGGCTTGGGGTCCCAATGATCTCATCACCCAGGCAATAAGCACAGTACCCAACAGGTACTATGATCGGCACCACTGCACTCCATCTGGGCAACATAACGAGACTGTATCTAAAATTAAAAAAAGTAAAAAAATAAAGTACCATTAAAATAGCTCATAGTTTCCTACCTCAAGGGGGTAAACTTCCTCTTTTTATGGAAAAGGGGCTTATCTGTGGCTTAATGCTTGCAAATACCACGTGAATGTGAAATTATTGGAATACAGTTACCAGTTAAAAATTATCTATTGGCCAGACACAGTGGCTGACGCCTGTAATCCCACCACTTCGGGATGCCGAGACGGGCAGATCACTTGAGGCCAAGAGTTCGGCACCAGCCTTGCCAACATCATGAAACCCTGTTTCTACTAAAAATACAAAAAAATTAGCCGGGAGTGGTGGTGTGTGCCTGTAGTCCCAGCTACTTGGGAGGCTGAGGCAGGAGAATTGCTTGAACCCGGGATGCGGAGGTTGCAGTAAGCTGAGATTGCGCCACTGTGCTCCAGCTTAGGCAACAGAGTGAGACTCTGTCTAAAAATAAATAAAAATTGAGTATCTCTATTATGCTTTAAACCACCTGTTGCCATGTAAAATGTCATTGAGATCTTTGAGGATGGTGGTGGTATTTTTTATAATTCATTAAACCTTATTTTAGGATCTATTATAAGTAGAAGAGATAAGTTTTATTTGCTTTTGGACATCCTAATTACTGTTTAGTCTTTTTTTTTCCCCTTGGAATTCTTTTTTTTTTTTTTTTTTTTGTGAGACAGAGTCTTGCTCCTCACCCAGGCTGGAGTGCAGTGGCACAATCTTGGCTCACTGCAACCTCCCTGCCTCCCGGGTTCAAGCAGTTCCCCTGCCTCAGCCTCCCAAGTAGCTGGGATTACAGGCACACGCCATCATGCCTGGGCTAATTTTTGTATTTTTAGTAGAGATGGGGTTTCACCATGTTGGCCAGGCTGGTCTCGAACTCCTGACTGCAAGTGATCCATCTACCTTGGCCTCCGAAAGTGCTAGGATTTCAGGCGTGAGCCACCGCACCCAGCCTGGAATTCTTTTATCAATAAAATTGGAAAACGTTATTTTCATGAAAAATTTTATAAGCTCTTGCAAGCAAGTTTTTTGTTTATCCATCCTCTTTGAAAAGACAGAAATTGAGCAGGTACTGGGTAGGTCGGGGACTGGACTGTTTCTGTTATTAGATGATCATACAAAGGTTTTTGTGCCCTGCTTTAGCACACTGAATTATGGGGTGTGTGTGTGTGTGTGTGTGTGTGTGTGTGAATTCTAAGCTACCTTGTGATTCTCATAATTAGCTAGGTTTTGAAACTCTTGTGTGATATGGTTTTTATTTTGTATTTTTTGCTTTATGTAAAATGTCAATGGTTTGCTGACTCTTTAATCTTAAAATTATTTTACATTTGAACCTTGCCTCTAGCCCCAAATATTTAAGTACTTTGAATACACATGAATAATTTTAGTTGACCATTAACAGGTGTGGGTGCCAACATTTCTTAACCTACTGTGTTATTTTAATTTATTTTGAGAGATGGGGTCTTGTTCTGTTGCCCAGGCTGGAGTGCAGTGGTGCAGTCATAGTTCCCTCGGTCTCCAACTCCTGGGCTCCAGTGGTCCTCCCACCTCAGCCTCTCAAGTAGCTGGGATTACAGGTGCACACCGTCATGCCTGGTTAATTTTTAAACTTTTTTTTGTAGAGACAAGATCTTGCTTTGTTGTCCAGGCTGGTCTTGAACGCCTGGCTGGCTTCAGGTGATCCTCCTGCCTGGGCCTCTCAGAGTGTTGGGATTACAGGCATGAGGCACCATGCCTGGACAGAAAACCTACTGTTTTTGAGTAGTGGTGTTATGGATTTATTATTAGTTGCTCTAACCTGAATTCGCCTGTATGTTGCTTCCAAAGCTAAAATATTTAAGTTTTTTTTTTAATTCCTTGGATGTTTGCTTCTGAGTGGTGTTGCAGTTTCTTTAGTAAGTGCTAAAGAATGTCTTAAAATCATTAAATACAACAAAACTCACCTATATCTAGTGTTTGCTTTTAGTTAAAAAAATTTTTTTAAAGAAAACTCTTGCAATAGAACAAATTTTGTGAAGTTATTTGTCAAAGCAAGATACTGTTTTTTAAGAAACATCGCAAAATAGGGCCGGGTGCGGTGGGTCACGCCTGTTATCCCAGCACTTTGGGAGGCCGAGGTGGGCAGATCACAAGGTCAGGAGTTTGAGCCCAGCCAATATGGTGAAACCCCGTCTCTACTAAAAATACAAAGATTAGCTGGGCGTGGTGGCGGGTGCCTGTAATCCCAGCAACTCGGGAGGCTGAGGCAGGAAAACAGCTTGAACCCGGGAGGCAGAGGTTGCAGTGAGCTGAGATTGTGCCACTGCACTCCAGCCTGGGTGACAGAGCAACACTCCATCTCAAAACAAAAAAAAGAAAAAAAAAGAAACAAAGAAACATTGCAGAATAGTAGTTGAACTTTTTAGTTCACTACCAGCAGAATCAAAGTTGAAAGTTTTACGCTGGTGACCTCTAGTGGTCTTGCAGTTAAAAAATTATCTGCTGTCAAGTATCAACAAATATCAAATAATTCTCCCCGCCCCCATACAGAGTCTTGCTCTGTCATCCCAGCTGTAGTGCAATGGTACAATCTCAGCTGACTGCAGCCTCCGCCTCTTGGGCTCAAGCAGTTCTCCTGCCTCAGCCTCCCGAGTAGCTGGGATTATAGGCACACACTATGTCTGGCTAATTTTTGTATTTTTAGTAGAGATGTGATTTCACCATGTTGGCCAGGATGGTCTAGAACCCCTGACCTCGTGATCCGCCCACCTTGGCCTCCCAAGGTGGTTGGGATTACAGGCGTGAGCCACCGCACCTGGCCTGAAATAATTCTTATGTGCATTCACATGCTGATTGTTGAATAAATTCAGATGATATATAAAATGTCCCGCCAGGCATGGTGGCTCACTTCTGTAATCCCAGCACTTTGGGAAGCCAAGGCGGGCAGATTACCTGAGGTCAGGAGTTCAAGACCATCCTGGCCAACATGGTGAAACGCCATCTATACTAAAAATACAAAAATTAGCCGGGTGTGGTGGTGTGCACCTGTAGTCCCAGCTACTCAGGAGGCTGAGGCAGGAGAATTGCTTGAACCCAGGAGGCGGAGGTTTCAGTGAGCCGAGATGGTGCCACTGCACTCCAGCCTGGGCGACAGAGCGAGACTCTATCTCAAAAATAAATAAATAAATAAAAATAAAATGTCGCAAATCAACGAACACCTTTTCCTGTATTCAAAGGAAGAAAAGCTATCCTGAAAATCAGTAGTAATATTTGTTACCCTAAATTATCAACTGAAATTGTATATGGAAACAAGTTTATAAAAATTAATTTTTGCCTGAAGTACACTTCAGATCAAGTAATTAAAAACAAAATTTGTTGAGTTGGGCACATAAAAACAAAATTTTTGGTACCTATTTTATTGAAGCAACTACACAGTCCGTTGCAAAACCTTTTTCTTTGGGCCTAGGTCTTTGACCTTATCTTCACAATAAAAATATACTTTTTAAATGTTTCCTTTTATTTAGATTTTCTTTGATATCTCTCATCAGAGTTTTTTGTAGTTTTCTTCCTGTGCATGTTTTGTTAGCTTTATGCTTAAGGTTTTTGGTGCTAAGGTAAATGGTACTATGTTTTGACTTTCAAAATCTAAATGTTTATTACTATTGCATAGGAAAGTAACAGACTTTTGTTTATTAATCTTGTTTGCTGCAACCTTGCTGTAATTGCCTTTTTTTTTTTTTTTTTTTTTTTTTTTGAGATGGAGTCTCACACTGTTGCCCAGGCTGGAGTGCAGTGGCATGATCTCGGCCCACTTCAACCTCTGCATCATGGGTTCAAACGATTCTCCTGCCTCAGCCTCCTGAGTAGCTGGGACTACAGGCGTGTGCCACCATGCCCAGCTAACTTTTGTATTTTTTAGTAGAGACAGGGTTTCACCATGTTGGCCAGGCTGGTCTCAAACTCCTGAGCTCAAGTGATCTGCCTGCCCTGGCCTCTCAAAGTTCTGGGCTTACAAGCGTTAGCCACCGCACCTAGCTTTATAATTGCTTCTTTGATCCAGGGTTCTTTTTATTGATGTTTTAGGATTTTTAACATAGGCAGTCAGGTCATCCGCAAACAGTTCTATTCCTACCTTCTCAATCTGTATACCTCTTCTTTTCTCATCTCTTGCATTAGCTAGGACTTTGAGTATGATGTTGAATAGGAGTGATGAAAGAGGAGATCCTTGCCTTCTTCCCAGTCTTAGGGGGAAAAGCATCTACTTTTTCATAATTAAATATGATATTTAGCTGTACGTTTTTCATAGATATCCTTTATTAAGTTGAGGGTGTTCCCCTTATTCCTGTTTATTGAGAGTTTTTGTCATGAATGGGTATAAGATTTTGTTCTTTTCTGTATCTATTGATATTTCTTCTTCAGCTTGTTTAACCAATTAATGATGCGTTATATTAACACAGTTTTGAATGTTGAATCAGTCTAGTATGCCTGGAATAAATCCTACTTTGTTGGATTCAGTTTGCTAATATTTTGTTAAGGAGTTTTGCATCTATGCTCATGAGAGATATGTTTGTCGTTTTCCTTTCTTCTAGTACATTTTTCTGGTTTTGGTATTAGGATAATGCTGGCTTCATCACGTGAATTAGTAAGTGTTCCTTTTGCTTCTGTTTTCTGGAAGAGATTGTAGAGAATTGGTATTTCATTCTCAAATGTTTAGTAGAATTCACCCTAGAGCCCATCTGTGCATGATGCTTTTTATTTTTGAAGATTATTAACTTTTGGTTCCATTTCTTTAGTATATATGGATCCATTCACGTCATTTATTGCTCCTTATGTAAGTTTTTGTAGATTGTGTCTTTCAAGGAATTGGTCCACTTCATCTTAGTTATCAAATTTGTGGGCATTAAGCTATTTATAATTTTTATTTTCCTTTTAATGTCCATGGGTTCAATAATGAGGACCCTTCTTTCATGTTTTTTTTTTTTTTTTTTTTTTTCGAGATAGAGTCTTGTTTTGTTTGCCTGGCTGGAGAGCAATGGTGTGAATCTCTGCTCACTGCAACCTCTGCCTTCTGGGTTCAAGCGATTCTCCTGCCTCAGCCTCTCGAGTAGCTGGGAT
Source organism: Homo sapiens (assembly GCF_000001405.40). NCBI lineage: Eukaryota > Metazoa > Chordata > Mammalia > Primates > Hominidae > Homo > Homo sapiens. The sequence goes on along the minus strand of NC_000014.9, from coordinate 30,977,672 downwards.
TACAGGCGCCCACCACCACACCTGGCTAATTTTTTTTTTTTTTGTATTTTTAGTAGAGATGGGGTTTCACCATGTTGTCCAGGCTGGTCTTGAATTCCTGACCTCAGGTCATCTGCCCACCTCGGCTTCCCAAAGTGCTGGGATTACAGGCATTGAGCCACCATGCCCGGCCTCATTTCTGATATTAGTAGTTTGTGTCTTTCTTCCTCTTTCTTCCCCTTTCTCCATCTTTCCCCCTTTTTTGCTAGCCTGGCTAGAGTTTAATCCATTTTAATGATCTTTTCAATGAGCTGATTTTATTGATTTTTCTATGGTAATTTTTTTGATTTCTGTGTTCTATTTTTTATTATTTCTTTTGTTTATAATGCTGTTCTTTGATTTCCTAAGATGGAAGCTAAATTGTTGGTTTCAAATCTTTCTCTTTTTTTCATATATGTATTTATTTTGAAACAGAGTTTCGCTCTTGTTGCCCAGGCTGGAGTGCACTGGCACGATATCTGCTCACTGCAGCCTCTGCCTCCTGGGTTCAAGCGACTCTCCTGCCTCGGCCTCCCAAGTAGATGGGATTACAGCCACCCACCACCATACCCAGCGAATTTTTTGTATTTTTAGTAGAGACAGGGTTTCACCATGTTGGCCAGGCTGGTCTCAAACTCCTGATCTCATGTGATCCGCCTGCCTCGGCCTCCCAAAGTGCTGGGATTACAGGCTTGTGCCACCATGTCCGGTCAATTTTTGTATTTTTAGTAGAGATGGGGTTTCACCATGTTGGCCAGGCTGGTCTCAAACTCCTGAGCTCAGGTAATCTCCCCACCTTGGCCTCCCAAAGTGCTAGTATTACAGGTGTGAGCCACAGTGCCTGGCTAAAATATTTTAAAACTTATCCTGATACTTCTTTGACCAGTGTTTCACTTACAAGTATGTTTAATTTCCTATATGCTGGGATTTTCTAATTGTCTTTCTGTTACTGATTTTTAGATTTAATTCTATTGTGGTCTGATAGTACACTGTATGAATTCTAATCTTTTAAAGTTGTTAAGATGGGTTTTATGGTCCAAAATGTTTTTCTTGATGAACATTCCATGTGAGTTTGAAAATAATGTTGTTCTGCTGTTCTTGGATAAAATACTGTGTAGATCAATTAGATCCAGCTGATTGATGATGCTGTTCAGTTGAACTATATCTTTACTGGTTTTCTGCCTTGCTGGATCTCTCAGTTACTGGTAGAGGAGTGTTGTAGTTTCCAGCTATAATAGTGGATTCATGTATTTCTCAATTTTTGCTTCTCCTATTTTGACACACTAAGGGTTGTGTTCTTGGAGAATTGACCTCTTTCATTATGTAATATCCCTCTTTATCCTGGATAATTATCCTGGTTCTGAAGTCTGCTTTATCTGAACTTAATGTAACTATTCCCACTTTTAAAAAGTTAATGTTTGCATGGTATAACTCTCCCCATTCATTTACTTTTTGTTATTTTCTGTGTGTATACTTAAATAAAATTTATTGTAGGCAACCTGTCTGGCATTTTATTTTTTTAATTCACTACAACAGTCTCTTTTGATTGGCTTATTTAAATAATTCACATTTAAAGTGATTATTGATGTAGTTGGGTTAGTACCATGTTGGTAACTCTTTTCTGTTTTTGCACTTGTTCTTTGTTTATAATCCTCTTTTTCTGCCTTCTCTGGTTTGAGAATTTTATATGACTGCATTTTCTCTGCTGTCTTAGCATATGAACTGTAGTTTAAAAATGTTTCTTTTAGTAGTTATCCTAGGACTTATAAAACATTTACAACTAATTCAAGTCCACTTTTTTTTTTTTTTTTTTTTTTTAAAGAGCCAGGGTCTGTCTCTGTCACCCAGGCTGGAGTGCAGTGGCACCATCATAGCTCACTTGTAGCCTTGATCTCCTGGGTTCAAGTGGTCCTCTCACATCAGCTTCCCAGATAGCTGGGACTATTGGCATGTGCCACCACACCTGGCTAATTTTTTAAATAAAAGTTTTGTAGACATGCAGTCTGGCTATATTGCCCAGGCTTCAAGTCTACTTCCTCTTTCTTTTCTTTTTTCTTTTCTTTTCTTTCTTTCTTTCGTTCTCTTTCTTTCTTCTTCTTTTTTTTTTTTTTTCAGTAGGGGGGAATAGGTAGCATTTGGTTGCATGGAAAAGTTCTTTTGGTGATTTCTGAGATTTTGACGCACCTGTCATCTGAGCAGTGTACAGTGTAACCATTGTGTAGTCTTTTGTCCCTCACTGCCCTCCCATTTTTTCTCTCAAGTCCCCAAAGTTCATTATATCATTCTTATGTCTTTGCATCTCCATAGCTTGGCTCCCAGTTATGAGAACATACAATGCTTGGTTTTCCATTCCTGAGTTGCTTCATTTAGAATAATGGTCTCTCCAGCTCCATCCAGATTGCTGCAAATGCCATTATTTCATTCCTTCTTATGGCTGAGTAGTATTCCATGGTATATCACATTTTCTTTATCCACTCGTTGGTTGATAGGCATTTAGGCTGGTTCCATATTTTTGCAGTTATGAATTGTGCTGCTATAAGCATGCGTGTATGTGTCTTTTTCTTATAATAATTTCTTTTCCTCTGGGTAGATAACCAGTAGTGGGACTGCTGAATGAAGTTACCTTTCACATAATATTATATTGCTTCACAGGCAGCGCAGGCACCTCATAGTGTAGGCATACTTCACATTAGTGCATTTGCAGATACTGAGTTTTTTACAATTTGAAGGTTTGTGGCAACTCTGTGTCAAGCAAGTCTGTGTCATTTTTTCCAACAGCATGTGCTCACTCTGTTAGCATTTTTTGGCAATGAAATGTTTCCTTCTGTTTGTTTGTTTATTTATTTGTTTTAAGACAGTCTTACTCCGTCACCCAGGCTGGAGTGTAGTGGCGCAATGTCAGCTCACTTTAGCCTCTACTCCCCCCAGGCTCAAGTGATCCTCCTGTCTCAGCCCCCTGAGTAGCTGAGACTACAGGCGTGTGCCATAGCACCTGACAAATATTTGTTTTATTTATTCATCATTTTCAAGGTTTTTTTTTTTTTTTTGTAGTTATGCTATTTGGGGTTCCTTGAGATTCCATATGAATTTTATGATGGATTTTTCTGTTTTCTGCAGAAATAAAGTTGGGATTTTGATAAGGATTGCATTGAATCTGTGGATTGCTTTGGGTATTGACATTTTAATAGTATTAAGTCTTATAATCCATTAACATGAGATATGTTTCATTTATTTATGTCTTAATTTCTTTCAGCATTGTTTTATAGTTTTCATTATATAAGTCTTTCACATCCTTGGTTAATTCCTAGATATTCTTTTTGATGCTATTGTGAATGGAATTGTTTTCTTAATTACCTTTTCAGATTGTTCATTGTTAGTGTATAAAAATGAAACTGATTTTTCTGTGTTGATTTTGTATTCTGTTACTTTGCTGGATTCATTTATTCTCATAGGTTATTATGGAATCTTTTGAGTTTCTACATCATATCTGTGAACATAGTTTTATTTCTTCCTTTCCAGTTTGGTTGCCTTTTATTTCTGTTTCCTAATTGATAGGAATTCTAGTACTATATTGAATAGAAGTGTGAAAGTGGATTTCCTTGCTTTGTTCCTGATCTTAGAGAAAAAGCTTTCAGTCTTTCATCATTGACTATGTTAGCTGTAGGCTTTTCATATATGGCTTTTATTATGATGAAGTAGTTTTCTTCTGTTTCTTGTGTGTGGAGTGTTATCATGAAAGGGTGTTGAATTCTGTCCAGTGCTTTTTCTACACTGAGATAATCATGAATTTTTCCTTCATTCTGTTAATGTACTTTCTTACATTGCTTGATTTTCATATGTTGAATTATACTTTCATTACAGGAATAAATCCCTCTTGGTCACGATGTGTAATTCTTTTAATATGCTGCTGAATTCAGTTTGCTAGTATTTTGTTGAGAATTTTAGTATCAGTGTTCACAGGGGATGTTGATTGGTCTATAGTTTCTTTAGTGTCTTTGTCTGCCTTTGGTTATCAGGAGCAGTGCTGGCCTCATAGAATGAGTTGGGTAGTATTCCCTTCTCTTCAGATTTTTGGAAAAGTTTGAGAAAGATTGGTGTTAGTTATTTAAATGCTGGTGGAATTCACCAGTGAAGCTATCAGATTCAGGGCTTTTCTTTGTTGGGAGATTTATTTGTGTAGAATTGGTGGTTACTAATTTAACTTTAATATCTGATTTTAGTAATTTGAGTCTCTCCTCTTCCTCCCTCCCTTCTCTCTTTCTCTCTCTCTGTCTCTTTGTCCCCCTCTCCCTCTCTGTCCCCTTCTCTCCCCCTCCCCCCCACCTAAAGGGTTGTCAGTTTTTTTGATCTTTTCAAAGATTTGACTTTTGCTTTCAATAATTTTTTTTTTCTATTCTGTTTCATTGATCTCTGCTCCAATCTTTATTTGCCTCTACTGGCTTTTTTGAGACAGAGTCTCACTTTGTCACCCAGGCTGGAGTGCAGTGGTGCAATCTCAGCTCACTGTAACCTCCGCCTCCAGGGTACAAGTGATTCTCCTGCCTCACCCTCTTGAGTGACTGGGATTACGGGCGGGTGCCACCACACCTGGCTGATTTTTGTATTTTTTGTAGAGATAGGATTTCACCATGTTGGCGAGGCTGATCTTGCACTCCTGACCTCAGGTGATCCACTCACCTTGTCTTCCCAAAGTGTTAGGATTACAGGCGTGAGCCCGCACCCGGCCTAATCTTTACAATTGTGATTCTGAAATAAATATTATATAGCTCTGTTGTTTGCTGTAAGTTCATTTTAGACACACTTTTCGTTGTGGGAGGCATTACAAGTTATACTCCATTACAAGTTAAATAGAGATAGGGTCTTGTTCTTTTGCCCAGCTGGAGTGCAGTGGCGCAATCATAGCTCATTGTAACGTCAACCTCTTGGGCTCAAGCTTTCCTCCCCACAGCCTCCCAAGTAGCTGGGACTACAGGTGTGCACCACCATACCCAGCTAATTTTTTTTTTTTTAATTTTTTGTAGAGATGGAGTCTTGCCATGTTGCCTAGGCTGGTCTTGAACTCCTGGCCTCAGGTGATCCTCCTGTCTCAGTGTTATAAAGTTTCCGTGCCGCAAAAGAAATAACACTCGAATATAAAATTTTCTTTTTAATTCTCAGCAAGGCAAGTTACTTCTGTATAGAAGGGTGCGCCCTTACAGATGGAACAATGGTGAACGTACACTTGGACAAGGGAGGGGAAGGGGTTCTTTATCCCTGATGCATGTGGCCCCTTGCTGCTGTGTCATTCCCCTGTTGACTAGGGTTAGACGCACAGGCTAAACTAATTCCGATTGGCTAATTTAAAGAGAATGACAGGGTGAGTGCTTTGGCGGGGGTCAGGGCAGAGCAGGTAGCAGGTAATTGGAATGAGTTAGGGTGGAGCAAGTGATTGGAACGTAGATTGGAGCAGGTGAGTCAGGGTGGAGTAGGTAATTGGAATGAATCAGGGTGGAGTAGATAATCGAAAAAGATTGCTTTACGAGGAAGTTTAAGTTTAAAAGTAGAAGGCAAAGAATTGAACATACTGACATATTCTTTGAAAAGAAATTTAGAACTCATATCTAACAATCCCTCCCCTTGTGTTTCCTTACAGCTTTCTTTTCAAACTTTTTTTTAACATGTCTTGGCTTAGTTGTTTTGCTTGACTTTCTGAAAGAAGAAGCTTCTCTGGATAAGGTGGAGGATAGTTAAGGGAGGTTTTAGTAAATGCCATTTTTATGAGCCTCTGCATCTACTTACGGATGCATGGTATGACACAGCACCCGACAAGAATAAGTACACCTATTATGGCTGCAAGGGAAGAATTGAGGCTATTATTCCTTTCCATTTACCGAACTACTTTTTTTTTAGCCATCCTGTAAAGGGGTCATTTACCCCTGAGTTGCTGTCTGACTCATTGGATAGAGCAGTGAGACCTTGCAGTGCTTTTGTTATACTTTTATTAGGGGCGGTGCTGTTTGGGATGAAGGTATAACATTGAGTTTTAATCATGATGCAAAATCCTCTTTCTGCTAATATCGTGTCTAAGGCTATCCTATTTTCCTAAGCCATCTAGCTGATTGCCCCTAATTGTTCAGCTATTCCTTTAACAGCATCTCTAGTGTAGTTAATAAATCGCTGTTGGTTGTAATAGATATAGTTTATCCAATCTACATTTTTGTCACTCACCAAAATATTGACTCAAATCCTGCAGCTATTTGATTTTGGGCTTTAAATTGATCTGGTATTCCTCATGGGACTTTAATTGTGTCTAAATAGACGTGAGAGTTGAAAGACCTATAAGGGGCTTCTCTCACTTTACGATGTCTTATTTTTCCTTTCTCTGGTTGATGAAATGGCAGGGTGAAAGGGATAGCCAATTGGACTAAAGCACAAGTGCCACTTCAGTTGTTTGGCAGGGTGTCCACTAAAGGTCCACCACAATACCACCACACATCTGCTCGGGGATGAACAAGGGCTGACTGATTGATAAGCTCTTAAATTCTTAAGCTCACTTCATCCCTTCAGGTCTCCAAGGAACGCTAAGTTTCCTCCATGTTGTGAGAGACACAAAGTGAACTTAGTGTTGGGAGATGGAGGCTGGATGGCCCTCGGGGGCTGACCCGCAGGGTGCCGGATTTTGGGATATAGCAGAGAGAGAGCTTGGCAAGACTTATTACTCCAGGCTGTAGAATCCTGGCAAAGAGCTACCATGCAGCCCTTGCCTGGTTGACTGGAGGACCACCTTAGTGGAAAGGGGACAACCTGGGCCTCCCTGCCGTGCGCACAAACATAACAGTTGCTTTTGTTTAATGTGCGGGTGGAATATTTGATCCATTCCAACCAGGCATTTACATCTTGGTATCTTGTCTCAATTGCCAAAGTTTGTTTTAAGTCTTTAACTTTTACCATCGCTATCTTGGCCTTGTCCTTAGATGGAGGAGGAACAATGGTTCCCTTGTGAGAGGTTTTGGAAAAAGGCTTAGAAGCTGGTGCAGGCAGTGGGGGATCAAAGACATGCATTTTAAGGAGTCCAATAGGGTCTGTCCTTGAAACCTCAGCCCCCATACCATAAAACTGGCATAAAGAAGGGAACTGGCTTAGAAAAGGGAAGAACTTTGGGGGCTTGAAATAATAGCCTGTATAGGATTGCATTGGTTTAGCTGACAGCTGGGGGAGGGGAGCTGTCCCTTTAGTAAAATGAATGTATGGTTTTAGGAAATTACAAAAACTGTTTGGGGCAGTCTATCCTTGCTCTTTAGTGGTCCACAGAACGTTGGACCAACTACGGCATAAAAGCTCTACATCGGGGGGCCAGACTCCTGGTTGACACTCGGGTCTTTATCGAAATCTCCCTGGATTAAAAGGTCCCAATTTACTAATGCCCATTCTGAGGAGAGTCAGGAGGGACAAGGTACTTTTCTGAAATAGAGAGCTGTCTTTGACTTGGCAAGTCCCCACAGGGTATAACAGGGCAAGCATTAAATGCAGTAGTTTGAGGTGAAATTGACTTGGTGTTAATAACTAGATGCTTAGCAATAGAGTGAGAAAAGAAGAGTAATAGAATAGATGAAAAAGTTAAATTTTTCTTAGCTTTGGTTTGGTAGGGTTTTCCCCTGGGACTGTGGTCCATGACTGGAGGGGGTGGCGCTTTGACTTAGGTGTGGGTGAGTCCATCCCTTTTTCGCTGTACGAACAGCAGTCTTGGTGGTTAGCAGCACAAGGTAGGGTCCTTCCCATGCTGGCTCGAGTTTTTTTCTTTCCACTCTTTGATGAGAAGGTGATCTTCAGGCTGGTGCTGGTTTACTGGAAATTCTAGGGGTTGTACCTGTGCTAAAAGACTTTTAGTTTTGAGGGAAAGGAAAGTGGAAGATAAAACCAAGTATATAATTTCTAAGAAATTGACCTTTTGTTTTAAATGTGGGGACATCAACAGTGGACTTTATATATAGTTTTTGGTGCCTTCTTACTGAGAAATTTCCTTTAGCACCTACTTTTATTAGTTTTTAGACCAAAGAAAGCCAAACAACCATTTTATATTTAACAATGCTTCCTGTATGATTTTTATACCAAATAATCTGAATTTCACCTTTATATTAGTGTGTTATTAATGTTAATTTTAATAAAACCTTGTAGACATATTTATCCAATTTTTAATGTCTGAGCATAAGGTAAGATTTTTATAGACTTTTTTTTTTTGGAGACAGAGTCTCGCTCTGTGGCCCAGACTGGAGTGCAGTGGCGCGATCTCAGCTCATTGCAAGCTCCGCCTCCCGGGTTCACGCCATTCTCCTGCCTTAGCCTCCCGAGTAGCTGGCACTAAAGGCACCTGCCACCATGCCCGGCTAATTTTGTTTATATTTTTAGTAGAGATGGTGTTTCACCATGTTAGCCAGGATGGTCTCGATCTCCTGACCTCATGATTTGCCCTCCTCGGCCTCCCAAAGTGCTGGGATTACAGGCGTGAGCCACTGCGCCCAGCTTATAGACTCTTTTTAACCTTTTTTATAATTTTTGTTAAACAGCAGGTTAGTGCTTTAAGAAAAACCTGTTATGCTTTTGTTTTAATATCCAGTTCACAGAAAAACTGGATGATACCTCTTTGGCTAATATGTTTACACACAGAATTTCCTTTACAATTAATGTTTTAAAACTTGCTTAAACCTTTGAAACAAAATATATATTTTTTTTAACCTTTTAATGTAGGTAAAAATTCAGATTCTTATGCCTCCTTATAGTCTTTTTACCAGAAGTATATTTTACTTTCCTTACACGCTTTGCACATAAACTGTTTCTTCTATAGTTTTACATTTAGGAGGCTTAATTACTTTTAAATTATACAACATTTCTTGCATAAATTTCCTTTTATAACCTTTTTTTTCTCCACAACTTTCACAGATAATTCTTAGACATGCCTCAACTTTCTGACTTGCCGCAAACACCTTTTTTTTTTTTTTTGAGATGGAGTCTCCCTCTGTCGCCCAGGCTGGAGTGCGGTGGTGCCTTCTTGGCTCGCTGCAACTCTGCCTCCCGGGTTCACGCCATTCTCCTTCCTCAGCCTCCTGAGTAGGTGGGGCTACAGGCACCCGCCACCATGCCCGGCTAATTTTTGTATTTTCAGTGGAGACGGGGTTTCACTGTGTTAGCCAGGGTGGTCTCGATCTCCTGACCTCGTGATCCGCCCGCCTCGGCCTCCCAAAGTGTTGGGATTACAGGCATGAGCCACCACGCCTGTTTTTTTTTTTTTTTTTTAAACCAGTTAATCTTATTTTAGGACAAGAATTTACCATATAACGTTCTTTTTACATAAATTCTGTCCCCCCAATTTCTTTTTTCTTTTTTTTTTTTTTGAAGATGATAATCATTCTTTTCTGAAGTGAACTTCATGTTGGTGGACTAGACTGTCTAAGGCCATAAGATTAGAAGTTAGGATAATACATGTTACACTGTTAACTTTTAGCAAACTTTGCTTTTGTTGAAAACCTTTTAAGTTTGGTATTTCAATTATTCTTTGCTATTAATAAGACCCTGTTTAGTCCAAATTAACTTAGAATTGGTATAGATGGTTCCTTCCTAGTTTTGTAAGTACTTTAAGGCTTGGCTGAGTGCAAATAGCTCACACGTTTGAGGAGACCAGTTATTAGGCAGTTTTCCTGACTGCCTCTACAGGAGTTTCCCTATCAATTACTGAATACCTGTTGTTCCCCCACCACCCCAGTCACCCGGGAGGAAGTCGTGTCCTGAAGGGGCTTCCTCCTAGGTCTGGTCGGATCTTTGTATGGTAATTAAGATTTCAATCTCCTGTTAGGAAACCTTCTGGGTTAAGGGAATTTTCAGTGGTTAATGATAAATCATCTTTTTCTAACAGAATAGCCTTATAATTTTAAGATTTTTGAGTTAGTAAGCTACCTTTTTGCTTTTTGACTTAGGATAGTTCTGAACTGGTGAGGTGTGCTCACAATGGGGTTTCCTCTAAAAGTTATTTTTCTACTTTCTTCTGTTAGCAAAGCAGTTGCCGCTACAGATAGAATGCATTTGGGCCATCCGCGGGTTACTGGGTTAAGGATTTTTGATAGGAAGGCTACGGGTTGTCAGTGTCCTCAGTGCTTTTGGGCTACGCCCTTGTTTACATTGACAGCGAGATGGTATTGGAGTGTTATAGGGTCACGGAGAAGACCTTCAATTATTAACTATAGGTTTTAAATTTACCCTGGCTCTTAAAGGAATAGGGTACACTGTTTTTCTCTTTACTACTACTATTTTTCTCTTTCTCTGTTTGACTTTGTCTCTTTCTCTCTCTCTGACTCTCTGTCTCTCTGCCTCTTTCCCCACCACCGCCTCTCTTTCCCCCCTCTCTGCCTCTCTTCCCCCCTCTCTCTGCCTCTCTTCCCCCCCACCCTGCCCCACCCTCTCTTTCCCCTCTGTGTCTCTCTGCCTCTAGGGTAGGGACCTGTGGGAGTGGAGCTACTCTAATACCCAAGAAGAAAGGAAAAGGTGGGGTGGGGGGTTGTGTCAGGTTCAACCCTTGAAATTAGCGGAAGGCTCAACCCCTTAACACCAGGGATGTCTCACCTTGTGTGTCCCGGAAGCCTCAACCCCTCAAACCAGGGGTGTCTCACCTTGCCTGTCCCGGAAGGCTCAATCCCTCAAACCAGGGGGTGTCTTGTCCTGCTTGTCCTGGGAGGTTGACCTGCTTCCCCCCTTTCCCCTTCTGAAGGTCCTTTGCACACTTCCCACTTGTGCTGTCATCTCTGGCTGCTCCCCTAAGGGAGAATTAGGCCCCTCTTAGTGTTGGCGTGCTGGTATAAATCCCATGGCAGGATTTGCTCTAAGCCATATGAGGTAGCTATGGAACCTTGGAGAGGACCCACTCACTCCGTCCAGCAGTAGGACTTGTCACCATCCACACAACACCGCAAGCAGGGTTGTTGATGATCATTCACGCACGCACACATTTAGCCCTCCAGAATTTGACCACAAAGGAAGTACTTTACCAGCTCCTGCGGCTTCTCCTTCCTTGGCCTGTGCACAGTCATCGCAGCAGTATGTGAGGATCCTTTAAGCTAGGTTGCTGGCCAGTCCCCCACTCTGCGTTGCTGAGAGCTCGGGTTATTCCTCGCACTGGGTAGGTCTTGATTTCTCATCCCTGAGGCTGCCACAATAGGGCAGGGTGCACCTCCTCACGAGAGAGAAACAGAGACTGTCCCTGGTGGGGAATGTAATCCTGGATGAGCCCCCACATTGTTATATGTAAAGTTTCGGTGCCACAAAAGAAATAGCACTCAGATATAAAATTTTCTTTTTAATTCTCAGCAAGGCAAGTTACTTCTGTATAGAAGGGTGCACCCTTACAGATGGAACAATGGTGAGCGCACACTTGGACAAGGGAGGGGAAGGGGTTCTTATCCCTGATGCACGTGACCCTTTGCTGCCGTGTTGTTCCCCTGTCGGCTAGGGTTAGACGCACAGGCTAAACTAATTCCGATTGGATGCACAGGCTAAACTAATTCCGATTGGCTAATTAAAAGAGAATGACAGGGTGAGTGCTTTGGCGGGGGTCAGGGCAGAGCAGGTAGCAGGTAATTGGAATGAGTTAGGGTGGAGCAGGTGATTGGAATGTAGAGTGGAGCAGGTGAGTCAGGGTGGAGTAGGTAATTGGAATGAGTCAGGGTGGAGTGGGTAATCGAAAAAGATTGCTTTATGAGGAAGTTAAGTTTAAAAGTAGAAGGCAAAGAGTGGAACATACTGACATATTATTTGAAAAGAAATTTAGAACTCATATCTAACATTCAGCATCCCAAAGCACTGGGATTACAGATGTCTGGCCCCATGCACTTTTGTTTGTTGTTTTTTTTTTTTTTTTTTTTTGAGATGGAGTTTCACTTTTGTCACCCAGGCTGGTACAAGCGATTCTCGTTCCTCAGATTCCTGAGTAGTTGAGATTACAGGCACCTGCCACTATGCCTGGCTAATTTTTTTAGTAGAGATGGGGTTTCATGATGTTGGCCAGGCTGGTCTTGAACTCCTGACCTCAGGTGATCCATCTGCCTCAGCCTCCCAAAGTGCTGGGATTACAGGCGTGAGCCATCGCTCCTGGCCTCTTTTTGTTTTTTTTTAGAGATGGGTCTTGCTGTGTTGCCCAGGCTGGTATTGAACTCCTGGCCTCAAGTGACGTTTCTGCCTTAGTCTCCTAAAGTGCTGGGATTACAGACATAAACCACTGCACCCCCATGCACTTAAGGAGCCAACCAGTCTACTAGGCAGGCAGAAGAAAGTAAATTAACTGGGGTAAATAGGACTCCTATATAACATCCAAAGCATGTGGGATTCTGCAGCAAACTGGGAGTACTTCTGGATTGGCCTGCTGTCTTCTTTAGAACTAATTTCATTATAACAGTTTAAGAAGGTGGATATTTTTACATAGTCAATTGTATTAGGTGACATATTTCTTTTCTGTTAATGTGACTCCTCTGAATGACCTAGTTCACTAGTGAACTAGTGACTAGTAATTTGGTCACCAAGCAAATCAAGCCTGCAAGAAAGGAAGTCAATACTCAAAATAGTGTGTTATCGTCTGAATTCCATCAAATAACATGTTTTCTGTGTGAACACTTAACCTCAATAATGACATGTCTAACTAGAGCAAGCTCCTGCAACAAGACAAAGACCAAGACAGCACCAAGACCAAGACTCTCTTTTTTTTTCTTTTTTTTTTTGAGAAGGGGCCTTGCCCTGTTGTGCACTGGCTGGAGTGCAGTGGTGCTATCTCGGCTCACTGCAACCTTCACCTCCGAGTTCAAGTGATTCTCCTGCCTCAGTCTCTGGAGTACTTGGGATTACAGGTGCGCGCCACCACAGCTGGCTAATTTTTGTATTTTTAGTAGAGATGGGGTTTCACCCTATTAGCCAAGCTGATCTCAAACTGCTGACCTCAGGTGATCCGCCCACCTCAGCCTCCCAAAGTGCTGGGATTACAGGTGTGAGCCACTGTGCCAAGCCTGCATCTCTTCTTCTAAGGCTTAGGTTTTGCCCATAATTCTCAGTGCATGGAATAGTTGACATCAACAGTCATTGTTCCCATCACAAAGCCTTGGGCTGCCACATGCATGTGGATCAGGTGAAGGGACATTTTAATATTTCTCCTGTTCTTCAATTTGTATATCCACTGCAACAATTGCTGCAAAACCTGCTATTCCAATGGGGGACAAATGGTGCCTCTTTAGCTTTTTGGATATGTTTGGATCCCTGATCATCATATGAAGAAAGAGAAACATCTGTGTTGGTTGGTATGGAAATTGCTAGAAGAATCTCTCAAGAGCAACAAAACCCTCATGATCCAACTGGCTTCAAATCCCAGCTCCCATGCCCTATCTTCTCTTGTGTGTAGTTTTTTGTTTTTTGTTTTTCTTTTTTAGACGGAGACTCACTCTATTGCCAGCTTACTGCAACCTCCACCTCCCAGGTTCAAGTGATTCTCATGCTTCACCCTCTCGTATAGCTGAGACTACAGATGCGCACCACCACACCTGCCTAATTTTTGTATTTTTACGAGAGATGGGGTTTCGCCATGTTGGCCAGGTTGATCTCGAACTCCTGACCTCAAGTGATCCGCCTGCCTCAGCCTCTCAAAGTGTTGGCATTACAGGCATGAGCCATCGCACCTGGCTCTTTTCTTGTTTTTTAATGTAAGCATTTATATCTATAAATTCCCCCCTGCGCATTGCTTACATTGCATCCTCTAAGTTTTGGTATGTCCTGTGTTTGTTTTCATTTGTTTCTGTTACCTAATTTTTCTTCTTTGAGTGTGTTGTTTAATTTCCATAAATTTGTGAATTTCCAGTTTTCTTTTGTTATTGATTTCTAACTTGATTTTTTTGTGGTCAGAGAAGAAACTTTGATATCTGTCTTTTTAAAGTTATTAAGACTTGTCTGAGCATGGTGGCTCATGCCTGTAATCCCAGCACTTTGGGAGGCCAAGGTGGGCAGATCACTTGAGGTCAGGAGTTTGAGACCAGCCTGGCCAACATGGTGAAACCCTGTCTCTACCAAAAAATACAAAAATTAGCTGGGTTTGGTGGCGTGTGCCTGTAGTCCCAGCTACTCGGGAGGCTGAGGCAGGAGAATCACTTGAACCCAGGAGCTGGAGGTTGCAGTGAGTCGAGACTGCACCACTGCACTCCAGCCTGGGTGATAGAATGAGACCCTGTTTCAAAAAAATTAAAAAGTTATTTAGACTTAACTTGTGACTCAATTTACATGGTCTGTTCTGGAGACTGTCCCATGTGCACTTAAGATGTGTATTTTTTTGTTGGGTAAAGTGTTCTGCATATGTGTGTTAGAGCTAGGTGATTTGTTGTGTTCAGATCCTCTATTTTCTTCCTTACCATTTGTCTGGTGGTTCTATCCATTATTTAGAGTGGGGTATTGAATCTCCAACTACTGTTGTCTGTTCTCCGTTCTGTTCTGTCAGTTTTGCTTCATACGTTTTGATAATCTGTTACTAGGTGTGTGTGTGTTTATAGTTGTAATATCTTCTTGTCATTATTAGCGTAGTCATGTGTCACGTAACAGCAAGAATATGTTTTGAGAAATGTATCGTTAGATGATTTCATCTTGTGAACATCACAGAGTATGCTTACACAAACTAGATAATATAGCCTGCACTTGGGCTATGTGGTATAGCCTATTCTGAGACCACAAACCTGTATAGCATGTTACTGTACTGAATACTATAGGCAGTTGTAACACAATGGTAAGTATTTGTGTATCTAAACATAGAAAAGGTATAGTAAAAAAAAAAATGGGGCCAGGTGCTGTCACTCACACCTGTAATCCTAGCACTCTGGGAGGCTGAGGAGGGAGGATTGCTTGAGGCCAGGAGTTTGAGCCCAGTCTGGGCAACATGGTGAAATCCCATCTTAAAAAAATAGAAAACTTAGCCAGTCATAGTAGTAGGTGCTTGTAGTTCCAGCTGCTCGGGAGGCTGAGAGGGGAGAATCACCTGAACCTAGGGAGGTTGAGGCTGCAGTGAACTGTGATCGTGCCACTGCACTGTGGCCTGGGTGACAGAGTGAGACCCTGTCTCAGAAAAAAGAAAGATAACAAATGGTATAACTGTGTAGGGCACTGACCATGAATGAAGCTTTTAGGATTGGAAATTGCTCTGGTTGAGTCAGTGAGTGGTGATTGAATTTGTAGGCCTGTGGCATTGTCTCTCTTGTAGATTGTATAAACACTGTATACTTAGACTTTACTAAATTTATGTGAATTTTTTTCTTCAATAATAGCTTACCATAATCATTTTACTTTATAAATTTTAATTTTTTCAGCGTTTTAACTCTTTTGTAATAACACTTAGTTTAAAACAAGCACATTGTACAGCTATATAAAAATATTTTCTTTTTATCTTTATTCTATTAGCTTTCTTCTAGTTTTTAAAATTTTGATTTATTTTTACTTTTTAAACTTTTTTTGTTAGAAATGAAGACACAAACACACATATTAACCTATGCCTACGTAAGGCCTAGGAAGGCCTAGGTTAATATCATTGTCTTCTACCTCCACATCTTATCCCACTGGAAGGTCTTCAAGGGCAGTAACACACATGGAACTGTCATCTTCCATGACAACAATATCTTCTTCTGGAATACTTCCTGAAGGACCTGCCTGAGGCACTTTTGCAGTTAACTTTTCTTTTTATAGGTAGGAATACACTCTAAAATAACGATAGAACCAGGCACGATGGTTCACACCTGTAATCTTAGCAACTCAGAAGGCTAAGGCAAGAGGACCACTTGAGGCCAGGAGTTCAAGGCCAGCCTGGGCAACAAAGCAATACCCTTCTCTACAAAAATAATTTTTAAAAAATTAGCCTGGCTGGTGGCCCGAGCCTTAAGCTGAAGCAGGAGGATCACCTGAGCCCAGGACTTAGAGGGTACAGTGATCTGTGACTGCACACTACAACCCAGTCTGGGTGTCTCAAAACAAAAATGTATAGTAAATCAACTGTAGAATAGTCATTATTGTCATTATAAGTATTGAGCACTGTACATAATTATATGTATTGTACTTCTGTATGACTGACAACACAGTAGATTTGTTTATAACCATCAGGACAAACGTGAATAATGCGTCTAATGCGTCCCACTACAATGTTACAATAGCTACGACTTCTAGACTTCTACAACTTCACTAGGCGATAGGAATTTTTCAGCTCCATTATAATCATATGGGACCCCTGTTGTATATGCAGTCTGTCATTGACTGAAATGTCATGTGGCACATGACTGTATATAATGTTCTTTGTCTCTTGTCTTTTTTAAAATTTTAAGCCTATTTTGTCTGATATTAGTATGGGAGATTGACAGACTTTTAAAGTAAGTATGTTAGGTTTTGTGGGCTACAAAGGCTTTGTGTTGCCTATTCTTTGTTTCTTGTTTTATGGTACTTTAAAAAACATTTTTAGTTTTAGGGCTATGCAAAAACAAGCCTGGGATAGGTTGCCAATTCCTCTTTTATCTTGAATAAAAGTTTTTAAATTGTAATGAATTTTTAATCCTTTTCTTTATGGCTAGTGTTTTTGTCTTTTTTAAGAAATCTCCCCTTAATCTGAAGTTGTGATGATACTTGTTATATCCTAAAAGCATTACTGTCCTGCGTTCATATTTAGATCTGTAATCCTCCTGGAACTGTATGAGGCAGAAAGTATCAGGCAGATGTTCATTTTCTTTTTTTCTTTTCTTTCTATTTTTTTTTTTTTTTTTTTTTTGAGATGGAGTCTCACTCTGTGGCCCAGGCTGAAGTGCAGTGGCACCATCTCAGCTCACTGCAAGCTCCGCCTCTCGGGTTCACGCCATTCTCCTGACTCAGCCTCCTGAGTAGCTGGGATTACAGGCGCCCGCCACCACGCCCGGCTAATTTTTTGTATTTTTAGTAGAGGCGGGGTTTCACCGTGTTAGCCAGGATGGTCTCGATCTCCTGACCTCGTGATCTGCCCGCCTCAGCCTCCCAAAGTGCTGGGATTACAGGCATGAGCCACCGCGCCCAGCCTCATTTTCATTTTTAGCCCACATTTGGATTCTCTATTACTAAGCACCATTTTTGAAGCAACCATTTTTTTCTCAATGTTCTGCACTGCCATCTTTCATAAATCATGTGATCTTCTATGCTTTAGTTTGTTTCTGGACTTTCTGTTCTGTTTCTTTGGTTCATTTTCCTATCCCTGAGTCATCAGTGTCTTAATTGCTGCAGTGTTATATCTTATTGTTTAGTAGAGCAAATTCTATCACCTCATTCTTTTTGTTTTTCTTGAAACTCTGTTGCCCGGGTTGGAGTGCAGTGGCCTGATAGCTCACTGAAACATCTGCCTCCTGGGCTCAAGCAGTACTCCCACATAGATGGGACTACAGGTGTATGCCACCACACCTGTCTAATTTTTGTATTTTGTAGAGATAGAGTTTTGCCATGTTGCCCAGGCTGGTCTTGAACGCCTGGTCTCAAGCAATCCACCCTCCTCAGCCTCCCAGAGTGCTAGGATTATAGGCATGAGCCCCCTGTACTCGGCCCATCTCATTCTTTATAATTGTCTTGGCTGTTCTAGGTAATTTGAATTTTTTTTTGGTAAATTTTAGTATCAGCTTGTCAGGTTCTACACATGCAAATTCAGAATTTGATTGAAATTAAATCTGTCAGTCAATTTGGGTAAAAATTGATATTTTTACAGTAGTCAGCTAGTCCGTTTAGGTTGTCTTTAATGCCTTTGTTAAATTTTTATATTTTCTGTGTAAAGCTCTTGCCCATCTTTGGTGGTTTTTTCCTAGTTACTTTTATCTGTTATAGTTTTGGAGATGGAGTCTTACTGTGTTGCCCAGGCTGGTCTCGAAGTCCCTGGCTCAAGCAATTCTCCCCCACCCCCCAGCTTCCCAAGTAGCTGGCATTATAGTCATGTGCCACCTTGCCTTTTTTAGGTACTTTTATTTTTTGATGCCATGGGGAATGTGTTTTTTGAGGTTACTTTTAAAAGTGTTTATTTGCAGAGATGATGCTATAACATTGCTGAAAAGTAGATTGTTAATGATCCTGTACTGAGTGCTAAATTTATTATTTAATTGGTCATTATTATGTTATTATCACTATCAGGTATAACCTTTACCTTTTCAATCAGTTTACCCTCTAGATACGTGATGATATGAGGTCATAAGGTCAGTTCCAGTCATTATGACTTCTCTCTCATTTACTTGGTCCTCTTCCATGTATTTTTGGTTAATCCATATGTTGGTGGTGGTGGTGTTTGTTTTGTTTTGTTTTTTTCTTTTCATTCAGGGTCTTGCTCTGTCGCTCAGGCTGGAGTGCAGTGGCAATCATGGCTCACTGCAGCCTCGACCCCTCCGCTCAAATGATCCTCCTGCTTCAGCCCCTCAAGTAGCTGGGATAACAGGCGTGCACCGCCACACTCAGTTAATTATTAAATTTTTAGTGAAGACGAGGTGTTGCTGTGTTGGCCAGGCTGGTCTCAAACTCCTGGTCTTAAGTGATCTCCTGCCTTGGACTCTGGAAGTGCTGGGATTACAGGTGTGAGCCACCATGCCCACCCTAGTCCACATTTTTTAAAAAGGTTTTGTTTTTAATTCTTGAGCGTTTTCCTTGTCCTAAATTCTCGCAAATTATTTCCTTTCAGCCGTCTGTTCAGTACCGCTTTGGAATTTTTGCTTTTTGGTGTGTGGTTTGTGCTTGTCTATTTTACTAGATTGTCTAAGTGTGGATAGTTGGTAATACAAAAATTCAAAAAAAGGAAATGAAAACCAATTCTCACAACAGTATAAGATTCTAATAGGAAATACTGCTGCTGGGTTGTCTTTTTTAAAAAGAACCCTCTTAGAGGACATTATGACTTTCACTTACTTTCAATGCCTTTCTCAATCAGAAACCCACCAATTTTTACTTCTTCAGAAGCAGAATAATAAAACAGGTTTCCTTCAGCTTTTTGTAATGGTAATTTTAGAACACTTATTAGATCTGAAAATTGAGAGATACATAATGGTTCTATAGTATGGGCTTAGTGGTTTTTAAAAACAACAACAACAACAAACAGCCAACACAGGAGAAAACACTAGTCAGAATCTTACTTAAAAGTGTATGACGAATTTGACATCTTTTCCCTTTGCTCCACAGCTTGATAGAGAGTAAGTGCTGCTCTTTTCTTCTGGATCATAGACTATTAGGTTCTGAACTTTTATTATTCCTCCTAGTGCTTTTTAAAAATTTTTAAAATATGTATTTATAAGTGTCATGTAGCTGCTTATTTGTTTATTTTTATTTTTATTTTTTAGAGGTAGGGTCTTGCTTGTCGCCCAGGCTGGAGGGCAGTGATGTGATCGTAGCTCACTCTAGCCTCACTCCTGGGCTCAAGCAGTTCTCCTGCTTCAGCCTGCCAAGTAGCTAAGTCTACAGGAACATGCTACCACGCCTGGCTAATTATTGATTTTTTGGTACAAACAGGGTCTCGCTGTCTTGCCAAGGCTGGTCATGAACTCTGTAGCTGTTTATAGCTTCTCAGGTGTTAAGAAGTTGTAGATAATTTCATACAAACTTTTTTTAGGGTAACAGTTTTTTTGACGACAGCAGTTATTTATTACTTAGGTGTTTTTATTAGTTGACTTGATTTAGCTGGTCTCCTTGGCTAATATATTTCTCTTGTAGAAATGAACACATCATAACTAAAGTTTTAACAACAATTTAGCTTACTGAATAGCTTTCTTTCTCATACTGAACAAATGCACCTGTGTCATCTCTGCAAGAACATTCTACCTCTTGTGAAAATTAGTTTTATTGTCAATGTGTAGATAATGGCAAATGTCCCCAGACAGATGCCAGTCTCTTTCAACATTATTCTTTAGTGTGAGGTGGTTAAAGCAGGCTGACATATAGGGAAGGGCTAGAAAAAGGCAGAGAATTGCTTTTTTCAGGAAATAAGGATAAAAGGCACTTAAGGAAAAAAATTCTCTCACAGTGGAAAAATGACAATAGAAAGCAATGAGGTAATGGAATATATGGTGGCTTACTTAAACTATTTGTAATAGTATGGCATTTACTGTTTCAAGAATTAAAATGGAATTTGGAGTGGGGTGGTACAATGGAAAGATTATACATTTTCTTTTTTCTCTCTCTCTTTTTTTTTTTTTTTTTGAAATGGAGTCTCACTCTGTCGCCTAGGCTGGAGTGCAGTGGCACCATCTCGGCTCACTGCAAGCTCCACTTCCTGGGTTCACGCCATTCTTCTGCCTCACCCTCCCGAGCAGCTGGGACTACAGGCACCCACCACTACGCCTGGCAATTTTTTGTATTTTTTAGTAGAGACGGGTTTCACCGTGTTAGCCAGGATGGTCTCGATCTCCTGACCTCGTGATCCACCCGCCTCGGCCTCCCAAAGTGCTGGGATTACAGGCGTGAGCCGCCGCGCTCGGCCCCTCTTTTTTCTTTTGAGACAGAGTGTCGCTCTGTTGCCCAGGCTGGAATGCAGTGGCACCATCTCGGCTCACTGCAGCTTCCGCCTCCCAGGTTCAAGCGATTCTCCTGCCTCAGGCTTTCGGGTAGCTGGGATTACAGGCACCTGCCATCATGCACAACTAATTTTTGTATTTTTGTAGAGAGGGGGTTTCACCATGTTGGCCAGGCCGGTCTTGAACTCCTGACCTCAGGTGATCTGCCTGCCTCGGCCTCCCAAAGTGCTGGGATTACTGGCATGAGCCACGTGCCTAGCTCAGATTATAAATTTTCTAGTATTTCAAGAAAAGCTTTTGAAGTAATCTGTTTTTTGAAATAATATGTCATTTTCTGACGTATTTATCTACTTGTGGACATGTTTTTCAGTTCTTTGTGAATTGTATGTTAGGAATTAGGTGGCATTTTTATGTATATTTTTCTTTCAAGGTTATGTGAAGGTGAAATATTAATATTAGGGATCTTAAGGATTATAAACTAGCTAATTTATAGTTATCTTTATTTTAAAAGGGATGTGTTAGATCTAACAAAGTTTGGACATTTTATGAGTTTTTTTTGTTTGTTTGTTTGAGACAGAGTCTCCTCAGCCTCGAGTAGCTAGGACTATGGGCACACACCACTAAACCTGGCCAATTTAAAAAATTTTTTGTAGAGATGAGGTCTCACTATGTTTCATAGGCTGGTCTAAAACTCCTTGTCTCAAGCAGTCCTACTGCCTTGGCCTACCAAAGTGCTGAGATTACAGGTGTGAGCCATTGCCTGGCCCGTTTTTATGAATTTAAAATCTTGATATCATGAGTCAAGTGCAACAGTTTGTGTTTATCGTTTTCCATTTTTCAGTTTCCTATGTATGGTTAAGGGAAAATGTAAATAAATGCATCTTTTATATTTTTAGGCCCGGATTGCATTTCTACAAGGCGAAAGAAAAGGTCAAGAGAACCTGAAGAAGGACTTAGTAAGAAGAATAAAGATGTTAGAGTATGCATTAAAACAAGAAAGGTATGTGTGCCTCATTTTGTTACATGAATAAAGTAGAACAATAGTATACTCATGTATACCATTGTACTCTGTATTTGGCAGCTTTTTTTGAAAGGTACAAATCCTTGCCCGAATACATGATGCTGTCTTGATTTGATTCATACTTGGGAAAGAAAGGCAAAAGAGATTAAAATAATTCAATTGAAATGTGTTTTGTTACAGAATCTAAATTTTGGAACTTAAAAAAAAAGACAAAGGATAATTGATCTTTTTTTAACTTTTGGGTATGTGTTACTTGGGAAACTTACCTTTTTTTTCTTTTACAGCAATATAGTCTTCAATGTTCTTTGCAAACAAAGTTTAAAGAAGCAGACATTCATATTATGTTTTGTTATTGGAGTAATATAAAGCAAGAGTGACAAAAAGAAGAAGTTGTGATTTTACTAATTTGTGATTAAATTTTCAGGGCAAAATATCACAAATTAAAATATGGCACGGAACTGAACCAAGGTGACTTGAAAATGCCAACCTTTGAGTCAGGTAAACTTGCTTCTTCTGTTACTTTTTTTTTTTTTAATTCATTTTTTATGTAACAGACATGTTCTCTTTACCCGCATTTTGGTTTGATAATATTAGAGAATGACTATTGTAAACTGTCTAGAATTTGGGAAAAAATATTAAATGAATAAAAGTAAATAGTTTCATATACATCTTAATCCTGAGGCAACTTGTCTTATTATCCTTGAGTTGAAATCTGTGTAAAAGTGTGGTTGCATTTATGGTAGTAATTTGAGCTGAAAGGTAACAAAGTTAGGTATTATAGTAAATTTTAAAATTTTAGTTAATTGTTTTTGAGTTCAATATTAAGTATGTAGAACTTGGAGAAACACACACCATACATAAAATTTGCAGTTGATTTATTTTTTAGTCTTTAACACTTTCAGTCTTAGCAGCAGAACTTTAGAGCTTCCATTTGTTGTCATACATATAAAATTAAGAGACCAAGATGGGAGTGGCATAGGTTTTCTTTGACCTGGCTTTTCAGTGGTTATGAAGGCTTATTCTGATGCCAAGAAACTGTATTAGAATCTCCTCCTTGGAAAAAGCAAAAATCAGGAACAGAAACATGGAAGGTCTACTTTTTCCGAGCCATGATTATTATAGTCTTCTCTTTGCAGTTAAAGGGAGTAGAGTGACTTCACCAGAAAAATACCTGGTGAATTCAGAGCTTTTTTTTTTTTTTCTTGACTCATTTTATTTCCAGTATGGCTAGAATATTCAGAAAATAAGCAGGCACTTCTAGAACTGTAGGGCTTGGTCTGTGTGTAAAGAAAGGAGGCTAGTTAAAGCCACACTGAGCCTGCAGTAGAGGCTAAGGAGAGTCAGAATTGGCTAGGTGGTCCCAGTATAACAGTTTGTATAAAGCAAGATAAGTCTTTTTTGCTCACAACTGAAATTGTGGCAAGACAATCTGTTTTTATCTGTATAAACCTAAATATTAAAAGTTCCTCAAGTTGAGGAATAAAATAATATCCAACCAAGTATTTTCTTTACAGGACACACAATAACAGCGAAGTAAAATGTTTTCAGTTATGTAGAAAAATTCTTCAGGATGTTTAGTGGAAAACCAAACAAAGGGATGGGCAGAAGTATATCGTGTGAACAAAATATTGTAAAATTATTTATGTCAGAGTATATATGGAGATAATATTAAATGAAACAATGTCGCCTTTTATATACCCCCAAAGAAATCAATATAAGAAAGAAAATGTACAAAATATTGATTTGATCATAGTAGAAGATATATAAGTATTTATACCCCTTTCTCAGTAAAATAAATAGATACAGCCTAAACCTAACCTTATAAACGGGTTATATTAAAATATAAAAGAGTTCCCTTTCTTCTACATTTGGAAAACAGATAATCAGATAGAATAATGGGCAAAAGACTTAAAAAGACACACCATAGAAGAGGATATATAAATGGCCAATAAATATATGAAATGTTGCTTGATTTTTATTAGTTATTAAGAAAATACAACTTAAAACCACAATGGAATACAATTAGACACTGACCAGAATGGCTAAAATGCAGAAGAGGCAATATCAAGTGTTGAGGATGTGGAGTAACTAGAATTCGTCGACATTGGTGTTAGGATTATATATTGATAATGCTGCTCTGAAAGTGACTTGACACTATGACTATTATTAAAGAGGATATAACATACCTAGGCCAGGTGCTGTGGCTCATTCCTGTAATCCCAGCATTTTGGGAAGCCGAGGCGTTGGATCACTTGATCCCAGGAGTTCAAGACCAGCCTGGACAACATGGCAAAACCTCATCTCTACAAAAAATACAGAAATTACCCAGGCTTGGTGTTGCATGCCTGTAGTCCCAGCTATTTAGGGGGCTGAAGTAGGAGGATTGCGTGAGCCCGGGAGGTCAAGGCTACAGTGAATTTTGTTCACACCACTCTACTCCCTCTTGGATGACAAAGTGAGACCCTGTCTCAAAAAATATTTATATACATACCCTATGATCCAGTAACTCCACTCCTCAAAAAGCATATATATGTTCATCATGAAGCTTGTGTAAGAATTTTCATAGCATCATTATTTACAGTGAAAATCTGGAAACAACTAGAACAGTCTTCAGAATTAGAATAAATGGATAAGTACATTGTGATATGTTAGCATAATAGAATGCTGTTTAGCAACAAAAGTGAGCAAACTAAAACTGAATGTGACAACATGGTTTAATCACATAAAACTGAAAATTGAAGAAATTATTATATTCAAAAATCTAGATAATTTTAGAAATCAAGATAGCATTCATACCCTTTTTGGAGTGGCTAGTGACTGGAGGGCACAAGAAAGGCTTTTGGGGATGCTGATAATGTTTTGTTTCTTCATCTAGGTACTGGTTACATGGGCGTGTTCAAAAATTCCTTGAGCTATACACTTGATGTACTTCAAGAATATCCTTAGCAACATTATTTATAATAGAAAATGGAAACTAATTTCAACATTAGGGGATTGGTTAAATAGGTATATATTTTCTATAGAATATTATGCAGTCATTTTTTATGTTAATCTGTATTGCCATACAGAGAATGTTCAAGGTACATTTAGTGTCAGAAGCAGATGATAGTGCAGTATATACATTGGCACATTTTTAAAAAGGGTGGGGTTGTATTATGTATATTTTCAGGTAGAAAATAAGAAATGATAAACACTAAAGTACTACCAGTTGTTAATTCTTGGTAACAGGGTTTGGGCAGTCGTATATCTTGTTTTTTTAGTATTTTTTTCCTCCAGTGATTATGTGTTATATGTAATTTTAAAATGTTATAAATAGAAAAATCAGTAGAGGGACTATTAGAATGAAATAATTATTTCTGGAAATAAAAGAAATGCTTACGTTTGGGATAGAATAAGTGTTGTTTTTTTGGTTTTTTTTGAGACAGAGTCTTGCTCTATTGCCCAGGCTGGAGTGCAATGGTACGATCTTGGCTCAATGCAATCTCTGTCTCCCAGGCTCATGCAATCCTCCCACCTCAGCCTCCCAAGTAGCTGGGACTACAGGCACGTGCCACCATGCCTGGCTAATTTTTGCATTTTTTGTAGAGATGAGGTTTTGACATGTTTCCCAGGCTGGTCTTGAACCCGTGGGCTCAAGCGACCCACCTGCCTTGGCCTCCCAAAGTGCTGGGATTGCAGACCCTTAGCCACTGTTCCCAGCCAGAGATATTAATAATTGGACTGTTAGGATTAGAGAAATAATGTCTGAAGAGGACATTTGAATCACTACTAAGTGATTTTGAGGAGTCTAGGAGCCTCACAGAGTCTTCAACATTCAGTATGAGGGTTGATCTTCTAAGTCCCTCTCTTCTTCACTGTGTCTTTATGTTAATAATGGGAACTTACGGGGAAGTATTTCTGTGATATAAATGTCAATAGTTTTAAATTTTGTTATAGAGATGCTAGTTGAGAGATTAATCTGAAATCATACTGTTTATTAAACTCTTTTTTTTTGTTGTTTAAGACAGGGTCTCGCTCTGTCGCCCAGGCTGTAGTGCAGTGGTGCAATCTTGGCTCACTGCAACCTTCACCTCCTGGGTTCAAGCGATCCTTTTGCCTCAGCCTCCCAAGTAGCTGGGATTACAGGCATGTGCCGCCATACCTGGCTAACTTTTGTATTTTTGCTAGAGACGGCGTTTCACCGTGTTGCTCAGGCTGGTGTTGAATTCCCGTGCTCAAGTGATCTGCCCACCTCAGCCTCCCAAAGTCCTGGGATTACAGGCGTGAGCCATTGCATCTGGCCTAATCTCTTTTTATTATTTTTTTTAATGTGTACACTTTGTTATCTGAAAATAAAATAATGACTCTACCTATAGTAAAAACTATTTTCTGGTTTAATTTTAGTTCCAAAAAAGGAACTTAGCTAGATGAAGTCCTGTGATGTAGACTTAAGGTCCACTGATATAGACCCCATATTAAGGTATTCAATATTTTTATGTATGCCTAATATCTTAACAGTGTTGATTTTGAATAGCTCATATAATACAGCTTTTTAATTTCAAAGGCAATCGACTTAGCGGAATTCTAGTAGTTAAAAAAAATTAAATTGCCAGGCATGGTGGTTCACACCTGTAATCTCAGCACTTTAAGAAGCTGAGGTGGGTGGATCGCTTGAGCCTAGGAGTTTGAGACCAGATTGGGCAATATGGCAAAACCTCATCTCTTCAAAATACAAAAATTAGCTGGGTGTGGTGGTACATGCCTGTGGTCCCAGCTACTCGAGAGGCTGAGGTGGGATCTCTGGAGCCCAGAGAAGTCGAGACTGCAGTGAATCGAGATGGTGCCACTGTACTCCAGGCTGGGTGACAGAATGAGACCCTGTCTCAAAAAAAAAGAGAAAAAATCAGTTTTAATAATATTTTATCTCCTGGGCATTTGATTCCTTGATACTAATAAAGTACACTTGGGTTTTCCCTGTTTTAAAATGGGGGACATAGTACTTAAGTCATTGGGTTATTAGGACAAACACATTTAAAATGAGTGACCCACAGTTAATACTTAGATGAAAGTTAATTTTTTCCTGTCCTTTATAAAATAGGTATGTTTTTATGGGAATTTATCCCTAAGAAAACTTTGGCAATATTTTCAGGAGTCGAAATAAAGTATGTAAAACTTTTTTTTTCTTAATTTTTAGAAGAAACCAAAGACACAGAGGCTCCCACAGCACCTCAGAATAGCCAGTTAACGTGGAAGCAAGGCAGACAGCTTTTAAGACAGTGAGTAATTACTTATTTTCAACCTTCTTTAAGGATCTAGGTATGAAAGTGCTTATACTGAATCACTTTACAAGTAAAAAATCATATTGGGACAATGTGTATGTTTTTTGTATTGCTGCTTTTTTTGCTGTGTAGATGCTTGGATCTTTTTAAAAGTTTGTTTCCTCTGAGTTTCAGGGTGATGTTGTCTTCTTACTTGCAGGGTAGAATGTCCAAAAGACTGGATGACTTGAGCAGAACAAAAACAATATAAAATTCATACTTGATAGAGCCCTCCATTCCTTTCAGTGCAGAATTCACACATTTCTTTTCAGTGTGGGTGTGACCGGTCTAGAGAATGAATTTAGTTGAATTCATCTGAAACTTTTCAGAAGTGGATTGCCAAATCTTCCTTTCAGTTGAATTTTTAAGGAGCTTTTTTGAATTTTGAATTACTTGCTGTATTGGAAATATTTCTCTGGCAAATCTTTTTTGTCTTTCATGTATTATTTTCCTTATATTTTGAAAATTTTGGGATTTGTAGCCTACTGATATCCTGGGTGATTTTCAGTTATTCAGCCTTTTCTGCTGTAGGTATCTTTACCTTCACTCTTGATCTTGTAGAACTATCTTTAGAATATTTCATAGTCTGGACAGTCATCATGCATTCCACCTCCGACCACTGTGTTATTTGCCCTCTGACTTTACCATGATTTTTAAATCCTTAACTATATAATTTTTCTCTTTAGCTCTTCTACCTATGGTTGCTTTTATTTTATTTCTGTTTCCCTAGCTCTAGCTTAGACTCCATAATTGATCACCCTTATCTAGTATTTTCTTGCTGCCCACTGTTTACCACTTCCTCACCAGTCATTTTACTAAATGTACCTGAAAAACTCTAGCCCTTGTTCACTATGTCTGTCTCTTTCTAGTTAACTCTTGGATAAAAACTACAGAATCATGTGAATACTATTATGTATTCATAGTTTCCTGTCCAAACATTGCAGAGAGCCTTTTTTCATAACCCTTGGCCACCCCCTGCTTCCATTGTCCTCAGTGGATATTCTAAACTTTTACCACATAGCCCATTCTCCCTTATTTCATTAAAGCACTTCAGGCTCTGCTTCATGGAAAATGTGAAGGCTGTCAGGTGGCAATTCCCTTAACACTTTCCTTTCTGTAAATGTATTTTTTTTTTTGGAAACGGAGTCTATGTCTATCACCCAGGCCGGAGTGCAGTGGCACAATCTCTGCTCACTATCACCTCCGCCTCCCGGACTCAAGAGATTCTCCTCCCTTAGCTGGAGTACAGTGGCGCCATCTCAGCTCACTGCAACCTCCGCCTCCCGGGTTCAAGCAATTCTTCTGCCTCTGCCTCCCGAGTAGCTGGGACTACAGGTGCATGCCACCATGCCCGGCTAGTTTTTGTATTTTTAGTAGAAATAGGGTTTCACCATGTTGGCCAAGATGGTCTTGATCTCCTGACGTCGTGATCTGCCCGCCTTGGCCTCCCAGAGTGCTGGGATTACAGGTGTGAGCCACCGCACCTGGCCTCTGTAAATGTATTTAAACCTCTTATATTTTACTTTAGTTTCTTACCATTCAAAAAGGTATTTATCAGTCCAGGCTCTCCTTATAAGTGACTAAAATTTGAAGGAAAGAATAGATTATTGATTGGAAGGATGCTGGATAACTAGCAGAATTGAAGGAAATAATGAACAACCAAGTGTCAGGAAGTGAAGAGCTAGGATAGCTTGGAGGCCCTCTCAGACTGGAAACTCTAAAGACATTCTTATTTGATTTTCTGCTCCTCTCTATCTTAGGTTTATTCTTTTCTTCTGAAAACCACTTTTTTTCTGTATGTCAGAGAACACTCTGTAAGTGTTGTCCTGACTGATCAAATAATTGCCCATGAGTCAGTCATTTTTACCTGGGTTGTATGAGATCTTGGCAGTTCATTCAGACCAAGTGGTTAGAGTATGATGGGAGCTGTTCTCCCCAAGAGAGGACTGCATTTTTTAGAAGAAAAGTGAGGACAGCTTTTCTGGACAGTAGAGAAATCACTTGGACAGTATTCCTCTCATAAATGCCTAATCCCATTGCCTGATTTACAATTTAGTCTCTTGCCACCTTTATCTTTCCCTGTAACTTTATAGCTAAACTTGTTAAAGGTAGTTTATCTCCATAGTCTTCCTTCTTGTTCATTTGTCAGCTGTCTGTTTTCCATTTTGACATTCCTCTGAAGCAACTATCACAAACGTATTCAAGAGACCTTTTTTGTTATAATTGGTGTCTTGGAAAAATTTGACATTAACTATTCCTTCTTGAAACTTTTATTTTTGCTTCCATGACAGCACTCTCTGCTATCATTTTTTTCCTCTAATTTCTCAAATATTTTCATTTTCCTTTGAGTTTTTATTATGATTCTAGTCCTTTGGTTGTTTGTATACCCAGACTTTCTCTCCTTATTTATGCTTATTCTCTGAGTGACTTCATTTAAATCCATGGCTTCAAATATTACCAAAGATTAATGACCCACATCTGTATACCCAGGCCAGTCTCTTCTGAGCTTTTGATTTGTATCATCTATGTGCCTAATAAACATTGTCACTTGTATTTTTTTATAGACACTATATGGTTGTCTGATAGGTACTGTATAAACTTGATTCTGACTCTGTATAATTTTTTTGAATGTACCCATCATGTAACCATCCAAGCTAGAAACCTGAAAATTGTGTAGAGTTCTTACTTGTTTATTCATTCTACTTCCACATACATTTGTGCATCATGTCAAAGAGATTGTATCTTGCTTATTTTTTTTCACATTTATTCTCCTCCATTTTTACTTCTTGCTAGTGTCCTGATCTAGTCTTTTTCTCTTTAGCATTCACCTAAAAATCTTTTGTTCTTCTGCCAGCAGTATTTAAGGCATCTTTTAAGCATCCTTCATTAGCCTCTTAAATACTTTAATTTGTCACAGAACCATTCACAACTCATTATCTTTGTATCATAATCTAGTCCCTTTCTTCTTTTCCAGTCTCATCTTAGATCCTAGGTTAAGTTCCTTAGTTTAGATATGGTGAAAGATTGAAAATCACAGGACTGGAGGAGTGCTATGAGATCTTAGATCCTAGAAGGAGAATTAGTGTGTTCATCAATCTCTAGTTAACAACCCCAGGTTTAAACTTAGTATGTCTGTGTGCTAAGATGCAGTTCTACTCATTCTTTACTGCTCCTTGGAAATTAAAAAATGTGTGTGTGTTGTGTTTGTGTGTGTGTGTGTAAATTAAAAACAATGTGTGGTTGTGTGTATGGAAATTTAAAAATGTGTGTGTGTGTGTATATAATCCTAAAAGCATTTTAAGACACTAGGGCTTCTTGGGTTTTGAGATAATTGGCTCTTAATCAGTGTTAACCATACTATATGCTTTTTAATTTAAATTTTGGTTTGTATTTGGTATTGTTCTCTTAGAACTGGAACTAGTCTGTAGAGAAGAAAGATACTGAGACAAAGGGAGAGCATATTTTATAGGATTATGGGTTTTTCTAAAATTTGATGTGATTTTGAGTCTGGCACATGTTAACAGTATGTGGATTTTAATATTTATTTTCTCTTACAGGTATCTTCAGGAAGTAGGTTATACAGATACAATATTAGATGTACGGTCTCAGCGGGTAAGGTCATTACTTGGACTATCTAATTCAGAACCAAATGGATCAGTAGAAACAAAGAATTTAGAACAGATCCTGAATGGAGGTGAATCTCCTAAGCAAAAGGGACAAGAAATAAAAAGGTATGATTTATACTTAACATAGTTTATATAATGGATATTATGGATATTGTTATTGTTAATCTCTTTAGCTCCTTGTTACTGCCATTAAGAACTTTTTTTTTTTTTTTTTTGACACGGAGTCTTGCTCTTGTCGCCCAAGCTGGAGTGCAATGGTACGATCTCGGCTCACTGCAACCTCCGCCTCCCAGGCTCAAGCAATTCTCCTGCCTCAGCCTCCCAAGTAGCTGGGATTACAGGCACCCACCACCACTCCTGGCTAATTTTTTGTATTTTTAGTAGACACGGGGTTTCACCACGTTGGCCAGGCTGGTTGCGAACTCCTGACCTCAGGTGATCCACCTGCCTTGGCCTCCCAAAGTGCTGGGATTACAGGCGTGAGCCAGCGTGCCCAACTGCTATTAACAATTTTTAAAGCAGATCGAGTTCAGAGTTAAAGACCTAGCCACCTCCCACCCCACTCCATGGTACCATGAGCAAATAAATTTTCTAAATTTTCTGTTTAATGGCTTTCAAAATTTATCTATGTTAAGTTGGTGTTTGTTTTTTGAGTCAGGGTCTGGCTTCATTGCCCAGGCTGGAGTGCACTGGTGTGCTGTCGGCTCATGGCAGCCTCTGACTTCCATGCTCAAGTGATCCTCCCACCTCAGCCTCCTGAGTTGCTCAGATTCCAGGCATGCGCCACTATGCCCAGCTAATTTTTTTTATTTTTTGTGGAGATGGGTTCTTGCTCTGTTGCCCAGGCTGGTCTCAAACTCCTGGCCTTAAACAGCCTGCCCGCCTCAGCCTCCAAAAGTGCTGGGATTACAGGCATGAGCCACCGTACCCAACCTGTTAAGTTTTGATAACAACAGAATGACTAGTTCGAAATAGGTGCAGAATCAGATTTGAGACTGATTTCATGTAGTTCAGAGCTATTTTAACATCCTTATTTTAAAATTTTTTGCTAGAGTATTTTCAACAAATTATAATGCTACTCTCACTAGAATGAGCAATGGTTATTTAGACCCTAGCGTGAAAGAAACAAAGCTTTGCATTGTGTTTGGATTCAGAAAGCTACCAGATAAAAATGTTTATTGAAATAGAATTTACATATCATAAAATTTACCCATTAAAAAAATACGATTTAATAGTTTTTAGAATACTTAAAGAATTGTTCAGCTATCACCGCAATCTAAGTTTAGAACATTTTCATCACCCCTAAAAGAAACCCCATACCCATTAGGTGGCCGCTCTCCATTTCTCCCTATCTCCCAACCCTGGGCTACCACTAATCTACTCTCTGTCTCTGTAGATTTGTATATTCTGGATATTTCATATAAGCAGTCTTCTGTAAGTGGCTTCTTTCACTTAGCATATTTTCAAGGTTTATCCGTGTTATAGCATGCATCAGCACTTCATTCCTTTTTATTTCTGAATAATACTCCATTGTGGATATACTACGTTTGGTTTATGTGTTTCTTTTTTATTTTATTATTATTATTTTTGAGACAGGGTCTTACTCCATTTCCCAGGCTGGAGTACAGTGGCATGATCACGGCTCACTGAAGCCTTGACCTCCCTAGGCTCAGGTTATCCTCCCACCTCAGCCTCCCGAGTAGCTGGGACCACAGGTTCACAACACCATGCCTGACTAATTTTTGTAGAGACAGGATTTTGCTATGTTGCCCAGGTCTTGAACTCCTGGGCTCAAGCAGTCCGCCCTCATTGGCCTTCCAAAGTGCTGGGATTACAGGCATCAGCCATCACACCCGGCCTTCATTGTGTGTTTCTTATATAGGTGATGGGTATGTGGGTTGGTTCCAAGTTTTGGACTAATGAAGAAGATTGAGGACCTGCCAAACTCTTTTCCAAGGTAGCTGCACTGTTTTACCTCCCCACCAGCAGTACTAAAAGGATTCTGATTTCTCCACATCCTCATCAACACTTGTTATTGTCTAACAGATATACTTTTGATGAATACGGAATTGATAAATACAAGGAGTTAAGCATTTTTACCATGAGACGTTACCCTGAGTAACATAGGTTAGAAAGACAAAGAAAATGGGGAAAAAACCAGATGAGTTCATTGAGGTCATTTAGAGCTTAATAAATAAATAATGTATATAGTTTATAAACATTATTTTATACCCTAGATGTATTTTATGATATTGTGCAGTTATCTAAAATATATTCTGGTCGACTGGGCACAGTAGCTCATGTCTGTAATCCCAGCACTTTGGAAAGCTGAGGCGAGTGAATCACTTGAGATCAGGAATTCAAGACCAGCCTGTTGACCAACATGGTGAAACCCCATCTCTACTAAAAATATAAAAATTAGCTGGGTGCACGCTTGTAATCCCAGCTACTTGGGAGGCTGAGGTGGGAGGATCGCTTGAACCAGGAGGCAAAGGTTGCAGTGAGCTGAGATCATGCCATTGCATTCCGGCCTGGGTGACACAGCGAGACTCCATCTCAAAAAAAAAAAAAAATGTGTATATATATGTGTATATATATATGTATGTGCGTGTGTCTGTGTGTGTATATATATATATATATACGTGTATATATACATGTATATATATGTGTATATATTATGTATATATACATGTATATATATGTGTATATATTATGTATATATACACATATACATATGTGTGTATGTGTATTTTTTTCTGTAAGGTTTAAAGTTAACATAAGCCTTTGATTTCGAGTTTTCATTTCTGAGAAATGACTATTAAAGTCAGTTTGACATCAGATAGAGCCCTTATTTTCTATACTGTGATTTCAGGAAGCATAGAGTGTTTTGTAGCATAAGAGAAAAAGCGGAAATATTATCAAATATTTTTAGCCAAACTGGTCACCCACGTAGTTCATAGAATTTGTAAATATTTTACAGCAATACAGGTTTGCCATACCACGTCTGACTCTGAATCTGAATCAAAGATCCTTTCGTTTTTTTCCCCCTCACTCTTAGTATCATCTTACAAAGATCCTCGATAAGCTGTATCTTCTCCTTGTAAAGCTTCTTGCCTTTGCAAAATTAAGATTTTGATAGTTTTTTGGAGTGTGTGTGCATGCGTGTATGTTAAATACAACATGGGATCTGCCCTCTCAACAAACTTTAAAGTGTGCAGTATTGTTAACAGAAGCACAAAGTTCCAACTCTCTGGAACTTTTTCATCTGGTATGACTGGAAACAATAACTTTCGAACAGCAGCTCCCCATTTCCTCCTCCCTCCGGCCCCTGGCAACCACTATTCTACTTTGTGTTTCTGGGTTTGACTACTTTAAGTACCTCATGATTGGACTCATGCAATATTTGTCCTTCTGTGGTTAGCTTATTTTACTTAGCGTAATGTCTTCATGGTTCATTCTTGTTGTCATTTATGACAGGATTTCCTTCTTTTCATAACCAACGATATTCCAATGTATGCATATACTGCATTTTCTTTATTTCTTTACCTGTTGATGGACATGTAGGTAATAGTTGTTTATTTGTTTAGTGTTGTTTTGAATGGTGTCTTGCCCTGTTGCCCAGGCTGGAGTGCAGTGGCACAATCACAGCTCACTGTAGCCATAACTTCCCAGGCTCAAGCAATCCTCCCACTTCAGCCTCCAGAGTAGCTGGGACTACAGCCACATGCCACCACACCTGGCTGATTCTTTAAGTTTTTGTAGAGACAGGACCTCATTATGTTCCCCAGGCTGATCTTGAACTCCTGGACTCAAGTAACCCTCCTGCCCCAAGCAACTTCCTGCCTCAGCCTCCTAAAGTGCTAAGATTATAGGCATGAGCCACTGCGCCTGGCCGGAAATAGTTGTTTTAATCGAGGCTTTCTTCTTAATGCATACAATAACATTTTCTGATTCTGCCCTAATGTAGGCATGTTATGGTTGAGCCATTATTAGGGCCATTTGAAAACCCCTAGGAATAAGAAAATGATATAACATGTGGATCAAGATTTCAGCAAAATGATGTTTATTACATTCTTATTTATAATAGGAAAAAATTAGAAGCAGTCTTAATGTCCAAAAGTAGAGGATGGTAAATTTCAGATTCATATTTTAGAGGCAGTATGCCTAATGGTTAAGAATATGAATTCTGAAGACAGACTGGATTTGAATCCTAACTTAACCACTAGTTACTAGCCATCACTTTGGACAAGGAACATTACTTTCCTTATTTGTAAAATGAGGATCATAGGATTGATGTGAGGAAGGAATGAATTAATGTAAAGCATTTAGAACAATGCCTGACACACAGTAAGTGTTATATAATTGTTAGCTATTAGGAAATATTGTGTATCTAGTTGAAATGTGACCCCCACCAAGACTAGTGTTTATTAGATGCTATCGAGTGAGTGGCACTATTGTATTTCTTGATTTATGGTAGGGTATGGTTGTGGTTGTATAGTGCATCATATCACAAAGCATCTACTTTATAAGGACTCATTGGGAAAGTTCTCTTAGATCTTATAACTGGGAAAAGTTGTGCTGTTTCTTAATAATTGGTCTTATTTACCTTTGAACCTCCAGTTGTTGCTCCCCGCCCACCTCTTTTTTTAACCGTGTTTGGAATCTCAGGGCCAAATTTGTGGGCCTCCTCTAGAAAATGCATTGACACATTTAGTCTTTTACTTAGCAGCCTTACCTTTGGCTTCATTTTGTTTTCCCTTTCATCTGGATTTATTCATTTTTAAGATTCTGTTGTCTCTTTAGAATGAGAGAGGGTAGTAAATAAATAGTTGGCAAAGAGAAAAATTATCCACAGATGGAGACTTCCATTTTAAATATGGTAGGTTAAAGTCACATATTACTTGTGTGCCTTTCAGAAATTTTGCTAAAGGACAGTGAAGGGCTTAAGATGCATTAACACAAAAGAACAACAACAAAAAAAACAATGACATACAGAAAGAATGAGAGAGTATACTGTCTGTGAGATAGGGAGAATTTAACGATTTGGAATCCAGAAAGAAAATGGAGGAATGGCAACTGACTGAGTGACCCTGGGAAAGCTTATTAAACATAAGTGCATTTGAGAGTGATAGGATGAAGAAAAGGAATAAGCCAATTCAAGTCACAGAATTCCAGTAAAGCCACAAAGGCTAAGGAATTATAGGTATTCAGTGAGGTTTAAATAGGGGTATGAATAGAGAATTGGTTTAAAGTTTATTTAAGAAGCACAGGCTGGGCATGGTGGCTCACGCCTGTAATCCCAGCACTTTGGGAGGCTGAGGTGGGCAGAACACTTGAGATCAGGAGTTTGAGACCAGACCAGCCAACGTGGTGAAACTCCATCTCTACTAAAAGTACAAAAATTAGCTGGGCATGGTGGCAGGCGCCTGTAATCCCAGCTACTAGGGAGGCTGAGGCATGAGAATCGCTTGAACCTGGTAGGCAGAGGTTGCAGTGAGCCGAGATCATGCCACTGTACTCCAGCCTGGGTGACAAAGGGAAACTCCATCTTGGGGGGAAAAAAAAAGTTTAAGAAGCACAATGTTGAATCCTCTCTTTCATCTTGTGAAGCTGGTTTAACACCACCCCTCCCCTACTCCAAAGAATGGTAGTGTATTTTCCACC
Organism: Homo sapiens; assembly: GCF_000001405.40. Taxonomy (NCBI): domain Eukaryota; kingdom Metazoa; phylum Chordata; class Mammalia; order Primates; family Hominidae; genus Homo; species Homo sapiens. The sequence continues at coordinate 30,941,530 of NC_000014.9, read as the reverse complement.
AGTGATTTTTGTTTTCTCAAGAAATAAAACAACTGAAAGATGGGGTTATTGTATAAAATGAAAACAGCAGGGTTGTATGAAAGTCTCCAGCTGAGCATTGAGGTCTCCTGTTTTCTCCTACTGTGTGACTTCCAGTATGTTGGCAGCTTTTATCCCTTACAAGCAAGATATTGAAGTTGAATCACATTAATAGGAAAGGCCTAATGGTACTGAAAATTGGGATATGTCAGTGAAATGGCTGGGCCTGTGTCCTATCATGCAGAAGTTAAGTCAGCAGCTTGACAAGAGATAGCCATATTCTTAGTCCTTCTGGGCTGCTGTAACAAAATACCGTAGACTGAGTAGCTTATAAACAATAGAAATTTATTTCTCACAGCTCAGGAGGTTGGGAAGTCTAAGATCAATGTGTCAGCATGGTTGGGTTCTGGTGAAGACCCTTTTCTGGGTTGCGGACTGCCGACTTCCCACTGGGTTTTCGCATGGTGGAAAAGGCAGGCTCCTTTGGGCCTCTTTTATAAGGGTACTAATCCTATTCATGAGGACTCTGTCCCCATGACCTAGCCACTTACCAAAGGCCCACCTCTTAATACCATCATATTGGGGATTAGGTTTCAAAATAGGAATTTTGCTGAGGGACATAAACATTCAGACCATGGCACCCATGTAGACAGTACACCAGTTAGGACCAAAAAGATAGGAAAATTCAAAGATCAAGTTGAGAGGGTCAATGTCGGACTAGGAGTTTCAAAAAGAGAAAACAAATCAAGTGTTGAAAACTTGATTAAAACAGTAATACAAGAAAACTCTCTGGAATATATTTTCAGAATGTATTTCCAGGGATGTTTGTTTCCAGATTGAAAGGATTCTTTCCAGTTACTCCATAAAATCAATGAAAAAAGATCCATACAGCGGCCATAATCATGAACACTAAAAATTAAGAGGAAATTCTAAAATCTTCCAGATAGAAAAATTAGACTACATTGAAAAGACTAGGAATCAGGCATTATTAAATTAACATTCAAAGCTGGAATATAGGAGAGCAGTGCCTTAAAGATTCTGAGGGAAAGTGAGTTCCATTTAGATTTGTATACTGAGCCAAGTACTGTATTGTTTGTGAAAGTATTAATAGCAAAAAGAGACATTTAGATATGAAAGCCTCAAATTTACCCTTCATTTTTTCTCAGGAAGCTATTGGAGATGTTTCTCAGAATTCTGAGAGACTAAGTCAAGAAGGAAGAAAGTGTAGGATCCAAGAAAAAAGATATCTAATAAAGAGAGGCAAAGGAAATTTCAGGAAACAGTTGTGCAGTGGGCCTGGACATTAGCCAGAGTAGAATGGAAGGAGGACAGAACACTGGAAGGAACGTTTCTTAGAAAATATGAAATTAATACATTGCTTTATGTGTTTGAGGATTTTGAAAGGAGATGTACAGTTCTGCTGGAAAATTTCAGAGGAGAATAGTGGTAACATCCTTGGAAAACCAGGCAATTAAAAAAAAAACACACTAGGCAGTTATTTCAGGAAAACTATATATAAAAGAAAGGAAGTAGAGTCATTGTAATGTGATTTACATGGACATACTAATATGTACTTACAGTGTAACCATGGAATATTAATAAAGCCAAAAGTAAACTGATGTAACTATATTACTGTTATGGGAGGAAGTGTGGATGTGGGATGGAGACTGTAAGGGAACTACATTTTTATCAAGAAATAGCAATCTGAGCATGTTATTTAGAAAAAATAGGGTAAATAACAAAGGGAAGCTTCTTTAAAAATAAGTTTAAAAATGGTTGTTCCTAGTGTGTAGGAATCAAAGATAGAGAAGGATGGGGCAGGGGACTCTCTTGTTACTCATTGTATGCCTTGTCAATTTATTTAGAACTATTTGGCTTTTTTTCTCCTAAGTATTTCCTAGCAAGCAGAACTTCATTTTAGCAACTGCAGCAACAGCAGCAACAGCAAAAGATTGACGATACTCATGATCCCCAAATTATTCTTAGCTAACTTCAGTAGAGCTCTAAAAGTTGCCTGACAAACCTTTTCTTTTTCTTCACTGGCTGATTCCTTATTTCATTCTTCAGCTCAGCAACTCTTCTAATCTTTTTCTACTCTTCATCAACTCCACTCCAGACTGCGTTCCTTAATTTTAGTCATTCTTATAAGTTTGTGACCCTACCTCATTTTTGTTTTGTTTTTTAGAGACAATTCTCCACTGATCTGTTTCTAAACATCCTGTGAGCAGAGACACATATTGCCCTTTTATTCTGGACTATCTATTTAAGGATATTTATATAACAAACAACCTTGTAAGATAGAGACAGTCTTCTGGGAAGTCATGCTTACTGTTCAGTATAAATGATTCAAGTTCCCTAAGCTCAGAGTTCCTCCGCTATAATTCAAATGAAATGTAAGTGTAACATCTACCTGATTACCTCCTTGCCACCCTTGTGGGACTTGGGCAAAGGAAATTCAGCAAACATGATCCTATTACTTTCTGTGCTCCTGAGGAGAATTCTTGTCTCTGACTCAATTTTATGACTTATTTCAGGATCCATGAAACAGTAATAGGCTAGGTTGTTAGCATGAAGGCAGGGAAAAACCTGAGACCTTTCATAGTCTATGATCCTTTAATTTTTATTTCCCTAAAGACTAATGATGTTGAGCATCTGTTCATATGCTTATTTGCATTCCACCTATCGTTATGATGCAATGTCTATTTGAAATATTTCCCCATTTTTTATTGTTTTGTTACTGTTAAGGTTTAAGTGTTCTTTATATACCCCTTGACACAAGTTTTTCATGAAATATAACTTGCAAATATTTTTTCACAATTTATAGGCTTTTCTTTACATTCTCTTGGTGTCTTTCAAAGAGCGAATGTTAATTTTGGTGAAATCTGATTGACCAATTCTTTCTTTTATGCATTGTGTTCCATTTGACTTTTAAAGCCATGCACATGTATTGCTGTGATTAAATACAGTTTTAAAACCTGGAAACAGGAGGTACTCTTACTTTAGAGACAGAAATTTCTATCCAAGGAGCAGCAGTACTTAATTTTTCAAAGTTCAAAACAAATATATCTTTAAAAAAAATTCTTTTAAATTATTGTATCATTGATATGCTACTTTTGTCAAATGCATTCATTGCCTTTCACTTACTCTCCAAATATTAAGTTATATTGTAAATTTTGAGCTGAAAGTATATTTTGTTGTGGTAGATTTGTGGTTGTTTTTACTAATTTGCATTTGAAGAAACCATCTCCTACATTCAGTCATTATACAGTTCCTTTAAACAGTGTGCTGGATTGGGTGGGATATAGTACAACCTATTAAAACTCTTTGTTAATGCTATTTAAAAAATATAGTCAACCCTTTCTATCTGTAGGTTCTACATCTATGGATTGAAAATACCACATTGAAAAAAAAAACGACAATTAAAAAATAAAATAATACAAATTTAAAAATACAGTGTGACACCTATTTACGTAGTATTTACAGTGTATTAGGTATTATAAATAATCTAGAGATGATTTAAAGTATACTACAGGGAGAATGTGCGTAGGGACTTCAGCATGATAGGGAGGTATGTATGCTAGAACCACTGCCTCATGGAAACCAAGGGACGACTATAATCTGAATTGTATTACATGCTTAATTTGGACTAATGGAGGGAACCAGTCAGAGAGGGGGGCAAAAACCCTCCCTGAGTTTTATATTATTTTTCTTTTTGTTACCATGTACTCTTAGTAAAGACATTTAAAAACATTTGAGATAATCTAATTCAGCCCCCACAATTTACAGGTAAAGAAATTGAGGCCAAAAGATTTAAATGGTTTGGCCAAATTCAAGCAGCTGCTTAGTGGCAGAGCAGAGAATTTTCATGGTGAAAGTCTTTGTTCAGCTGAATTTTCTACTGTTTTGTTGCTGCCTTTATTGTTAGACACTTAAACAACTGTATGAAAACCTTTTTTTGTGTGTGCATAGAGAAACTCAAATTAGTTAAAAGATTTAGTTAAGTGGATAAAATATATATATTGTCCCTATTACCTGTTAAATAAGTGATTCTGCAAGACTTAAAAGTATTTATTTAATAGATTTTGAGTTATTTTTTCTAGCTAAGACAGTCTGTGAAATGGATTGGGTTGTTTTATATCTGATTTACTATAAATCTGGGCTGCTTGATAAATTATTTTTAAGTTTTTTTGTTTTCATTTTGAGACTGGGTCTTGCTCTGTCACCCAGGCTGGAATGCAGTATATAGTCATAGCTCACTGCAGCCTCAACCTCCTGGGTTCAAATAATCCTCCTATCTCAGCCTCCTGAGTAGCTGAGACTATAGGCACACACCACCATACCCAGGTAATTTTTTTTTTTGAAGATGGGTTTCACTGTGTTGCCCAGGATGGTGTTGAACTCTAGGCTCAAGCGATCTTCCCCTCTTCACCTCCCAAAGTGCTGGGATTACAGGCATGAAGCACTGTCCCTGGCCCCGCCTGATAAACTTTGGTATTTACTGTTTTAGTCCTCAAACATTTAGACCAAACTGTAAGAGGTTGTAGTTATAAGAAAGGCCAAGTTTCAGTTGCTTGTTTATGATGGTTTTATTTTGAGAACTAATAATATGTGTTTGAGTGTCTAATACTATAGGATTTTATTTTGTTGCAGTAATTACCTAAAATATTTTGGACAATGAACTTTGGAGAAAGTCAGCAGAGAATAATTACTTTTATTTCAGTTGTAGAACATAAATCTTTCAAACTTCTTTTCTTGAATAAAGCCCTCAGACAGTAGGTAGTCATTCGAATCTCTCTAGTTTTAAGAATTGATTTAAAATGGGAACCAGAAAGAAATATTAGAACCAACCATTGGAATAGTTGGATTTATCTTTTTTTCCTTCGCACAGGTCCTCTGGTGATGTTCTTGAGACGTTCAATTTCTTAGAAAATGCCGATGACAGTGATGAAGATGAGGAAAATGACATGATCGAAGGCATCCCAGAAGGAAAAGACAAACATCGGATGAATAAACATAAAGTAGGAATTACATTTTATATTCTTATTAGCTATATATTCATGTAGTTGGAATGGGAATTTTTAAGATATCTTAAGTTACATTGGGAGTGATTGATCATCTTTACTTTACATATTGGTTAAAAGTTTTATGTGGTCAGCTCTTTTTGCATTACACACATAGAGTAGGAATTGTTTGCTATATTATTCACTAAATGGGCAAGAAAAGGTCTGTATTTATAGGACTAGTCCATTGATTTTGAAACCTTTTTAAAGCAATGCCCTTTCCACTTCTGCTACAGTTGAGAATCACTGCTGAAGTCTGTCTCTTCATGTACAGCACACCAGTGATAAATTAACTGAAGTTGCAATGGGAATACTTCCACCCTGGGTGAGGGAGTAATCTGTGAATTATAAATAAGTCTCAACATTCTTGTATTTTAGTAAAGAATAATAAAAATTTACTTTTGCTCATAACCTAAGAAACAGGTTTATCTATTTGAGTGGTTTGAGGGGCTTGCTGTAGAAGCCAAAGTAGAGTTGATCGTCCATTCGTGGATTACCAAAGTAGTGTACAGCATTTCAACCATAGAAAAAAGTGGGTAGGTTTAGTTGTTGGTATTTGAGATTTTACGGTAACATAAGAAAAAAATGACAGTGTTCCACAAAAGTCTCTGGTCTACAAAATCAGTTTTCAGTCTTTTTTGACACATTCTATATGTATAACGTAGTCTATTTGGGTGAATAGAGATTTTGATCCTTTTAATTTTTTTGTTCTGGAAGGTAAAGCACTATTATAATTATCACAGCTATGAATTTAAATTAGTTACTATGCCATATCTCTATGAGTGAAGGACGAATCATGCAGTTCCCATTTATGAGGTCAATTCAAGATAACATCAGAATGCAAATAAGTGACTGGTTCTTTAATGGAGGACTAACTGTGAATGTACTGTAATTTAAGAAGTTAACTGTTCTTGATGATTAGCATTTAAACCATTTTTAGTGCCACATTACTTAGATCAATCTTGGCACAGCACTGTTGAACCATTTATCTGAAGTATAATTTGGGATTTGTGAATTACATAGGAGATCTAAAATTTTTGATCCAAGTAATTTTAAAATGGGTGTGTAAATGTAGTTATGTGACAATATTAAAGCATCCCTTTTCCATTTAGGATAAAAGTAATTCTTGGTTTATATTCTATTTACAGATAGGTAATGAAGGTTTAGCTGCTGACCTAACTGACGATCCTGATACTGAGGAAGCACTGAAAGAATTTGATTTTTTAGTGACTGCTGAAGATGGTGAAGGAGCTGGAGAAGCACGGAGTTCGGGGGATGGCACAGAATGGGGTAAGGTGATAAAGAAATACCGGGTGGGAGGAAATCTAGCCCTTAATGATGGGTTATTATTAAATATTATATGTGGAATGTGTGTATAAATATATGGTGGCAGTTAAACGGAGAGCAAGGGGAAGTGGTTTTGAATAATATCAAGGTATTTTGTACCAATTTACTTAAATTTGGTGACTAAACTATTTAATATATATGGCTTTTGGTGGATTTTGATTTTTGGAATTTGTCTGGATTTAAAGTTGAAACATTTAATTGATTTGGAAATCCAATTTCTTTCCCTTTAGTCAATTTTTAAAAATTTATGTATTCAGTTTTAAACATTCCCGTTGTTTAATTTGGTATTCTAGATTTAGGAAGATTTAACTCTCTGTATGTCCATATAGTGTTATCTGACTAATTACTAGAATTAGTAATTAGTCAGTAATTAGAAATTAGTAATTAGAAAGTAATTAGAAAGAATAAAGCTACTCATCCTGAATTATAGCTCTATATTGAGCACAATTTAATGAAGATACTAAACTTTATTGCCTATAATATTCAGTGTGCAAAATGTTAGGGCCTAAACTTTGGAAGTGGTACATTGTGCTAATAATAATTCAGCCATAACTAAGAGAAAACCATTCTCTATCTGTACATGGTTAAAAACCCCATTAGGAAGTAAAATAAGTGTAAAAATATTTTAAGGTAATAGCTGACGTCATTTATGTTTTTCCTAGTAAATACATTCATGCAATCCTCATTTAATATCAGCATGTTGTGTGGTAGGTAGAACAAAGTGTGTTTACTGAGCTATATTGGAGAAGGTTGTTATTATTATTGTTATTATTATTATTTTTTGAGACAGAGTCTCGCTCTGTCGCCAGGCTGCAATGCAGTGGTGCAATCTTGGCTCACTGCAACCTCCGTCTCCCACGTTCAAGTGATTCTCCTACCTTGGCCACCCAAGTAGCTGGGATTACAGGCGTGCACCACCACACCCAGCTACTCTTTGTATTTTTAGTAGAGGCGGGGTTTTACCTTGTTGGCCAGGATGGTCTCGATCTCTTGACATCGCGATCCGCCCGCCTTGGCCTCCCAAAGTACTGGGATTACAGGCATGAACCACCGCGCCTGGCCTGGAGAAGGTTATTTTAATACATCAAAGTTTTGCTTAATTACAAGCTAGAGGAATAATCACTAGATTTTTTTTAAAAAACAACTTTGATAGCAAACACTTGGATTTTAAAAGATGCCTCATTTATGTGTTTAAACTAAGTATTGCTAATAGCAAGAGAGAAAAAACCTAATATGTAATACATTTATTGACTATCTTGATATAAAAAATGAATCAAGTACTTAAAAGATTTGAATTTTGCCACCAATTTTCTTATTATAATTCTCAAGCATTATTTTCAGACCTTCACTTCTTTCTTCTTCTAAGTGGAAATAGAAGAGACACATTAATTCAAACATGAGAAAACTCCACAATTACTTTCTAGACTACATTTTTGTACTTACTATTTGAAAATGATTGTGGTTTAGAAGGGTACCTTTCTTCAAAATCAGCATTGCTCAGGAGAAACAGCAAAAATATTTAACTTTTCTTTTAGCTTCTCTGTGCAGACATTCAATGTTGGAAATACCTTATCTTTTTCCAGTAACTTCAAAAGTATTGTTTTTTCCTGATTGTTTTATAATTATATAATTATTTTGTAATACAAATATGTTTTAAAAAACTTAGAACCTACAAATACATGTGAAGATGAATATTTTATAAGTATATGTATATATATTTACTTATTTAGTTAACAGGATTTTGCTAAATGTTGATTTGTAATGCACACTTTTCACTTAATACATGGTTCTTCTGCATCGTTTTTTTTTTTTTTTTTTTTTTTTTATGAAACAGGGTCTCGCTTTATTGCCCAGGCTGGGGTGCCGTGGTGCAATCTTGGCTGTCTGTGACCTTCACCTCCCAGGCTCAAGGGGTCTTCCCACCTCAGTCTCCTGAATAACTGAGACCACAGGCGTGTGACCACACCTGGCTAATTTTTGCATTTTTTTTTTTTGTAGAGACGGAGTTTGGCCATGTTGCTCAGGCTAGTCTTGAACTCGTGGACTCAAGCAGTCTGCCTGCCTTGGCCTCCCAAAGTGCTGGGATTACAGGCATGAGCCACCATGCCCAGTCAGCATCATTTTTAATAGCTGGATAACATTCTGTCAATAATGTGCCATAATTTTATTTAACCAGAGCTCTATGATGCACATTTAGCTTATTTTCATTAAAAAGAAAATGATCGAAATAACTTATCAAATATCTTTTTAGCTAAATCTTGACACATATTCATTCCTGTTTCCTTAGCCTAAAGTTGCTAGAAATTTAATCATAAGGATAAAGAAAAAACTCAGGAATTTAATTTATATGGAATGGCATTATTTCTTTGATAATAGTTTCTATATTATGTACAACCGATTGGTCTTTCTGTCTGAAGACTTTTGATGGTAGAGCAGAGTTTTAAGACAACTCTCAATATTTAGCTTTTTACTATCAATATTTGACAGTACCTGTGTCTCCTGTGTAAGTGGAAGTAATCGAAAAGGTCCCTTACTTCCAGACGAGACGGAAATATTATCTTTAAAACATTTTAAGTTCTTAGTGAAGGAAAATAACTCATTTAAGTACAAGATCGTTCAAATAGTTTATTTTTGTAAGAAATGAAAACTGTCAAGTGATTTATGCAGTATTTCCAAAGTTCATCATTTCTACTCAACAAGATGTTATAGTCATTTTTTCCAAAGCAAAGAGGATGAATATGCAAACACTCTTTATATTTATGGAATTCATTTGCCAGAAATTTGAATATATTTATAAATAGGAAAGTGGTAGCTTTCAGATTTTTTTTTTCTTTTTTTTGAGACGGAGTCTCACTCTGTTACCCAGGCTGGAGTGCAATGGAACCATCTCAGCTCACTGCAACCTCCACCTCCCGGATTCAAGCGATTCTCCTGCCTCAGACTCCAGAGTAGCTGGGATTACAGGCGCATGCCACCACGCCCGGCCAGTTTTTGTATTTTTAATAGAGACAGGTTTTCACCATGTTGGCCAGGCTGGTCTTGAACTGCTGACCTCAGGTGATCCACCCGCCACGGCCTCCCAAAGTGCTGGGATTACAGGTGTGAGCCATGATGCCCAGCCCAGATTTAAATTATTGAGTAAAAGAGCACTGATTTTTTTAAAAAGTAAGTCTTGTCTTAATGAAACATACTCTAGTCCTTACTCACATTAGAGAATCTGGTTTTTATTTTGTCTATTAGCAATCAACAATTAACTTTGTATCTCTGACTTTAAATTTTTTTATCTTATGAAACCACTGCCTTTTGGCAAGCTTTCTAACGCTGTTTTCACTGTCATCTGTGTTAGATAGTCTGAGTTTAATATTAGTTATTTTTAGTTCTTCTCATTGTCAAAAGCAATAGTTGGCATTTCTATTTTGCTTTTTCTTTCATGGAGACTAGGCATTTTAAGAATGTTCATTTATTGTCTCCTATCTTTGATCTGTAGAGATTTATAGAACTACAAAATACAATTAGCACCTGAATGTTTGTACTTAAGTATAATTGATAAAGTATGAGTATTTGCATAAAGTTAGTTACAAATTTATGCTACAGTTAATAGATTTGTATAATTCATCTGCTTTGGTAATCAGAATTGCCGTAATAGAATTTCGTGTTTTTGTGGGTTTGAGCTGTCAGGAGTCAACTTTCTTACGCATATTTGTGTTTTCTTTTAGACAAAAAAGTTACTGTAAATGATTCAACGTCATTTCTTGGTATTTTTTCCCCCTAGATTTTTTAAAAAAAGGATTAATATGTAGAAGATTTTGCTGTCTCTTCCCTTTTGCTCTTACCTATTTCTTATAAGCAATATCAAACAGCTGTTACTTACCAGGCAAGTTTCAGGATGTTGTTTGTGCACATATGCATTCACCAACCTGTTCTTTGCACTGCCTAAATTTACTTTTATTTTCTAGATTTGAGATTATCTTGCAAGTAATATTTTTTTCCTTAAGCTTATCCTTTTTTTATTCCCTATGCATTTTCACTCCACTTTCTTTGTCAACTATAGTTAGAGCTATTCACAGTTTTATTCTCTCTACACAGGTCTTTTAGAAAACTATTTGGCTCTTATTAAATTTTTCTGTTCTATCTAATTTCCTATATAAACTTCATACAACTTAAGGGTTTTTTTGGTCTCTGTGAGGTTTAAAAATATTTGCTCATAATGTATCAATTTGTCTTGCTTTAAGTAGTTGAAATTAAGAATTATTAACTTCATTAAGATGAGTGCAAATGATTAATTGTTGAGATCCCGTTTTTCTTGGTATATTCAATAAGTTTACAGAAAGATTCCTGATGCAGCATAATTTTCAGGAAACTTCATGATTTGAATACATGCGAATTGAGTAAAGTGAATTTTCTCTTTACAACTGTATTACAAACAGCATTATAATTTGTGGATTTGACAGATAGATAATCTTAGGTGTAAGTTTTAGTCATGAGTAACCTAGTTTCAAGTGATTCAAGTTAGCAGATTAATTTCAAACTTAGGATTTAGCTTTTCACATACTGACCGACCACCTGTGATCATACCATCAGGGAAAAAGTTATGACAATTGTAGCAGGAAAAACTCAAGGCGCAGTAAATATTTGCATTTCCGTGTGCCATTCAAATATGAGAATTTCTTAAGTTTGGTGCATATAGCAATCTATAAAGGAAGAGAAAGGCTTTTTATGTCTACTTTATAGATTAAGTCAGTGAGGCCTAGGGTGTCTCTTATAAAACTTGTTAGCCAGAATATACTGAGTTATCAAAAACTTAACAAGTCAGAGTGTTAAACTTCCTTATGAGCTGTTTTAAAACCACACAAAGGAAGGAAAAATCCTCAATATTTAAAATAATTCTCAAAGACTTAATTATTTTTATGCTGCCTCTTTTTAGTGCTGTTTTTCCTCTAGTTGACTATGAGTAAATTTTTCTCAGTCACAAGTATTTAGTTAAATACAGATTTATTATTCAGCTAAAATAGCTGATGTAGCTTTAGCAGTTGTACAGCAATGTATGTTTTCACTTCTCCATGCTGATCACTAGTTTTATCCTGAAAAAAAATCAATTCTAAAAAAATTCTTCAGTGGAATTTGAGTTTTTTTTTTTTTTTTTTTTTTTTTGCTAATCTTAGTTGTAGACCAATGGAAGAAGGTAATGAGATGTTGAACTATTTGGGTGGGTGGGGCAGAGGTGGGACTCTGAATGCTTTGTATGGATTATTCAAGACATTGTATTTTTGAACTATATGTATTATATTGGACTAGAATGCCTCTCCATTAGTACAGTTAATCCTGTGCATGCAGAATCAGTATGACAGAAGGTGCATGAATATTTTCATCAATGAAACAGCACTTACCTTTCTAGCTTGCACTTTTCCGAGTAGTTCGCATGTATTTCATTCATTTGCTTTTATGATGCTGGCTGAATAATTTTTTATTAACATTTTTATAAAGATGCAGTGATCTATTTTTATAACATTAGATTTCTAATGTCAGTCTATTGAATGAATGATAACCTTCAAATTTGTGGTTCATGAAAATGAAGCACCATTTAACTGTTGATATTAAATGTTTAGAAACTTATGACATGGGCATTTAGAGTTTGAGTTGTGAATACCAGAACTGAGACTGCACCTTTAAAGTATTTTGAGTATATGCTATTAGTACATTTTATTATGATTATGTAAAGCTATAACAGTTTACTGCCAACAGCTTGCATTGCCAACTGCTGATTTTTTTTCTTTTAATAATATGCTGCATGTAGATAAAGATGACCTCTCCCCAACTGCTGAGGTTTGGGATGTAGACCAGGGACTAATAAGTAAACTGAAGGAACAGTACAAGAAGGAACGAAAGGGGAAGAAAGGGGTGAAGAGTAAGTGCAGATTCTGACTATTATAATTTTTGTATACCAATAATTGAGAAAAAAGTTCTTCAATTCTGTTTCTTTGTGTAACTTAATTTTTTGTTTCATAAAGGGGGCAACTAACTTTAAACTTTGTCTGTTGTATAATTGAAATTTGTTTGTATATAATTTAGGATGTGTTATTGATCAAGTAGAAAATCATTTAAAATATATGAGAAGGGTAAAGGAAAGATTTTGAGGATTGTTTTTAAGCTTTAAAAACTTTACCAAATTGTTTGGAATATTGGCATTGGAATAAAAAATAAAGATTTTTCAAAAGGGAGAAAAGTATAAATTTCTCCATTTTTGATACATAGAGTATAGCTATAAACAACTCATATCCAGGTTACATTTCTTAGTTTGGGAATCCTTACCTACAGTGAATAGGAAAGCCCTTTCTGTAGTTTCTGCTTTCTGGTCTTAATCCAACTACTAACAACAACAATAGCAAAAAGAATCTCTTGGGTAGTATTTTTTGGCTACTGTGGTGAAGGAAACCAGAAGTGGGAGGTTAGTGGTGGCAGTAGGGTTTGTTTAGTCATTGCTGGGTGTCTTGGTGCCTGGATGTATTTTTCACTATGTTGTATATTAATCAATTTACTTATTAAAATGTAAATCTGCTATAGTACCTCTCTCAAAGTAGCAATTCATTTCCATTTGGTGAAGCAAACTTAAAAGTTGCCACATAAAAATATCTTCAGATCTATGACTATTAACTGGAGAGACTTGAAACTTATTTTTGGGACTCATTTGAACTAGCCAGTGACCCCTGCTTGTCTAACATTTTGACTATATAAAGGAGAAAATAGTGTGAGAAAAAGGCAAAAGCAATATAGACATTCTTTTGTGTTTCTTTGGTGACAAATACATTCATATATTAAATGGTAGGTGTAATGGAAACGTGTGCGAGTTTCTTTCAGTAAAACCTTTTTGAGTGATTTCATTTACTGTGGAGGCTAATAAGTGAAGTTTTGGGGGTTTCACCTGTTACACAATTTTCTTTTCTAACTTTATGATAGCTTTTGTTATTGCATGTGAATTAAAAGACTATAGAGTGAACTGCTTATTGTATTTAAAAACATTTGATACTGGGCTGGGGTTGTGTTTAGTTCTAACATCATTTACCTATAATGCAAGCATGCTGAGTATAAAAGTACATTTGCATGATTGACTATGTTAGAATAGACAAAATGACATTAGAATTTTAGGGTTTAATTTTTTTTTTTTTTTTTTTTTTTTTGACGGAGTCTCGCTCTGTCGCCCTGGCTGGAGTGCAGCGGTGCAATCTCGGCTCACTGCAACCTCTGCCTCCCGGGTTCAAGCAATTCTTCGGCCTCAGTCTCCTGAGTAGCTGGGACTATAGTATAGGCACGTGCCACCATGCCTGGCTAATTTTTTATATTTTTAGTAGAGACGGAGATTTACTGCGTTAGCCAGGATGGTCTCAATCTCCTGACATTGTCGTAATCTGCCTGCCTTGGCCTCCCAAAGTGCTGGGATTACAGGCGTGAGCCACTATGCCTGGCCTAGGGTTTAATTTTTTTTTTTTTAAAGAAATAAAGTAGCTTATTTTACTAGTGGATTGCTTATTTTATATATAGTATCATAAACTGACTTAATCTGCTGAAGATTTCTTTTGAAATGTTAGATAATGTTGCTTCTAATTTAAAATAGAAGTATTCCATTTTCCCCCTCTGATAGACTGTGACTAGACCTATATCTTTTTGAGGTCTACAAATAAGATGTAAGTCAAGGTCTTTTTTAGTTCTTGCTTTTAAACTTTTCTTAAAATTTTTTTTTTAATTAAAAAAAGTATGTTTAAGAAATATTAGAAACAGATAAACTAAAAAATTAAACAAAATTTATTTTTTTTAGAACCCAGGTTGGAGTGCAGTAGTGTAAATCATAGCTCACTGTAGCCTCAAACTCTCCTGTCCTCAAGATATCCTCCCACCTCAGCCTCCTGAGTAGCTGGGACTATAGGCACGTGCCACCACACCTGGCTAATATTTTATTTTTAAAAATTTTTTGTAGAGATGGGGTTTCTCTGTATTGCCCAAGCTGGTCTCGAACTCTTGGCCTCAGGCCATTCTTCCACCTCAGCTTTTCAGAGTGTTAAGATTATAGGCACGAGCCACCGTGCTTGACCTTATGTTTTTTTTTTAATTGGACCTTAGTACACACAATATTATAATTTGCCTACTACCATCATAGAAAACATCATTTTATGTCAACAAATAATTCCTTTATATATGTTTGTATTTTTTCTTCTTTCTAAACAACAGAGAGGAACTCAGTATATGAAATGGATGAAAGTGGACTTCTTTGACTGAATCAGTACTGGAGACCCCAAATTCATAACTTAAGGCTTTCATGTCTCAATAACATCTTACTCTCTAGATAGGTATTCTGTTATTCAGCCCATTCCACTTTAATTTTGATTTCATATCTGTTTTTTCAAAAAAATGAATTTTGCTTATATAATCATAAAAATAACACATGCTTGTTATTCAGATAATATAAGAAGTATTATAAGAAGTACTTATAAGAAGTAATATAAGATTCAGATAATATAAGAAGTATTATAAGAAGTACTTATAAGAAGTAATTATAAGAAGTATTATAAGAAGTAATATAAGAAGTAGGAATATAAAGAAAAACTATAAAAATCACCTGCAATCCTACCACTCAGAGACTATTTATTTGGCACATATTCATCCATCTTTTCTTAAAAGTCTTTATACGTAAAACCTCCTTTTTAATATTTTAACTAGAATATTATTGTTGTAATTTAACTCATTATTTCTTAATGTTTCATAGTCATTTAAAATATAATTTTTGTGTATTTAACTTAGCTTCCATTAGTTAAACCTATAGATTTGTTTCTAATTTTTAAACATTTTTGTAAATATTACTGTCTTTGAGGCTACTAATGTAAGTAGATCCAGGGATAAGGTCTTTAGCAAAGTGTCTCAGGAAAGAGAATTCAGAAATAAATTATGTTTCTTTTTTATACTTCCTTTATGAAGGTTTATAAATTGAAAACTTTTCACTCTTTAATACAGAATTCAGTGTGAAAATGTTGGCTCTGAATCCTTGCCGTGAAATTAGAGTTTAAGAAAATAAAAACTTTCTTTTTTTTTCTGTTTATGGATCACAAACTTCTAATGATCTTAATTCAAATAGCTCATCATGTTAATACTAAGATATAATTTTACATGAAAAGGTAATTCATGAATTTCTTAGCATTTTTATCTAGTCCATGTTATTATTCTGATGTTCTCCTTACGTAGCTTTGTACAAGTTAGAATAATTCATTATCTGTAGCCTTTTGATTTCTTTAAAAAAATTTTTGCTTATAAATGACACATAATTATAAATATTTATGGGACACAGTGTGACATTTTAATACATTTAAACATTGAATAATAAAAATCAGAGTAGTTAGCATATTCATCATTTCTTTGTGGTTACAGCACTCATATCCTTTTTTTCTAGCTATCTTGAAATATAGAATACGTTATCATTAGCTGTAGTCACCCTACTGTGTAATTGAACCAGAACTTATTCTACCTATGTAAATGTAAATTTGTATACATTTACCAACCTTGATTTTTTTTCTTTATTCCAGAATTTGTTAATAAGTCACACCTACTGAATTAGCATAAGCTTCTACAGATTTTTCACTGCAGCTTCTTAGAGGGAAGAAAACTATTTGCTAACTTTACCATATGGAATCAGCAGATGTAATCCAGTCTTTTTTCTTTTTTTTTGGAAGGGAAAGAGAAAAATGGCAAGAATACTGACTTCTTAACTTTGTAAAGACCCATTCAAGATTTGACTTTTAAATGCTAAGTTAAAAGTGCTAAGTTAAAGTTTCTGTGTCTCCCAACTCGTTCACTCCATCTCACCCTTCTTTTTTTTACCCCCCTGCCCGCCCCCTCCCCCCAGCAAGAGGAAAAGGGGTTAAAAGTGACAGCCTTGTCTTGGAACGTAGACCCACTTCAGTATTTCTTTCTTACTAAGTGAGATATACAATATAATTGAGATGCACTTTATCTTATTAGTACTCTAAGAGTCAGTACCTTGAAACTAAGAAACTAAAGAGGCTTGATGCAGTTATTTTGGTCTCAGGCTTCAAAGGGTTAAGCTTTCTTTTCCTTTTAACTTTTTATTTTGACATAATTTCTGACTTAAGAAAATTTTGTGAGAATAGTACAGAGAATTCCATATACTTTTCACCCAGGTTACCCACCAAATGTTAACACTTTACCACACTTGCTTTTCCCTTTCCTTTCTGTAAATATATTCTTTTTTATTTTGAGACAGGCTGTCACTCTGCTGCCTCGGATGGAGTACAGTAGCACATTGTAGCTCACTGCAACCTCAAACTCCTGAGCTCAAGCAATCTTTCCACTCCCGCCTTGCTGGGACCACAGGTGTGCACCACTATGCCTGGCTAATTTTTACATTTTTTAATAGACAGGATCTCTGTATGTTGCCCAGGCGGATCTCAAACTCCTGGCCTCAACTGATCATCTCACCTCAACCTCCAAAAGCATTAAGATTTCAAGCATGAGGCTGGGTGCAGTGGTTCATGCATGTAATCCCAGCACTTTGGGAGGCTGAGGCGGGCAGATCACCTGAGGTCAAGAGTTTGAGATCAGCCTGGCCAACATGGTGAGACCTTGTCTCTACTAAAAATACAAAAAAAATTAGCTGGGCGTGGTGGCTCATGCCTGTAGTCCCAGCTACTTGGGGAGGCTGAGGCAGGAGAATCGCTTGAACCCAGGAGACGGAGGTTGCAGTGAGTCAGGATCGCGCCACTGCACTCCAGCCTGGGCGACAGAGGGAGACCATCTCAAAAAAAAAAAAAAAAAAAAGATTTAAGGCATGAGCCATTGTACCTGGCCATGTTTTTTTTTTGTTGTTTTTTGTTTTTTTGTTTTTTTTTTTTTGAGTAGTTCAGAAAACTAAGTTGTAGACATGTTGCTCTTTAAATATATTAGTATATATTTAAACAAAGATACTCTCATGTATGACCACAGTACAGTCATGAAAATCAAGAAGTAAGTGTTGATGCAATACTAATATCTAAGCTAAAACTCAGTTTTCTTTCACTTTTTAATAATTTCTATGTTTTCTGTAATTTGGGAGGAGCTTGAATTAATCTTTTGTAAAAATTTTGGGCTGGTAGCATTTTTCTAACTTTTTAAGGTCTCCATTTGTGCTGTATTTTATATCTTAGTAAAAACATATAAATCAATGATTAAAAATCACAGTATGAACGAAGCATCTGAAATATGGAGGCTTTAGTTAGAATATGAGAGAGCAGCTAAAAATCTTTTAAGACTTTCTTTGATATTTGTTACTCTTTTTCAACATGGACAATTTAAACTGTGGATTATAATAATGTATTTTCCTTTGATAGGAGCTGTTATTCTTATAGCCTGTTGTTACTCTTAAGCTATATTATACCTATAAAATTTAAACTTACCAAGAAAAGATTATTTCATTTCCTTTCTTGAAAAGATGTATAGGCTTTCCCCATTTTAAAAATTCATATTTGGGGAATATGTATGTTTGCATTCCTGGTTCTTAGTGAGTGGACTTATCTTAATTTTCCTAATTATTCTCGTTTATCTTAACTTTTCTGTCTTTTCTATATATGGAATATGACTTTTTTGCCATTTCCCTTCTCTCCGTTACTGGTGTTGCAGAATTGCTATGCACCTTCTGGCCTGATTATCAATACATTTGAAAAGGGGGAAGTCTTGTAACTTTTTCAACATTTCTTTTAATATAAATCATAAGTGAGCTCCCCCAAGTCATTTTCTAATTTTTATTTTTAAAGTTTTGTATTAATATTTGTCATTTACTATTCCAGATCCAAGAAAACATGTTGTCACCAGGAAATACAGTTGTTTAAAGTGTGACTTGAAGCCAAATATCCAAAATTAGGTATTTGAATACATTTAAGAAGAACTTACTCTTAAGTAGGCTTTTAAAAACACCTTTGCTCACACTACAAATTATCTGTTATGATTAAGCTACTTCCGTTTAGCACATAGTACTAATTCGAAGAGCCCACAAAATAGTTATATTCTCTCTCCTCCCTCAAAGACAAAAACAAAATTGTTTCATAGCAAAGAGATGTTATTTTCAACTAGGCATGTGGTTTTATGTTACTGGCTTTAATTTCATTCTTTAAAAACAAACATTCATGTCCTTTAACTCGGGATTTTTTTCTTTCAAGAAAATAACTTAGGTATTTTGCCTAGGATCAGAATGTATCAGATTGATACTCTAATCAGTGCACTTTTTAAAACCGAAGAGTCACTTTGCAGCTGAAGTTATTTTTTCTTATTATTGTGATCTCATATTTATTTAAGACAACAATTGTCTTAAATAAATTAAATAAAGCTGTGAAAGCTTTAATTATGATAGAAAATAGAACAGATCTAGCAAACATGACTTAACTAAATTTTTGTGCTAAAATAAGCGTATCTTTTCCAGATTGTTTGCCTGCTAACAGTTAAGCTTCAGAATATAAAAGTTGATCAACAAAGGGAGGGCTCATTTGAGAAAGGGGAAATGTTAGATTTGTTCAAAAGTACTATTTTACTTACAGTTATATAGGGCGTAGGAAGATAAATTTCATGGCATGAGTATGTGTGTTTGAGCGGAATTTGAAAATGTAACAGTAGTCTATAGTTTGGCTTACACGTGGCATAATTAGTATGTTTTTCATTGTGTCAGTCTAGAGGATTATGCATTTATATAGGACTTTGTATTTGTTAAGAGGTAGGTGGGTTGTATTCATAGTAGTAGAAAAGTTTTTCTAGCTGGGCATGGTGGCTCATGCCTGCAATCCTAGCACTTTGGGATGCTTAGGAGAGAGGATTGCTTGACCCCAGGAGCTCAATACCAGGCTAGGCAGCATGGTGAGACCATCTCTACAAAAATAAAAAATACAAAAATTAGCTGAGTGTGGTAGTGCATGCCTGTGGTCCCAGCTACTCTGGAGACTGAGGTAGGTGGATTGCCTGAGCCTAAGAGTTCAAGACCAGCCTGGACAACATGGTGAGACCCTGTCTCTACAAAATTTTTTTTTAAATTAGCCAAGCTTGATGGTACGTGCCTGTGGTCCCAGCTACTGGGCAGGCTGAGGCGGAAGGATCACTTGAATCCAGGAGGTCAAGAGCCAAGGAGATCAAGGCTGTAGAGAGCCATGTTTGTGTCACTGCATTCTAGCCTGGGTGACAGGGCAAGACCTTGTCTCACAAATAATAATAAAAATTAAAAAATAAATAAAAGTTTTTCTTGCCATAAGAATTAGAAAAGGTATTTGTACTTCTATAAATTTCAGTTTTTATTTAATTAGTGCTTAATGGGCCTTCAATATGCCTTTACATATTGGTATTAATATTGTCTAGTATCCTGTTATACTACTACAGTTTTCTTATTGCTGATAAGACTTCAGGTTTTTTATTTGAAATTGTTTCATTGCATTTATTATATTTAGAATATTGGATAGGTTTAGAAAGAAAACAAAGACATTAAATTTGCAGTTGAAAGATGCTCTGCACAATAGAGTAAAGACTACTACTAAATGAAATCTGCTTTCATCTTTTGGCACCTTTTGAGAAACTAGGATTAGAGCAGGGAAGTTGCATCATTTCCTCAACTTGGCACTGTGTCACACTGAAGCTATCAGGCTATAGTATGTAAATAATATTATATAATTTGGGATCGTCAGTTTGAACAGTAGGTTCCATAATATCTCCTAATTTCTTTCCCTTCTATATCTCCCAGTTCATGTGTACAGAAGATTTTAACTTTACATTATCTGTAACAAAACTTTGTCAAGCCTTTATTATGTTTCACATTAACTATCATATAATTAAATTATTTACAAGGTAGTATTTAATAAAGTCATTTTATGTTACACACAAATAAGAGAACATTGAAAGATCAACAAAAGCTTTACAGAAGAGATGGAACTGGTGTGGAGGAATGGGTAGAATTTGGATAGGCTGAGGTGCATGTTAGAAGATAAGGAAGTGTGTGTGTGTGTGTGTGTGTGTGTGTGTGTGTGTATATGTATGTGTAGAAAGCCTTCTCACCTTTCTGAGAATGGGTGAGGATAAATATGACAAAATACTGCAGAAGTAACCTCAGTGAACACTGAAACTATGTGGAAATTGCTTTGACTGGAAAATGAAGGGAGTTTGTATTGTGGATCATTAAAAGATAAGATGGGGTAGAAAAAATAGGATCAGATCATGAAGCACATGAAAGGTTAAGTACATGATTTTAGTTAACTTTGATCCAAAGAGTGTGGAAGTGCTGCTACTTGTGGTTTCTGAGTGAAGGGAGATATAATAAATGTGATAATTTTGGAAAATTAATTTAGTTGTAGTATATAAATGTGATTGAAGGTAAATGGAGCTTGGAGATAGAAAAACCAATTAGGAGTCTGTTGTAGTAATTCATAAGATTGAAAGCCTTGATTAAAGTCAATAGAGAGATAAACTTGGAGAATACTTTAAAGGGAGATTCTTTTTTAAAACCAGCCCCCACCGTTTTATAATTTTACAAGTTGAAGAAGAATTAAGATGTGGTTGCAAAATTTTAGGAAGCGAAATTAAATAAATGGTGGTGGTAGTCATTTAAGTGGCAAGGTTACAAAAGGGAGCTATTTTGTGAGAAAGAATAATGTTTATGTTCTTTTACGTTGAATGTAACTGGTGGTTGGACATCCAGTAGACAGTTTTTTGTTTATTGGAGAATTTGTTTACAGTCATTTCTCTGTGGGGGGGAAATCCTCAGGTAACACTGAGTTTCTTCATTATTATTAGTTAGGAAATTCAGACTACGTAACATATTACCTAATCCAGAAGTAAAATTGTTTAAGCATTTCTAAGAAATTAGAAATTACTGTAAAATAGGACCAATAAATGTATAAAAGTCCACCTATTTCCACTAAGTTTTACCATCTTAACTGCCAGGCATTTTGTTAAGGATACATAGATGCGTAATAGTTCTTAGAGTTACTTACACTCAAATAGCCACAGTGAACTTAATATATAGCAGTCGGATTCTTCCATTAATGTTGATGTTAGTAAATATAACGTCATAATGTTTGACCTTGGACTTACCTATTTTATTTTTTTAAACTTATGTAGATTATAAAGCATTGTCTTTTCAAAGTTTTTTTCTGACATTCTTAAAACTTATTTTCTTTCAAAATATATGGTTCAAAATAAATAATTCTGCTATTTCTAAAGTTCAGAGTTAAAGAATATTCCACAATGGTACAGAAGCTTTTGAGTTTTATATATTTTGGCCTGAATTATCCAGGCAACAGCCAAAATTCTTCCCTTATATTTATGGCTTATGACAGTGCTGACTTTTCATATCATTATGAGAAACTCAGAGATCTATCTCATGGATAAATCAGGTTTTTCAAATTTGGGAAAAATGAAAAAATTTTTGAAAGAAATTGGGGTTGATTTGTTAATGACAAATTTGTACTAACATGGCAGGAAAATATCCATGGAAACACCAGGTAAAGTTAATTGTTTGTTGCACCCTCATAAAAATTACTCGTACTTATTCCTTTGTTAAGTTTTTAAAACAGTGAATTATGTTGAAAAGCCCTTGTTTTATTCTTTACACTGGTAAATGTTAACCTTAAACACCAAAATTTTCCTTTGTTTTAATGATACCTTCTGTGTCTGTGAGCTTACAGAACTTTAAAGAACTCTCTAAAGTATTCTGTGGAGATATATATATATATATATATCTCTTTAGAGAGAGACATATATGTAATATAGATATGTATCTTTATATATATCTCTCTCTCCACAGAAATAGTAAATATTTAAACTCAATGTGTTTTGGGGGATGGTATGGAAAATGGAAGACATCTTTAATTTTCTGATATTTTAATAACTGGGACTTCTTAATAGTCTGTTTTGTTAATAAATTGGTTTTAAAGGCTGCCGGAAAGTCAAGCGGTAGCCATTAAATGAACCTCTACTGCTGACATTAATTTACAGGGGCCAACAGGACAAAACTCTACGACATGATAGCTGATCTGGGAGATGATGAGCTGCCCCACATCCCTTCAGGAATCATTAATCAGTCTAGGTCAGCCTCTACTAGAATGACTGATCATGAAGGTGCAAGAGCAGAGGAAGGTACAAAATTTAGCTACCATGTTTATTTACATTTCAGAAGACCTTAAATCCAAATCACATCTTAATGCAACTAGGCTACTGTTATAAAATGCTGATGATCATTTTATATGATCTTTAGAGAAGGTGTTGGGCAAGCTCTTGATGTAACTAATTTAGGGATTTTGACATTTCTGGTTTCTATTTCTTTATATTTTGTTTTTGTTTTTAATGTGAGGAGTTGTTGTTTCCATCATAGGTGAATTCAGAGTCTTTTCTTAAATCTAATTTTAGCTACAGATCCAGTAATGGGAAAATAGTAATTTATAAAAACAAACTTAAAATAATACATATGGAAAAAACTACTCATTTTGTCTTATTGCTTAAATTTAGGAACTAATAGTAATTACCACTTACTAGAAGACAACTATGGTGCCAGGCATTGTGCTTGGAACCTTTTTTTTTTTCTTTTTTTTTCCTTGAGACAGAGTCTCACTCTGTCTCCCAGGCTGGAGTGCAGTGGCATGATCTCGGCTCACTGCAACCTCCGCCTCCTGGGGTCAAGCGAGTCTCCTGCCTCAGCCTCCCAAGTAGCTGGGACTATAGGCGCACACCACCATTCCCCGGCCAATTTTTTGTATTTTTAGTAGAGACAGAATATTACCATGTTGGCCAGGCTGGTCTCGAACTCCTGACCTCAAGTGATCTGCCTACCTTGGCTCCCAAGGCGCTGGGATTACAGGTGTGAGCCACAGTGCCCAATCTGTTACATTAAATATATATTACTTCAAAAAATATATGTAACTGTTACCTAAATTAATCATTTGAGAATAAGGCAGCATCATTATTCTTTAACTTGGTAGCAAGTATACGCTACCTAGTAATGAATTTTATAAAATTTGCCTAAACCAGAAATGTGTAGGAAATGAAAGTACTACTTAAACATTTTTTCCAAAATTGATTTTAGCCGAAGATATATGGGTATACTTGAATCATGTATAACTCTAAGTCTAGATATTTATAAGTATTAAATCTGAATTTTTAACCAAAGATTATTGTGACATATGAGATACAGTAATTTGGCATATGTATTAAGTTTAATTGATGTTATTGCCTTTGCTCTGTAAAGGGGATTTGTTTGATGTCCCAGTCAAAAAATTTTAAATACATCTTGTTCCCTTTTAAGATTTCCCTAGTGGCACAGTTTCCTTACAGTTAAATAATTTTGCATTTTTTCCCTCTCATAATTTACCATTTACTTCACTCACCTTAAAAAAAATCACTAAAGTAACAAAATCATTCAAAACAAAATGAATGAAAAATAAAATAGTGTCTGTTAATTTTTTCAGATCTCATTTCCACTATTGAGATATATTCCTGTTTTACTTTAGAAGTATTTTCTAAAATACACATAGCAACTCCTTTTTTTTTTTTTAATTTTATGCATTTAGTGGTGATTTTGCTTCGTTTTTGGTCTGTTTTGCCAAATATGCATAGTACAACTTGCTAAAATTTTTGTAATTAATGTACATTTAAAGTGCAGGTTTTGCAATTTAAGGCAAAGCCACGTTAGCAATGTGGACCCTTTTAAATGTTTCAAACCAATGACTTAACGGAAAAAGCCAGTCAAGGCACACTCTACACAAAAACCAACTTAGAACTCTCTATGTGTGTTTGTTTATGTGTTATGTGTGTGTTTTAAAGAAAGAATATAGGTCAGTGATCTGTTTCTTGATGCTGGTAGGAGGGCGAGGGGAGAGATTTGATAAGTGTGAACTTCATTACAGTTTTTGAAGTATCGATCTTCCTGGAATTTGTTATTTAAAGAGGTGTGAGTTTGACTTCAAGCTAAGAAGGCAGCTTTGGAGTATACAGTCTCCTTATTTTCAGTGGCAGTCCCCAACTTCCTTCTTTACTTTTGAAGTCCATGTCCTACCTCATTTTATAAAGAACAAATGTCTGTTTTCTAGGAGTGGAACTTCAACATTACAATCTTCTAGACTATTGCTGCTAAAGACTTGAGACCTACCATGTTGCCACTGGTATAAATGGAATCTGTTACCTGGACTAAGTTCTTGGGAAAAAGAGTTCAATATGCGAGCTACAGGTTTCCTTCATCATAAGTGTCCATCAAAAGGAAGATTAGTTACAAAAGTCTGAAAAAGACCTTGTATTTTATAGACCCGTTATACTAGTATTGTTATCTTACTTGATGAAATCTCTTAGGCCTCCTAAATTTCCATCATTAAATTAAAAACTAGGGCAGGCATAGTAGCTCATGCCTGTAATTCCAGCACTTTGGGAGCCCAAGGCAGGAGGATCACTTGAGCCCAGGAATTCAAGACCAGCCTGGGCAACATAGCAAACTCTGTCTCTATTAGAAAAAAAAAGAAGATATTAAAACTACTTTTTTTAGGCCGGGCGCGGTGGCTCACACCTGTAATCCCAGCACTTTGGGAGGCCGAGACTGGTGGATCACGAGGTCAGGAGATCGAGACCATCCTGGCTAACACGGTGAAACCCTGTCTCTACTAAAAATACAAAAAAATTAGCTGGGCGTGGTGGCGGGCGCCTGTAGTCCCAGCTATTCAGGAGGTTGAGGCAGGAGAATGGCGTGAACCTGGGAGGCAGAGCTTGCAGTGAGCCGAGATCGCGCCACTGCACTCCAGCCAGGGCGACAGAGCAAGACTTCAAAAAAAAAAAAAACCAAAAAAACTACTTGTTTAAATAATTACATTTTTCTTTGAATTACTAATGACATTTTTATATTATGGGTAATTATATTACCATTAATAAAATGAATAGGATAGAAATTAATTCCCTCTGCAGGGAAATAAGGGCAAACAGATGAGTAGCTGCTGTGATTACCATATGCCACAGTGATGGGTAATATGGAAAGCAGAGGTAGTAGTGTAAAAGAATTTTTGCACATATATGTGTAAATAGTGATTAAGCAGAATAGCTTGCAATAGGTACATAAATATGTCATAAAATATATGTGTGTATATAGAGAAAAAGGACAGAAATGTGGTCATATGATTAATTAGAAATGAGTATAATACTAATTTTTTGTTAAGTACAATTAAGCCAAAACTCGAGTAAAACTAATGTCCAGACACTTCCCTTCACATGCTCCTAAATTGGTCTGGCTGATCAGAGATAGTCTTGCAAAATCATTTGTTACGTTAAAGTTATTTTATTGGGCTTTTGAGATTTGTGTCAGTGAATGTTTGTATAATTGTGAGTGGGAGGAACTGTGGCATTTTGTTCTGACTTCTCTTAGAAACAAATTCCCTGAGCTTAAAGTAAAAATATTTCTTTGTCTAGAGAAAAATGCTTTGAGTAAATATTATATAATGACTTTTATATAATTATCCTTAAACATAAGTTTAAATTATTGATTTTATAGTTTTTAGCTGCTTCTGGTATTGCCAATAACTGCATACTAATAATTGGTAGGAAAAGATCAAAAGATCAATGCTACAGATTATTCAGATTCAATAAGTGTCATCATTGAAAGATTAAATACTACTTAATATCTCTATATATTTTCTGTCAGGTGCTTTCAGATTCATTTTAGATCAAGTAACTGAATCAGAGCTGCATTTTAGAGCCCTATTTGAGTCAGATTATATAGCTTATTTTGATAGGATAAAATAATAAAATAACAAGATATTCTAAGTACAGTTGAATTTTATTTTGCCATAGTATATATATGAATTGTGTCTTCTCAGAATTATTTCCAGTAGTTTAGTGATGACTGTCAAGTTTCATTACACCTGTTGTGTTTCCTGTAGCATATTTATATCATTTTTCATGGGAATTTTTTTAAAATTGATAATCAGCTTGATTTTTTGTATAATGTGTCCCTTTTAAATTTGCTCATGAATTTTAAGTGTGTTTTGATATATTGAGTTTTATATTATGATTTGAGTATTTCTCCCTTGTTATCTTAATGTTAAAATTTTGCTTTCAAAGCATATTTGAAATGATATTGAAGGTTGTTGCTTAAACTATGACTGTTACAACAAAATATTTAGATAATAGTCATTCAATTATGGCAGAGTTTAATTGGTCAGTAGTATGTATAGAAAGGAAAACGCATTTTAAATAATTGGAACTGTTAATATTAACATGAAAAGCTGTAATAATGCACATGATATAGTTGAGAAAACTAAGTGAAGCTCAACCTGAGTTTAGTTTGAAATTGAAATGGCAAATCTGATCAGAAATTAAAGCTCTGTGGTCAAGATTACTTGCTTCATTTTAGAGTGTCATGGTAACTAGAATGGGACATTAAAATAAAAGTCATAGTCAAAGCTTTAAAGCTGGAAGACAGGCTGGGCGCGGTGGCTCACGCCTGTAATCCCAGCACTTTGGGAGGCCGAGGCAGGTGGATCACTTGAGGTCAGGAGTCAAGACCAGCCTGGCCAACATGGTGAAAGCCCATCTCTACTAAAAACAGAAAAATTAGCCGGGCGTGGTGGCGGGCGCCTGTAATCCCAGCTACTTGGGAGACCGAGACAGGAGAATTGCTTGAACCTAGGAGGTGGAGGTTGCAGTGAACCGAGATCGCACCACTGCACTCCAGCCTGGGCGACAGAGCAAGACTGTGTCTCTAAATAAATAAATAAATAAAGCTGGAAGACATTCTGAAGACCACGTGGATTAACCTTTTATAGAAAGGAAACTGACATTGTTGGTGGAAGAATTTTTTCCTAGACCATTGCTGTTACTAAAGGAATCTGAACAATTAAAGCTTCATTCTAGTGAACTGATATAGTATATAGCTGACTGTAAACCATTTACATTTCAATGTTTGTACTAGTTTTTATCAGGGACTAGGATGCCTAGTACTTCTTTAGAAAGCAAAAGGACTTGGTGACAACCTATTAACATTTAAAAAATACTATATGACTACTTTGAGGTCCTTGAGGTCCATGGTAGAGGTTTCCCCTCATGAATGCAAAAATCTGATATTTAACTCCATTATTTAATCAAAATTTGTCCTATTTCTTATTTAACATGTAAACTATAGTTATAATTGTACTGAAGTGATAAGAGATTTAGACAGACAAAGCTTTTGTGCCCTAGCTTCCACCCCAGAATAATATATCTAGTGCACATTTTATTTGTGGACAGTTAATACACCACAGTTCCAACACATTTGTTTAACACTGCTTAGTAACAGGATTTTTTGAGTAGAAGTGGGAAAATAAAAATTAATTATATTACTGAATATTGTAACTGTTAAGTGCTTAAATTTTCCCCACAATATTGTCTTGTACTGTATGATTTTTCAGCATTTAAGAAGCGGTTTTGTTCTTTATAGCTGAACCAATAACGTTTCCATCTGGAGGAGGCAAGTCATTTATTATGGGTTCTGATGATGTTTTGTTAAGTGTACTGGGCCTTGGAGACCTTGCAGACTTGACGGTAACAAATGATGCAGACTATAGTTATGATGTAAGTGCAGTTTTATTTTTAATTTTTTAATGATTTAATAGAAGGCTCCTTATTTTTTGGAATCACTTATAAAACAGAATTAATATCAAGGTGCATGGAAAAGATAAGTTTGTGTCAATGTGTTGATTTGAAGTGACATGTTTTTCTTTTATAACTACTCTCTTTGTGGTATTTAAATTTTTTTTTTAGGTATTTTGGTGGATTAACTAGAAGTTTGAGATGATTAATATATTGGTCAGTAAATACATCTTGAGTAGTCAACTCTCAATTATCTCAAATTAAGCCATATTTTGGTGTTAACAAGAAAAAAAATAACCTGAATCATATATTTGCCTTCAGAGTACTTCTTAAAAAGCATGTTTTATTTTTGAACTTTTATTTTCTTAAGGAAATATTTTAAAGTTTCTGAACATTTTAAAGTTAGCTTGCATCATTTCCTGAATACTTAACTCCTTCATTAGAGGATTGGGGAGTGGATGGAAGGGTTGGGGAGTGGGGAGTCCAGTGTTAGAGGTGAAACTTGTCTTGGATTTAATTTTTTCTAGTCATTAATATTTCAATTGAGAGTTAACTATACTTGTTAGATCTTTATGTTAATTGCAGTTTTTCAGCAATTTTTTTTTCTTTTTATAATGAGTTTCTTTTTTCCACGTTTTATACTTAACATTAGCATGCTTAGAGACAGCCTTTGGTGGGCTGGATTATTCTCATTAATATATTTTTTTAAGTATATAAGTGACTAAATTCCAGTAAACTTTTGACTGCTTTAGAAGTGGTTTCACAGCCTATCTTTACAGATGGAGAAATGTGAAGGTAAAAAGATAAACCTCTGTCAATATCAAGAATTATGAAAATGGGATAAAAATATTCTTAAAGGGTCTTTAGTTCAGACTTTCAGAAAGTACCTTAACTTGCTGCCTTTAATAATTTCACATGCTAATACGTTTTCTAAATGACAACTTTACTGTTAATACTGTACCGTTGGATATTTGTAATAACTTATGTAATTATTTTTCATGTAAAGTATTGCAGCAATGGTAGTTATTTTGTTCTCATCTGACATTTAATGGGAGCTTTGGGTTTAGCTTAATAGGTAAAAACAGATTAAGGAACTCTTCATTTGACCTAGGCTATTTGTAAGGCGAATGAAATTATTCTGAGTTATTATTAAATGATAAAGTTTTTTTAGAAAGTTTTAAAGGTACATTAAATTTCCACTGGACATTTTAGCCAACAGTTTTAAATATATGTGTTAAACACACCAAAAAGAAACGAACAAACACTCCACATGCCTTCCAGTTTACTACTTTTACCACTAAATATTGTGCTCTTTCCTTTTAGTTGCCTGCTAATAAAGATGCCTTTCGAAAGACATGGAATCCCAAGTATACACTACGTAGCCATTTTGATGGAGTACGGGCATTAGCTTTTCATCCTGTAGAACCTGTGCTGGTTACTGCTTCTGAGGACCATACCCTGAAACTTTGGAACCTGCAAAAAACAGTTCCTGCCAAAAAGCAAGTATTTTAGTGTTAGCCTGGTGTATTTCTTCCAATTTTGCTAATATAAGTAATTATTCCTCATTATTGTTGCATGTCTTTAATGCACACATTTGATCTAATGACTATTTAATATCAACCAGTGATTCATAGTTATTTAATTGCCTTCTCTTCCCCTACCCTTTTTCCCCCTCTTTTAGGAGTGCCTCTTTAGATGTAGAGCCTATCTACACATTTAGGGCCCACATGTAAGTTTTACTGAATTGGTATTTAATTAACATCATCATTATTGTTAAATATTATTTATCGGTCCTCAAACCTTGTAATTTTCTCAATGTTTTGTATTAGAAAAGATGTATTACTTGAATAATAGCTATTTAATAATTGTATTGGTGAGACTATGAATATAATAGTACCATTCAGGCCAGATGCAGTAGTTCATGCCTGTAATCTGAGGATTTTCGGAGGCTGAGGCGGGCAGATCACTTGAGGTCAGGAGTTCGAGACCAGCCTGGCCAACATGGTGAAACTCCGTCTCTACCACAAAATACAAAAATTAGCTGGGCATGTTGGCGTGCGCTTGTAGTCTCAGCAACTCAGTAGGCTGAGGCAGGAGAATCGCTCGAACCTGGGAGGTGGAGGTTTTACTGAGCAGAGATCACCACTGCATTCCAGTCTGGGCTGGTGACAGAGTGAGACCCTGTCTCCAAAAAAAAAAAAAAAAAAAAAGTACCAGTCAGGTGTACATGTTCTCTTAAAACAGTTTTTAGATATTACATAAATTCAGAGGTTGGGGGAATGGAGATTTGAGTTTCTTCTTAGAATTTATCAGTAATTTGTTTTTCCTCTCTTCCTACAATAGCGGCCCTGTTCTGTCATTAGCTATTAGTTCTAATGGAGAACAGTGTTTTAGTGGTGGTATTGATGCAACCATCCAGTGGTGGAATATGCCGAGTCCCAGTGTAGATCCATATGATACATATGGTAAGTAAAATGATCAAAATGTATTTTTTTTAAGTGAATGGAGCTGACAAAAGTAAATACCTCAAATATGATTACAAGGTTATTTAAACCTATATTAGTCACCTCATTTAGTTCTTCCATTTGCTAATAAATTGCTTTATTAAAGAGAAAAATTAGGAAATGTCATGCCATGGGTATTTAAGCCTATGAATTGATACTTTCTCTGTTGTTTAAAAAACTATATTAATTAAAATGTTAATTTAGGTAGTAGTTACAAAAAGAAGGAGGAAACAAAATGTAATCTAAGTAACAAAATTTTGAACTTAAGAAATAGTTTATATATTTTAAAAATATTAAGCAAAAGACAATGGAACCAACATCAGGGGTATAAATCATTAAAACTTTTTGGAGCCAAAAATTTTTTTTGTTATTCTTAGCTCATATCTACAAAAACATTCTTAATTTCAAAATGGAAGAAAAAAAAAAAGAAAGGAAACCTCCTTTGACTTGCAAATGTAGCTTTTAGAAATCTGTTCTACAGAAACACCTACCTGTACCTGTGTTCAAATATATTTGTAAGGGCACTGTTAATAATTATAAAACGTTAAAACAAAATGTTTATGAACTCTTTGTTCTTTTTATTTAACACACACATTGTGCCTACATTAGCTAGGCATTGTGGTAAGCACTATGTCAAGAAATAAGATTTAGACTAATGGAAAGTAGAGACATAAAACAGATAAGCGAAGGGATGGGATCTATGGTTACAAATTGTGATAAATGATAAGAAGATAGAGTACTGTTGAGAGGGCGTAACAGGCAGAACCTTCTCTAGAAGAGTTAGTCAAGAAAGGTCTTTCTAAAATAGTGACATTCAAGCCAAAATCTGAAGGATAAGAGGAAACTTTCAGTAAAGAGTTTTAAGCCAGAAAGTTATCTGATAAATGTAAGGTTTTAAAAAGGTGACTGTGTCTGTTGTGAGAAGAATAAATTGGGGGCGAGAAGAGTGGAAAGAGAAATACCAGTTAGGAGGCTGCTGTCATAAAGTAGTCCAGTAAACTAGGTGACAAACGACATTGCCAAGATTAGAGTGGTGGTAGCACAGCATTTAGAAGTGGTTTTAAGATACGCTGAGGGAGTGTGGTAGAATAGACAGGATTTATTGATAAATTATGTTGAGTAGATAAAGTGATGGGTGAGTGACTCTTAATTTGTATGTGTTTAACTGCTTTACTGAGATAATTTACATATCACAAAATTCACCCTTTTAAAGTATACAGTTCAGGCTGGACACAATGGTCCATGCCTGTAATCCCACCACTTTGGGAGGCCGAAGTGGGTGGATCACTTGAGGCCAGGAGTTCAAGACCAGCCTGGGCAACACAGTGAGACCTCATGTCTGCCAAAAATTTAAAGATTTGCCAGATGGGGTGTCACATGCCTATAGTCCCAGACACTCGGGAGGCTGAGCTGGGAGGATCACTTGAGTGTGAGAAGTAAAGGCTGTAGTGAGCTATGATGGTGCCAGTGTACTCCAGCCTGGGAAGAGAGTGAGACCCAATCTCTCTCTCTCTCTCTCTTTCTTTTTTGGAAACAGTCTTGCTCTGTCTCCTAGGCTGGAGGGCAGTGGCGTGATCTTGGCTTACTGCAACCTCCGCCTCCCAGGCTGAGGAGCTGGGACCACAGGTGTGAGCCACCACACCGCACTAATTTTTGTATTTTTTGTAGAAATGGTGGCCATGTTGCCCGGGGTGGTCTTAAACTCCTGGGCTCAAGTGATCTGCCTGCCTCAGCCTCCCAAAGTATTGGGATCACAGGCATGAGCCACTATGTGCAGCCACAAGACCCCATCTCTAAAAAAAAATTAAAGTCTACAGTTCAGTAGTTTTTACTATGTTCACAAAGTTGTACAGCCATCATCACTAATTTCAGAACATTCACAAAGTTTTACAGCCATCATCACTAATTTCAGAACATTTCAAACATTCAGAACATTCAGTCCTGTTTGATGTGAGTAACTGAGCATGTGATGGGAGCATTTATTGAAACGAGGACAGAACAGGTGTGAGGAGATTTAAGATGGTGAGTTCAGATTTTAGGCATGTTAAAGGATGACAAATATCAAGTAGGTAATATACAAATAAGGAGCCCAAAGAGATCTCGATTGAAGTTAAAAACATGGACAGTCTTCTCTATACAAATAATACATTAAACTATAAGAATGGGCAATACTGGGGGAGTGTATTGTTTGGTGTAAGAAGAGAAGACAACCTGGGACTAAAGTCCTCAGTAACTCTGACACTGGAAGAGTGGCTAGAGCAAGAGAGCCAAGAAAGGAAACTGAGGAGGTGTGACCCAAGAGACAGAAGGAAGTGCAGGAGAGGGTGCGAAATCATGGAAGCGCACACTAAAGAAGAAACAATTTTGAGAAGAAAGAAGCAGTCTGCACTTTCGAATGTTGCTGAGAGGTCCAATAATATGATATAAAGTTTCCTTTTTATAAGTGACTAGCAGGTCACCCAGGTCTTGGCCAGACAGAGTTTGGACGCTGCAGCTAAGACTGAAGAATGAAGGGACCTCTGGATAATCTTTCATGTCAGACTATATGGATGAAAAGCAATATAATGGGAACAACAACAAAATGTTTTGTATCATCAAAGAAAAGTATTAAATTTGATAGTGTAGGGATCATCATTAGCAAGGATTGTTTTGGTGTGGTAGTGGTATCAGAAACCAAATTGGAGTGATTTGAAGAGTAAACAGGAAGTGAAAAGCATATTTCTATTGCTGGGTGGAAGGGGTGGTAGGATAGGATTAATGAAGATTTTTTGTTGAAGAGATTCTGGAACAAGTTTTTTTTCACTATGGTAATGATTCCAAGGAGGAGAATTTGTGTAGTAGAGAAGCAGTAAACATTACAGCAAGTTAGTGACATCTGGTATTAGCCTTTGATAGGATGGAGGACAGATTCCTTGCTTGTATCTGGAAGCTAGGAGAAGATACCTTTAGACACTAATCATTTATATATTACGCAGCAAGAAGATGGGGGATAAGAAACATGCAGCATTATTTGAATGCTATATTTTCTCAGTGAAATATGAGGCATAGTCATTCATGAGGAAGAGAGGTTGGGAGCTGTGAGAATTGTGGAGATGATAAGAACCATTCATGGAAAGTGGGAGGAGTTTACTAGAAAAACAGGATTGTCAGACAAATTATGCTCAATGTTATCAGCTGTCAAATGTCTGTCAGTTAAGGAACAGATAAATAAAATATGGTATATCCATACAGCAGAATATTATTTGGCACTAAAAATAAATGGAGTACTGATACATGCTCCAACATGGATAAACCTTGAAAACATGTTCAGTGACCAGGAGTTCAAGGCTGCAGTGGACTGTG
Source organism: Homo sapiens (assembly GCF_000001405.40). Taxonomy (NCBI): domain Eukaryota; kingdom Metazoa; phylum Chordata; class Mammalia; order Primates; family Hominidae; genus Homo; species Homo sapiens. The sequence goes on along the minus strand of NC_000014.9, from coordinate 30,907,659 downwards.
ACCATGCCACTGTACTCCAGCCTGGGTGATAGAGCAAGACCCTATTTCAAAAAGAAAAAAAGAAAACATACTCAGTGAAAGAACCCAGTCACAAAAGACCACATATTGTATGATTCCATTTATAGAAAATGTTCAGAAAGACACATCTATAGAGACAGAGCATTAGTTGTTGCCTAGACTTGTGGAAAGGTGGGGAGGAGGAATTGGGGGAAGTGACTAATGAGTGATGAAAGTACCCTAAAATTGATTGTCATGATGGTTGTATAACTCTGTGAACAACATACCAAAAATCATTGAAGTATACACTTTAAATGAGAGAGTTGTATGGTATGTAAATTATATCTGTATCTCAAGAAAGCTGTTTTAAAAAAAAAAAAAAGCATATGTTTCTTTATAGAAAATTGTGAAAATACAGAAAAATGTTGATGGGAGGAGGGTATAAAAGTAGGCCATAACTCTACTCTTAGATATAGCCACTATGTACACTTTAGTTTATCTTCTTGTGGCCTTTATGTGTGTTCTTTATGCTCAGTTATATGGTAAGTTTTCTTTATGTATCAAAGTTTCTTTTAAACTTCTTTTACCTAATTTTTTGTTTGTTTGTTTTTTCCCCAGAGCCAAATGTTCTAGCTGGCACTTTAGTTGGTCATACAGATGCAGTTTGGGGTCTTGCTTATAGTGGCATAAAAAATCAATTACTGTCTTGTTCAGCAGATGGCACTGTTAGGTTATGGAATCCACAAGAAAAATTGCCATGTATTTGCACTTACAATGGAGATAAAAGTAAGTAAATTTTGCATCTGTGAGAAAAGTTAGTTTTTTTAAAAAATTGGAATATATAAAGGACAAAGTAATTGATGTATTTCTTTACTGTTCCAAAGAGATATATTGAATGAATTTTGTAAAAGTTAGGATAAACTTTTTACTCATTTTTTTGAAGTGCTTTGCAACTATGTCCTGTAGTGCAATGCTTTTTTACCTTTTTTGTATTCCATTTTTTAAAAATGTAAAACTATTGTATATAACAGTGGAATAGACAAATGAGGATACTCATAGGGACAACAGGAGGCACACCACCTGTTCCAGACGACTACCCCACAAAGACCGAAGGGATCACAGTCTCAAGCATACCTATAAACCCTGTGTTCCATTACCTCGAGCACACTAGTTGAGTAGTCCAGCCATAGTCACTGAACCCCTAACTGGAACAGTACAAATTGGGTTATTTTCATGATTTTAAATATTTTCCTATTTAAAAAGGCTTTAACCAGTTTACCTTTTGAAGACATTTACTGGTCTTATTTTCCAAGTCATTTTAAATTTTTTTAATTAGACCTTTTATTTGTACATAAAAATACATATTGTTTTAAAACATTTTAGGTGAATAGTAAATATATAATTTTGTGTCTCTTAGACACCGTAGTGATTGTACTAATTTTCAGTTATCCAAGCTTTAGAGGTAAGAATTCATTTAGGTATTTGTTTCTGGCTTCATCTAGATAGTTAATAGCTTGGCTCCATATTCCATCTAATTGTGCATTGATCTGGCTAGTTTAATTTAGTATGTTAAAGAGAGAAATTGCTGCTCAGGCCATTTTAGGGTAAAGTACTGCATCAGCTGATTCCAGAGTCCAAGCCATTTTCATGAGTCCAAAAATCTGACTTGTATTAGCTGCTTGATAAGGCCTACAGATCTCTGATAGGTGAACCAGTCTCCCAAAGTTATGTGAGAATGCTAATTTATCATTTTACAGTAAGAAGTATAATTGGCAAATTGGCCAAAAGACTAGGATTTTATTTAATCCCTTAGAAGAAAACGTGTAATAGAACAAATAACTTTTGCATGTATTTACTCTTTATGAGCTCTGTAGTTATATTTTTCTTACAATATTAAATAGAATGCTATAAAGTTTTTAAATAATTGAGGAAAAGATATTTCTTATCTCACCATCCTGACACAGTTGTGTTCCTTTTCATTATTAACAGTATTTCAAGACTATTTGAATTCCTTTTTCTGATTAGAAAAACAGAGATTTCAAAAAGTAGAGATTTCATAGTAATTTTACTTTGTTTACATTGTCTGTCTTTGGGCTCATTTCAGAGCATGGAATACCTACATCAGTTGACTTTATAGGCTGTGATCCAGCTCATATGGTAACCTCTTTCAACACTGGTAGTGCAGTAATTTATGATTTAGAAACATCACAGTCATTGGTGATACTTTCATCACAGGTAGATTCTGGTAAGTTTTCATGGAGTTTCTTTGAAACCTTAAAAAGGGTTATTACACAATAGAGGGTGATCTTTTAGCTAATTTTCATATTTTCACTATTTGAATTTAGGATGGCAAAATAATTAGTTTCATAATGTTACAGTTATACTTATTTATATTATGTCTGCTTTTTCTTCAAATTTTGCTTAAAAGCTTGGGTGGACATATGGGAAAAGAGGAATGTCTAGAGCAATATGAAGGTGAAAGTAGAGAAAATAACATAATGAACTTAATGTACTCAGCATTCAGTTTTAATACCTATCTATAAATGCCCAGTATTACACATGCATTATGTGGTGTTTTACAGTTTATTTAGATAGGGATCACATAAGATTTATGTATTGCAGTTGTTTGATAGGTCTCTCAGGTCTCTCTTCATCCATAGATTCCCCTTCATCTCTTTTATGTTCTTTTTTTTTTTTTTTTAATTGACGAAATTGGCTACTTTGTCTTGTCAAGTTTCCGACAGTCTGGATTTTGCTAGTTGCATTCCTGTGTTATTTAATGTGCTTCTCTATTTCTATTCACAGTTCTCCTGTGAATTGATTATAGATCTAAAGACTTATTCAAATTCAGGTTCACTGTTTTTTTCTTTTAAAAATTTTTAAATGTTCTTGGCAACTTTACTTCATAAGTAATTTGTAAGCTTTTATCAGAGGTGAGTATTTTCTGGTTGTTCATGTTTTTGTGATGTTTTCAGTCTGGATTATTTCCTGGGTTCATTCATTTTCTATTGAAAGATTTTCTAATTTTATCATTCCCTCTCCATTTATTAGCTAGATTATTCCTATAAAAAAGAACATCTCTTTATCAACAATTTGGTTACCTTGGAGTTAGTGTGTATTAAGGAAAAAGGCAAGATAAATGATTGGGTTTTGGTTTTCCCCTTTATTTACCAGTTTTTAAAATAATGAGTTGGTTTGCTAGCACCCTCTAAAGGTGACCAGTTTGTCTTGGGTGGTGTTTTTGGTATCATCATACTCTCTCATGGATATAAATGTATTTGATGTGTTTTGATCCATTGCAGGTATTATCTTTATTTATTGCTGTTCAGATCCTTTGATTTTGGCCAGTGGGGCTTACTCAGTGGGGCTCATGTTGGCTCCTGAGTCCTTTTGCCATGACTTTGGTTGTTGTTGATAGCTTCCTGATATGACATATGACAAGATCTTCTAGGTTCATGTTGTTCATTTTGTGCCCTAGATCTGAAATCAGCTATTTATCTAAGGAGTTGTGGTTTCTTTTAGTGGGAAATGGTATTTAGAGACTACAGTTGGGGTACTAGGCTGTTGAGTTGATCCTCATGGTCTTCATGGCTCCTGGGTTGTTCATTGTGTTAGGCTTTTTCAATGGACAGAGCTAAGAAATAAACATTTTTTAAAAAGTAAAATACTTCAACTTCAGATTTATCTTGGTTCTCAACAAAATTGTTTCTCATTTTATTTACCCCACAGTGTACACAGAATCGTCTCAGTAATAATACCATTACCACCAAAAGATCAAATATTGATAATAAAACTTTGTAATTAGGGTATATTCCACTAGTGATATACAATCTAATTTCTATGCTTTAAAGTCACTTGGAATAGTTCCTTCCTTTGTAGTTACACCACCAGTTGGATATACTTAAGTTCATTTGTTTAATTTTACTTTTGATTTTCATTAATTTCTTTTAGAAAAACAACTGTTGGCTGGGCGCATTGGCTCATGCCTGTAATCTCACCACTTTGGGAGGCCAATGTGGGAAGATAGCTTGAGGCTAGGAGTAGAGACCAGTCTGGGCAACATAGTGAGACCCCATCTCTACCAAAAACTTAAAAAATTAGGTGGGCATGGTGATGTGTGCCTGTAGTCCTAGCTTTGGAGACTGAAGCAGGAGAAGCCCTTGAGCTCAGGAGTTCAAGGTTACAGTGAGCTATGATTGCACCATTGCACTCCAGCCTAGGTGACAGAGTGAGTCCTTGTCTCTTAAACAAAAAAAATTGTTTTATAATTATGTAAAATATTTACATGGTGCCATGGTCAGATCTTAAACCAAAATTATCTTCTAAGTCTCTTTCCCAGTATCTCCTCAAACCTATTTTTTTAATTACTCTACATAGGTAACTATATATATATATGTATTTTTTATATGTTTAGGTGTAATATATGAGTTGCGATACATAAGCAGAATGAATGATCTAAAGTCTATTAATATTGAGGAGTTTCCCCCCATTTATTTGTTTTGATATTTCTCTGTTCTCTCTCATCTTTAATAAAAAGTTAGTAAGAGCTTACTGGTAAAGAAAAAAATCTCATCTTTAAAGATCATTAATTCCAGTTCTTTGTTTTTTTGTTTTTGTCAGTGTAGGTAGATGGGGGTTGTTCCTTACAAACATCTGACTAGCAATTGTGAATGTTTTCCTTCTTTAAATGCTTATAACTCTTATATGGACTGTGTATTAGAAGTAATAATTGTGGATCTTTTAAAAATTCTAAACTACCTATAATAAAGGGTGGCATTAAAACACTTCTCAGTTTTTCTAAATTTGAGCCTAGTACAGTCTATATTATAGGACATAATAATGTAAATGTTTATTTTTTAAAAATCTCTCTAGAGTCCTTGTTTGGTTCTCAGATTTTTTGTTTTATGCAAAAGGTTTAGTTTTTAATGATTTTTATATTTTAGCACGATTAAAAAGGCCATTATCCAACTTCTTATTAAAGGTTTGAATTTTAACTTATTGTCTTCCTTTATTTTTCAGGTTTACAATCTAATAATCATATCAACAGAGTAGTAAGTCATCCCACACTTCCTGTTACAATAACTGCTCATGAAGATAGACACATCAAATTTTTTGACAATAAAACGGGTAAGCAAATTGTCTTCTTTTCATATTAGTAATACTGTAAATTTGAGATGATCAAAAATGCTGTTTTATGTAAGATATATTGACTTTTCAGATACGAAATTGCCAAATGAAACCATTTTAACTCAGATTTTTGCTTTTCTTAATGTTGCACGCTTATGATTTGTTATTTTATCCTTAACTAGACATAATACCTTGCCTAGCTATTACGATTTCTTCAAGTCATGTTAGTTAAATGTAGATCCTTCCATTTGAAATTTTTCCCTCATATTCTGTTATGAATAAGTATGATGGAAGAGGTAGATCTCTTTCTGGTGTTTGGCATTTCCATTTTTTTTTTTTTTTTTTTTTTTTTTTTTTTTTTTTTGAGGCGGAGTTTTGCTCTTGTTGCCCAGGCTGGTGTGCAATGGTGCAATCTCAGCTCACTGCAATCTCGGCCTCTTGAGTTCAAGCGATTATCCTGCCTCAGCCTCCCGAGTCGCTGGGATTACAGGCATGCACCACCATACCTGGCTAATTTTTTTTGTATTTTTAGTAGAGACGGGGTTTCTCCATGTTGGTCAGGCTGGTCTCGAACTCCTGACCTCAGATGATCCACCTGCCTTGGCCTCCCAAAGTGCTGGGATTACAGGCATGAGCCACCGCGCCCGGTCGTCCAATATGTTCTTACAACTATGTCTCAGTGGATCAAATGACATTATAGTGCATAGTGTTTATTATCATCTTCCCTGTATTTCTTGTTGTAGGGAAATATACCAGTTGTATTGAAGTCGAATCAGATTTTAACTTAGCCATAGATGTGTGGTTGTTTTTTGTTTGTTTGTTTGTTTGTTTTGGGCCTCTTTTTTATCTAGTCATTACCTAGAATAATAGATAATAGATAGCTTGCTCTCTTTCAGGAAAGGTCTGACAGCTAGGAAGGCTACTTTGAGGAGAGGCTAAAACAGTCAGGGTACTGAAGGACTTCTAAATAAGAAATGTAAATGTTAATTGCAACATTGTTACAGGGTAACAAATTATCAAGTAAGACAGTGACCCAGAATTATAGGTTTCTCTTTGAAGATTATATAGAAAATGGCAATATGTTTTAGTCTGTAGTCTTAACAATGAGACCCTTTTGTTCAAACATTACTTTCATGGACAGATTCTTTTTAACAAATTGCAGACAAAGTGAATATTTACAGGTCTACATTGTGCACAGGACATAAGATTCAAGTGGATGTTCTTTTTAAAAAAAATATTTAAATTTTTTTTTTTTTTTATAGAGACAGGGTCTCACTGTGTTGCCCAGGCTGGTCTTAAACTCCTGGGCTCAAGTAGTCCTCCCATGTCAGCCTCCCAAAATGCTGGGATTACAGGCATGAGCCACTGCTCCTGGCCAGTGTTCCCAATTTAACACTTCATCAAATCAATCCTTTGAACTATTTTTATGAAACCGATAATGTTTTTCTCTGCTGCAAGAGCAAAGAGGTTAATTTCCTTTGTGTTTCTAAAAAGATTCCTGTTTATTAATTATTGAAGATTTACAGTTATATGGGAAAGTTCAGGAATTTTAGTAGTTATATTAAAAGCAAAAGGTGAGCATCTGAAAAGCTATTTTATTAGCAGAAATCAAGAAAGTGGTCAGTAAAAGCTTACTCAATATCAAATAAGCAGCATATAGTCTTTCAAATTGTTTCCAAATTTCACCTATTTATTATTTCTGTTAACTAGTACCTTACCTGTAGTATGAAGATAATTGAAGCAGTAGGCTCCAAATAATAGAAAAAAAAATCCTTTTTTTTTTTTTTTGAGCCAGTCTTGCTCTGTTGCCCAGAGCTATAGTGCAGTGGCACCATCTCAGCTCACTGTAACCTCCGCCTCTTGGGTTCAATTGATTCTGGTGCCTCAGCCTCCCACATAGCTGGGTGGGACTACAGGGTGGGACTACAGGTGTGTGCCACCATGTCCAGCTAATTTTTGTATTTTCACCAAGTTGGCCAGGCTGGTCTTGAACTCCTGGGCTCAAGTGATCTACCCGCCTCAGTCTCCCAAAGTTCTGGGATTACAGGCGTAAGCCACTGTGCCTGAACACACACACACACCGCCCCCCCCCGCCCCACACCCCCCGTTGAGTTACATGAAACTATGAGTTGTCTTCAGATGTATGTTTTTTTGGTGTGGTTTTTTTTTTTTTTTTGAGATGGAGTTTCATTCTTATTGCCCAGGTTGGAGTGCAGTGGCACGATCACGGCTCACTGCAACCTCTGCCTCCTGGGTTCAAGTGATTCTCCCGGCTCACCCTCCTGAGTAGCTGGGATTATAGGCGTCTGCTACCACGCCTGTCTAATTTTTTATATTTTTAGTAGAGACAGGCTTTCAGCATGTTGGCCAGGCTGGTCTTGAACTCCTGACCTCAGGTGATCCGCCCACCTTGGCCTCCCAAAGTGCTGGGATTATAGGTGTGAGCCACTGCGCCCGGCCTGGATATGGTGTTTTCAGAGAAGTTCTTTAAAAACTCATTTAATTGTGGTAAAATAGATTGTCCCCGTAACTGCTGTTTCCGGTTAGCTAAGTTGTTTTTAATAGAGTATTACTTTATAAAATGAGTATTAAATTTATTGAGCTTTTATATCTGAAACATGATAGAACTTTATGCTATGAATAGGTTCAATAATTATTTAAATGAGTAAACCATTTTAATAAAAATGTATTCAGCATTTTGTACTATACTGCACTGGATACTATCATGTATAAGATATGGTTCCTGATTTCTGTGGGCTTGTTGTCTAGAGGAAATAAGAGGGGGTGGGGGGGGTATGTGCAAGATGAAGCTTTGCCTTAGGAATGGAAAGGTGTTTGGGGTTGGTTGGTTTTTAAGTGAAGGAAGTGGTAGTAGGAAGTTACAGGTATGGGGATATTTTGAGCAGAGGTGCAGTGGTGGAAACTTTCTCAGGAACAGAAGTTTCTTATAGACAAAGCCAAAGACAAAGTTTGGGGAAGGAAAATAGAATCTATTGAGGAGGACTTTTAGAACCAGGTTAAGAATATTGAATTTTTATCTATGCTGTATGTGTAGGAACCACTAAAAATATTTGAACAACAGGGCTTGCAAAATTGGTTTAGAAAAACTAATCAAGTCACATTTTGCACTATATGATAGATTCTTGACTTTAAAGGATTTAAAGTTTTCAATTTCTACTATTTATTTCAGAGAGATCTTCAGGACCCATGGTTTCTAAAATTTTGGTAGAGTTACAAATTTGAGTTTCCTATACTGTGTCTGAAAGACTTAGGTAGTGAGTGATTCTGGAAGAACCTTATAGTATGAATGAGGGATGTGGAGGAGTGGGAGGAAGATCTTGTATCAGCTGTGGACTCATTCATTCAGCAAAATGTCTAGACTATCTGCCATATTCTTGGCACAGTTCTTGAAGCTTGGTGAACAGAATAAAATGTCCTGTCCTCTTGGAGCTACAGACTAGTGGTATATTGTCTATTCTGTGTGAGACATTGTTCTAACTCATTTGCTTTTCTAATAACTCTGTAAGGTAGATATAGTACTATTATTATCCCCATTTTACACATGAGGTTGAAGGGCTTAAAGAAGTTAAGTGACTTGTGCAGTATTTAAACTCACACAGTTTGTTTCCGTAGTTTACATTTGACATCTTTATTTTCTCTCCATTTAATAGAGGCCCACAGTGTTAGCCAGTAAAAGGGCTTAAGGTGCCAGGGAGGGGAGAATGGGCATGTGCAGTGGCATCTGTCCAGCCTTTATTTCCTTAGTCATAAGAGGAAAAAATTAGGATTAGTTTTGGTAGAGTATTAGCAGAAGCACGAGGCCAAAATGAAATTGGTTAGATGTGAGAAGCTGCAGGTATATGTTAGTGAAGGAGAGGTCCTCGTTACTGGAAGGGGTCAGAAGCTTTGTGATTTATGTGGTCACCAGTGAAAGCCCAACATACAACTTGGTCCAGCATTGTGTTCTCTATTCATGGTCCATCTGAAGGGATTACTCACATTTTGAAGTGATTTTTGTGACTCTGTGGAGAAGAAGGGTTAACTCTCAATTGACTTAAGATAATCAGGGTGAGGGTTAGTTTAGTGCACAGGCTGGAGAGCTGGAGTTAAACTTGGAAAATTATAGCATCCTTAAAGAAATGTGTAGCTCTTGTATTGGAAAAAAGTCTTTTGGTTTAGAGATGTTAAACTTAGGAGATAGAGGATCATTCTCAAGAGAGAAGTTTGAACTAGATCTGTGAATTGAAACTTACCATCAAGGCTAGGTGTGATGGGTCATGCCTGTAAACCCAGCACTTTGAGAGACTGAGGCAGGAGAATCGCTTGACACCAGGAGTTTGAGACCAGCCTAGGCAACAATACGGGATTCTGTCTCTACAAAAAATTTAAAAATTAGCCAGGCATGGTGTCGTGTGCCTCTAGTACCAGTTAAGTGAGAGGGTTGCTTGAGCCCAGGAATAAGGTTGCAGTGAGCCATGATGGTGCCACTGTACTCTGGCCTGAGTGACAGAGCAAGGCCCTGTCTCAAAAATACAAATAAAATAAATTTTAAAAATAAAACTTACCATCACAGATTTAACATAAGGAAAGCTAATGATACCTGGTATTTAACCCCTAATATTTTGAAAGTATTGTCATGGAGGCCAACCATTTTATACACTGTGGTCTTTTATAGGAATTTTGAGAGGAGTGGATTCTAGAACTGGAAGATAAATTATGTTGAACTAAACAATTGAAGATAGTTTGTTGAAGACTTTTCTGTTCTTTGGGCTAGCAGAGTAGAATTTCTAAGACTATTTTGTTTATTACTCTTAGTATTAATGAGAGTTGTGGTTTGAAATGAGAGACTTTAATTTTGTCTTAAATTTTTGACTTTAATTTTTTTAAATTTTGTCTTCAACTGATAAGTGTTTAATAGTGCTGGAAAGTGATAGGACTTTTCTTCTTTTTTGAGACGGAGTCTCACTCTGTCACCCAGGCTGAAGTGCAGTGGCACGATCTCAGCTCACTGCAGCCTCCACCTCCCGGGTTCAAGCGATTCTCCTGTCTCAGCCTCCCTAGTAGCTGGGATTACAGGTGCTAACCACCACACCCAGCTAATTTTTGTATTTTTAGTAGAGGCAAGGTTTCCCCATGTTGGCCAGGCTGGTCTTGAACTCCTGCCCTCAGGTGATCTGCCCGCTTCAGCCTCCCAAAGTGCTGGGATTACAGGCATGATCCCCCACAGCTGGCCTACTATATTACTTTTTATAGGTTTTTTGGAGTGTATTTTTACACATTTTATTATGTTGTGGTTTTGTATTCAGGTCAACAGCTATAGCCCCATCACAAATAACAAAACTAGACCTCTTTCATATCCTAGTGTAGAGTATCATCATGGGACCAGAGGCATGGCTAATGATTATAACTAGAATTTTGGAAAAAGCCTCTATCTTTCATTAGGGACATCCCAGGCATTTGAGTAATAAAGACTCATTGCTGAGTGAAAGGAGAGTAACTTATAAAAGTATCAGTATTTATATTTTATTGCCTGCCTAGTGAATCAGTTTATAATGCTTTCTATCCATCCAAAGCATATATTACCATTGCAGGATGCCCTTGCCCCAAAGTATTTGTGCAATACAACTTTGTGTTCACAACTTGTCTTTTAAATTCTACTTGCTGTTGAATTCCATTTGCTTGCCAAATCTTCACTGAAGATACTCATTAAGTCACATTTTCCAGAGCAGTGTTTTTGTTAATATCTGGGGAAATCTAGAGTAATTTGTTTACTCCTTTCTTTTTTAGAGTATGTAAAATGATTATATTTCAAAGGATAAGTGAACTGAACTTGATAATGGAATGTTTAGGTAGAAACATATTTTCTGGTGATTTATTTATTGTTAGCCCAGTATATAAAATAGTCTTAAGGTCTTTCACTGACACTTTTCCTTCCTTCTTCCCTCCCCTCCCCTCCCCTCCCCTTCCCTTTCTTTTCTTTCTTCTCTTTTCTCTTTCCTTCCCATTTTCCTTGCCTTTCCTTTCTTGACAGCATTTCACTATGTTGCCCAGGCTAGCTAGAGTACAGTGGCCACTCACAGGCACAGTCATAGTGCACTGCAGCCTTGAACTCCTGGGTTCAAGTGATTCCACAACCTCAGCCTCCTGAGTAGCTTGGAACTACAGGCACACCTCACCACACTTGGCTTATTTAATTCCAGTTTACACGATCTTGAGCCTTTGATGCAATCCTATTGTCATTGCTTTACAGTGTCTATCAGATATTGTCAGATACATGTTACACAGATGTCTTTTTTAGGAGTAATTATTAGAGAAAGTTATGCATTTGAATTAAAATTCTCTTGAAAACATTACCGTAGTGGTGGATGTACCCTTAAAACATTATATTAAGTGAAAGAAGCCAGACACAAAAAGCCACGTATTGTATGAGTTCACTTATACGAAGTATCCAGAATAGGCCAGTCTATAGAAAGAGTCGATTAGTGGTCAGGGGTTGGAGGGGCAAATAGGAGTGACTGCTTAATTGGGTATGGGGTTTCCTTTTCCAGTGATGAAAATGTTCGGAACTCTAGAGAATGGTGATGGTTGTGTAACATTGTGAATGTTCTAAAAGACACAGGATTGTGTACTCAGATGTTTACAGTGGTAAATTTTATGTTGTGTATATTTTACCACAATAAAAAAGTTGCTATAATGATTGTTTTATGTTGATGCTATATTGTAGTTTCTGTTGTCTCGAGTTAGTATTTGTGAAAACTTAATCAGTTCTCTGTTATGTTTTGTTTAGGTAAAATGATCCATTCTATGGTAGCTCACTTGGATGCTGTTACAAGTCTAGCAGTAGATCCTAATGGAATCTATTTGATGTCTGGAAGTAAGTCTTAAAGTCCTGTACTGCCCACAAACTTTATAAAAGATTGTTACTCAGTAACAAATTTTATTTGTTCTTTTACAGGCCATGACTGTTCCATCAGATTATGGAATTTAGACAGCAAGACATGTGTGCAAGAAATAACAGCTCACAGAAAGAAATTGGATGAATCAATTTATGATGTTGCTTTCCACTCGTCAAAAGCATATATAGCTAGTGCAGGAGCTGATGCTCTTGCCAAAGTATTTGTATGAATCAACAAAAACTTGCATCGTAACAAGATTTGCTTGGACAGAAAGAGGGTCTGCATCACTGCCATCAGAAAGGTTACTGATATGACACTACATGTGATCTGCCTGGTGAAGGCTATCTGGGGCAGGCACAAATTGGTGGAAATCACATCTTAATGTCAAGCTCATTAAGTTAACTGTAATTACTGTATTTTGTGGGACAAAGAAAAAAGGACTCCAGTATTTGTGGCCTGTACTGGATGTGAACTGAGCGTATATCTGTTTTTAGGTGTCTTTAAGCCAATGTGGAGTCTGATCTTTCAAAAAAGTTTTTTTTTTTCTCTTCTTCTTCTTCTTTTTTTTTTTTTTTTTTTTTTTTTTGGACTCTGTGTGCTGCCTTAGGGGTTAGGAATGTGGTGCTCTTGTTGGGGGAAGTGAGCTCCAAGAGTAGCTTTTTTTCATCTCTTAGTGATCTTCTGTTTATCGGTTGAATGCCACAGATTCCCTTTTAAACTTATTTTGCTTTAAAAAAAAAAAAAAAGAAAAAGAAAATTTAACTTAAAATATTTTAGCATTAGTTGCACAAAATGTTTGGATAAAATTCTAGTTTTTATAAGTCTTTTTATATATTTAGCCTGTCACAACAGTGCTCAAGATTGTATTGAAGTTTTTCTGCATTATACAACCCTAAAACACAGAGATCTCACTGACCCGTTGCCCTGTAACCACTTTCTTTCCTTCTTTTGCCTAATACAGCTCAGCTAAGTCCTTCCATAAAGATGCTAAATAACTTTCATCATCACATAAATGTCTTCATAAACCAAGGACTATTAAGTGTATTAAAATGAAACAGTGGGGTTTAGTACTCCAAATGAACTCTTAAAGAAAAAAACTAATCTTGGCATCCTATCACTATGTGATATTTTGTACATCTTACTGTATTTACAAGTTTATTTATCAAGGATTATCCATCTTGCTAATGGCCTATTATTTATTTCACTTTTTGTTGGTCTTTATATCCTTTTATTAATGTGCTAAAGGAACCTGTATATCTATTTTGGAACTCTTTGAATAGTCTAAAATAGACTAAAAATGGAGTATTTTATAGTTTAAATTACAAACCAAGGTGGTTCCCCCTAAGATATATATCTTGGTTTACCATGATTCCAAACAAAACTAACTTGTTTAAAAATATTTGGAGTAAAGTTTTATTTGCATTACAAATAGGATACAAAAATAGTTGAATCAGGATACAGAAATCTGCTGTGTTTTGACTAGTTATCCCTGTTTTATTTTTTTAGATGTGCTTAATTTTATGGTGTAACTAAAGATTTTGTTTGTGTAATGCATGATTAAGACAATAAAGTATTTTTTCTAGTCTTCCGAGAAACTTTTCTGATCAGTTTGCGAGTTTTGATGAGTTTTGTAAGGTTTTTGTTTTACAAACTATGAATCAGCAAATTTTTAAGATTGTACCACATAGCAAACATACAGCTGTTGAAAAATAATGTATATAAAATGCATATAATAAATATTAAATTGTGTACCTGTATGTTACTGTTGGCTACATCATTTTGTGTTGAATAATAAAGTGCAATACTTTATTCTCCATAATTAAACTAGGAAATGGAGATTTCTTAGTGAGTCCTTCATTTTTATGCTGTTCTTTCAAACTTTGTCCTACTTATTGATATTCTAATAAGAGTAGATCACTAACACTATTAATAATGTCTAAGTATTTCACCCCACTTGAAGATTAAGAAAAAGTCTTGCATTAAATTATGCAATTCAAAATAACCCCCAGAAATGCACAGGTGCAGTTTTAAGTAATTTGCTTAGACATCCTGTTACATTATTAAATCTGAATTTCAATTAATGGCAGTGTTGTTCTATTTGCCATACCTGTTCCCACAAAAAAATTCAGCAAGGAATAAACTACATTGAATATTTAGGTTAGTTGGTGCAAAAGTAATTGCGGTTTTTGGCCGGGCGCGGTGGCTCAGGCCTATAATCCCAGCACTTTGGGAGGCCGAGGTGGGTGGATCATGAGGTCAGGAGATCAAGACCATCCTGGCTAACACGATGAAACCCCGTCTCTACTAAAAACACACACACACAAAATTAGCCGGGCGTGGTGGCGGGTGCCTATGGTCCCAGCTACTCGGGAGGCTGAGGCTGAGGTGTGAGTCCGGGAGGCGGAGCTTGCAGTGAGCTGAGATCACGCCACTGCACTCCAGCCTGGGTGACAGAGACTCCGTCTCAAAAAAAAAAAAAAAAAAAAAAAATTGTGGTTTTTGCCGTTTGTAATTGTGGTTTTTGCCATTTCAATGGCAATTACTTTTGCACCAACATGTTAGTTAAAAGTTGTCTTATAATGTTAAACAATATTTTGAAACTTTTCTTCAATAAGGTAATATCCTTTGAAGGGAATTGCAGATGAAATTAGAAGGGAACACTAGAAAACTTACGTGTGAAATTCAATTTGAATGCTTGCTGCTGTTGCTGGGGGAAGAAATTACATTGTACACTGAGAAATTTTGTCATCTACCATAAAAATCTAAGTGGCAATTTTAGTCATTGACGAAAATCTAAAACTTTTCAAGTTTTTTGTTTTTTTTTTTTGAGATGGAGCGGAGTTTCACTCTTGTTGCCCAGGCTGGAGTGCAATGGTGCGATCTCGGCACGCTGCAACCTCCGTCTCCCAGGTTCAAGTGATTCTTGTGCCTCAGCCTCCCAAGTAGCTGGGATTACAGGCATGCGCCACCATACCTGGTTAATTTTGTATTTTTAGTAGAGACAGGGCTTTACCATGTTGGTCAGGCAGGTCTCAAACTCCTGAGTCACCTCAGGTGATCCACCCGCCTCGGCCTCCCAAAGTGCTGGCTGGGATTACAGGCGTGAGCCACCGTGCCCAGCAAGTTTTTTTTAAATACCATTTTTTTTGTTTTTCTGAACTGAACATTCAACTAAAGGACAAATTAAAGGGGGTACTTTTCTCCTCTTCTGTTTCTTCTTTTTTGAAATAAAGAATAAGCTTTTCCAAAGCTAGAATTGTTTCTAGCACCTATTCCAACCCAGTACATTATCATTGATCTGAAATGTGATGATTATTGGAATGCATAAACATTGACGTATTTTGGAATGTATTAAAACTGAAATGGATAAAAATTAGTATATATGTTTATTTTGTTCTATCTCCTTTGGTTGTATTTTTCTCTGCAGTATTAAACATTTGGAAGAGACTAAAGGTATGCAAAAATAATGTCTTATTTTCATTATGTGTGCTTCCATTTGACACATGGGAAATTAGATTAATTTCACTATTAAATAGTACTTTATACAAATCTTAATATGTTGATTTCTTCAATAGTTAATCATATTCTGCCTCTCATTTCATGTTGTTTTTCTCATTATTTCAAACTAGGTAACTTACCTGTTGAAGACTAACATTGCATTTAATGCATTAAGTTATAAATGGGCCAGCATATTTGAAATCTAAGCATGTTTGCTTAAGTTGGATTGTAATACGTATTTCCTTTTTACTCTGTCTCCTGTAAATAACCTTTATCCTGATTATGTTTACTTACATAATTATTGATAGTAACCTACAGTTCTGATTTCTGCTGTCTTGCTGCTATTCCCTGGTTACTTCAGGTGACTCAAAACTTGGTCCTTTATAAAATTAAAGAAAAAACCACTTTCTTAAAAGGGCTAATGAGTGGTAGCTGGGTTTTCATTAGAGCTTAATTTTCCAAGGGGTTGTACTCCTAGCTGAGAGTTTTTGGTCTACTTACTGGGGAAAAATCATACTATGCTAAACCCAGTTTTTATGATGTTTAATTAAAATTATCCCTGTTACATGATTCAGTCATGTTTGAAGCATTTTATAAAAGGGGAGGTTGTCTTCTCAAACTCTATTTTCAAATTCAAATTTTTATGTAGTGAAAAAGTCAATTCCAGTTTGTTTCTCCCTGCATGTAGTCCTTTTATTCCTCTTATGCAGGGTATAAAATTGTAAGACTCAGAAGATTTACTGGAGTATATTATTCTAACCAGTTAACACATTTCAGGGGGCTTAGGTGGATGAGAGGAGGAGATAGGACCTATCTTTAGAAAAGACAGACAAGGTGGGATGATAGAGCACCTCTGTCTTTTGGGAGAGGCCTTGGTAAGCGAATCATCTAAGTCACATTAAGGGAGTCCTGATGTTCTCCTTTCATAGGAACCAACTTCACAAGCATTTTTAAGTAAAAAATGATGTCAATTACAAAACATTTCTGGTGAAGCAAGTACTCAAAAATATCTTATACTGTTTAATCAGGTAGTGGCTGTGTATAATGCCTAGGACAGTAGGTATTCGATAAACTTGTGTCTTTTTATTTTTTTTTTTATTTTGGAGATAGGGTCTTGCTCTGTCACCCAAGCTGGAGTGCAGTGGTGTGATCATGGCTCACTGTAGCCTTGACCTCCTCGGCTCAAGCAGTCCTCCCACCTCAGCCTCCCAAGTAGCTCAGACTACAGACATGCACCATCCCACCCGGCTAATTTTTTTTTCTTTTTTGTAGAGGGGGTTCTCACTATGTTGCCCAGGCTGGTCTTGAATTCTTGGCCTCAAGCAGTCCTCCTGCTTCAGCCTCCCAAAGTGCTGGGATTACAGGCATGAGCCACTGTGCTTGGCCTCAATAAATAATTGAATCAAAGAAAAAATATTCTTGGTATTATTACATGATTTAAAAAACAATTCAGATTGGTCTTTCCACATGAATTTTTACCATATCCTCAGGGGAGACACTAGCAGTAATAAAAGTAAGCCAGCTTACAATAACTCACTAGCAGTTTTATTGCTTAAATATTCAAACTACAATATTTTTTCTGCAGTTATTTGAAATGTCTTTGTCTTTAAATGTTTATAAGCAGTCAGTAAATACTTTACCAACTTAACTTTTAAGTACTTAGGTGACTTAGAATATAAGCCAAATATATCTATATACATATAAAATTAAGGAGAGAAATAGAAAAATACCTGGCAATCCTGCTCTCTTATTCAGTGTGATATTTTTAGTCATAAGTTGTTATGAAAACACACTACAAAAGCAGTTTGATACAGGTCTCCTTTCTATATCCAGATTTTATAGTCTGCAGTAATAGCTAGCTATTATTGATTGGTTTTAAGAAAATATCCACTTGGGTCAAAATATGTGTACCTGAACCATGTTAAAGAGCTGTGTTCATTTAAGTTTCTCTTTTCATTTTGCTTATATAATCAATACAGAATGGTTAGAGAACGAATGTTGCTTTTGGTCTAAGTATCAGATTCTTTTATTGAGCTATGGAATTTGCATATCTGTACATTTAGTAGGCATGGTTAGAACTCTTAAGGTTTTAATCCACATTATCTCCTCTTTCCTGAGTTTCTAAGAGCCATGATTATGAAGCCTCAGCAGTGTTTTTAACAAAGTACACTGTAAATTGTAACCAGAAGGCAGCGGCTTTAAAGGAGTGCTTATTTGCCTAAATGGCTGTTGACATACTTAATAGTTTTGTATCTGATTCTAGTATGCTAAAGCATTTCAGTATTATGAGAATACAATTTACACACTGGATCCCCTTGTACTTTTTCTTTCAGTTGTCAAAATGTTACCATTATTGCTGGGATTCTAAGAAATCTCTACAAATGCCTCTGATGACATCAGAAACAATTGGTTCTAATCCTGTGAACTCTCTTGTGAAGAAAGCATGAGACTCCTTCGGTTTAGAAGCCATATCTTTCAGGTCATCCAGAGGTGCCCAAGCCACACCAACAGAGAAGATAGTGATTCCTACAATGAAAACATTTTAAAGTGAATTGAAAATCAGGTCTAGCTAATATATGGAATTATGTCTATATGTTTTCCATACACTGTTACATAGTTGCAGCGAAAACTGCTTACTAATTTCTGGACAATTAAATCCCCTGAACAAATTAAGTTTTCACAGTCATTGTGACGAGAGTGGCAAAAGAGTGGTCCAAACCAGAAACTCTGCTATATCTGTAATTCGCCACATTAACAGGTAAGTCATCACTGATAAGAAATAATTTGATAAAGTTCAATATCCATTAATGACAGAACACACCTATAAACTAGGAATAGAAGAAGACTTTTAACCTGATCCACAGTATCTTTTTTAAAATCCTACAGTAAATGCGGATGGTGAAAATTTTCCGTATGAGGTTGGCCTGCATCAAACAGTATACTGGAGTCAGAGTCACAATCCATTAAAGCAAGGAAGAATGGCACAAGAGATGGGATAAGTAAATAGCAAAAGTGTTCAAAGGTTGCATTGTTTGAGGAATGGTGACTAGTCCTCTGATAATGAAAAATCCTCTTCCATTTCAATCTTTATATTGGCAAACTGTCTAATAATCAGAAAATGTCAGCCTATAATCCCAAAGCAAAACTAGTGACTAAAAAGTACTGCCCAAGAGGGATCTTATGAAACTGGAGTAATTTCTTCCAGTTTCATTGAGGTATTCTATTTCCATTCACTTTAGTTACTAGAAGGCTTTTAGTACAACTGTACATTTAGGGTAATAATACATTAGTTGGATTCACCCCAATCCCAATTGTAGAAGTTTTCATTTAATCTTTTTTTTTTTTTTTTCTCAGACAGGGTCTGGCTCTTTTGCCCATGCTGGAGTGCAGTGGTACAATCAAGGCTCACTGCAGCCTCAACTTCCTGGGCTCAAACTATCCTCCTCAGCACCCCCATCCTCAAATAGCTGGGACTACAAGCGCATGCCACTAAGCCCAGCTAATTTTTAAATTTCTTTGTAGAGATGGGGTTTCACCATGTTGTTCAGGCTGGTCTCATCTCGAACTCCAGGGCTCAAGCGATCCATCTGCCTCGGCCTCCCAAAGTGCTGGGATTACAGGCATAAGCCACCACACCTGGCCTCATTTAGCAGATTCTTAGTGTAGAGTACCATCTATCTAATGCTGGGTGCAATTTTCTATAACTTTTGGAGTTTCTGTAATAGTTTTCCTCTACAGATCTAAGGTTTCATTCCCCTTCTAGTGGTATACAGTGCTCAGAGTGGTAAATACCTAAGATATGCAGCAGGTTTAGATGATGTAAAAGCTACTTGGAACAATGTCCAATTGTTCCAGTCTCCTTTTCCTGACTCTCACTCCCTGGTTAAAAAAAAAAAAAGTCAAAATATTTTTTTCCTCCCCCTCAGTTTTCCTCACTTCTTTTCAGTTCTACATTCTAGTTCAGATTGTTTAGCTCAAGCCCAGCATATAATTACAGTTAAAAAAAAAAATAATCACACCACTGTACTCCAGCCTGGGTGACAGAGCAAGACCCTGAAAATAAATAAAAACTGTTGTGATCTACCCCTAAAATCCTACCCTATTTTCTGGCTTTTGCAACTTTCAATATCACTAAGGGATAATTTTCACGAATCAATATTGGTGTAGTCCAGCCTCCTGAACTTTAATCAACCTAATCACTTTATAGCCTGAATACAATCCTGTTAACTATAAGTTCAGTAAGCTAAGTATTAAGGAATATGATAGTAAACAGGTCTTTACTTCACAGGCTAGTTGCTGATGTATAAAAAATACTTTTTACAAGCTAGATGTGGAACTTAAATTGCATGTGTTCTCTGTTTTAAGAATAATCTTTCATCAGTATCTGTAAAAATATGTGAGTACATTGGCAGAGGTACTAATGTGTAGAAAGGAAAAAGGTTATGTCATTAGGAATTAAGTAGGGAAAATGAGGTACAGAAGAGTGTTAAAAAAAACAAGTCCATTGATTCTTCCCTCCTGTCACTCAGTTATATCCTCAGAAAGGGAATCTTAGCTTTTTGTTGGCCTATTTGATCTCTAACACATTACGTTAATGTCTTCAGGAACGAGGCCTGTGCCAAAAGTAATATTAAGGCTGGGGTGAGGAAGAAAGAAACCCTTCTTATACCCTTTTATAACACCAGAGTGTGTTTTTATTATCTTAAGCGGGGGGGAAAAAGTTTTTTTTTTTTTTTTTTTTTCTTTTTGAGACAGAGTCTCACTCTGTCGCCCAGGCTGGAGTACAATGGCACGATCTCAGTTCATTGCAACCTCTGCCTCCTGGGTTCAAGTGATTCTCGTGCCTCAGCCTCCTGAGTAGCTGGGATTACAGGTGTATGTTACCACACCCAGCTAATTTTTGTATTTTTAATAGAGACTGGGTTTTACCATGTTGGCCCGGCTGGTCTTGAACTCCTGACCTCAGGTGATCCCGCCCACCTCAGCCTCCCAAAGTGCTGAATTACAGATGTGAGCCACTGCACCTGGCCAAGGAAATTTTGATGGGATAGGTAAAGTCTATGGGAGACCTTATCTTAGGAAACTCATGCCAGACAAAACTTGACTAAAATAAAAGTTAGGGTTGGGTGTGGTGGCTTATGCCTGTAATCCCAGCACTTTGGGAGGCCAAGGTGTGAGGATTGCTTGAGCCCAGGAGTTTGAGATCAGCCTGGGCAACAAAGTGAGACCCCCGTCTCTCCCCAAAAAAATTTAAAAATTAGCCAGGGGCAGTGGCATGTGCCTGTCGTCCTAGCTATTTGGAAGGCTGACACAGGAGGATTGCTTGAGCCCAATAGTTGGAGGTTGTAGCTCACTACATGCCACTGCACTCCAGCCTGGTGACAGAGCAATTACCTGTTTCATACACAAGAAAGTTAGGATAAATTACTGAATGGCAGATTCATGGTAGGTTATAAGCTGGCTATTTGGAGATATAGTCCAAGTTTGAGCTAAATATGAGCACCTTAATTGTATATGTATAAGCATATTTCCTTAATGTGACATGGTTCTCATGGCAATTCTCCCAACAATACAGTGGTTAGGAATGTGCACTCTGGAGCCAGAATGCCTGGGTTTGGATCTTGGCCTTGCCACTTACTAGAAATGTCATTTCCAGGAAGTTTGCTTCCTTATCTGTAGAATGAGATGAGTAGGGCTGCTTTAACAGTTAATATTGGGTAAAGCCACAGGTGTTTGTTTAATGAAATAAATGCTTAAATTTTTATTTACTCCTAAATTCACTGAACCGTTTTTTCTGTTCCCTTCTCCTATAAAGAACAAGGACCTTACCTGCATCATGTGCAGCAGCTGCAGGGCCTTGGACATCATCATAGGACTGCCCATCTGTGACAATTACTAGGAAGTTCTTGTTGGGGCTCTCCCTTATAGGGCCAAACACATTTCTAACAGTGAAGGAAATGGCATCACCAGTAGCTGTTCCACCACTCATATAGCGGATGTTTCTGATGACAGCTAGGACATTCTCTTTGGTGCTATAGTCAGTGAAACTGAACTCCGTGCGCTGATCATAAGTAAACTGTACAGCAGCTATCTTGGCACCAATGTCCGAGATTTCAAAAGTCTTGGCTATGTTGGAAACAAATTCAAGCATGAGGCGGAAATTGCTATCTCCAACACTGCTGGAGCCATCAATTAGAAAGGCAATGTTCACTGAGTTATAACAGGTCTTGCTGCACATCATTTGTTCATGAGTGCACAGCTTCTGTACCAGAGGCTTTACGTATTTTGTGGTGCCAAACCAGTTGGGCATGTGGTAAGAGAAGAAGCCATTATTCCGACAGACAGCCTAATGGGGGAGACACATAAAAGATATCCAAAAGGATCAAAAGTTGTTTCTTCTTAAAAACTGGAAAATCCTGAATGTTTCAAGTTAATCTAGATAAGAGGCAGTCAGCACTGCACTTAGAGGTCCAAAATGGAATACCCATCACTGTAACAGAAGATAACCCTCACCACTTTACCTTGTCAACAAATGTGACATCCTGAACCATCCCCAGTTCTTCAGGGATAGGCTTGGCCACAGAAACTATAAATACATTGACACCAAACTCTCTGGCCACAATGCCTGCTTCCTCGATGTCATCAGAAGGCCAACCATCAATAAATACCACCACCACTTTGGGGATCCCTTTTCTTACTCCAGCATCTACCGTGAAGAATTTCTGAGCAGTATGCTTCAAGGCTTTTCCTAAATTTGAAAAAGAAGCAAACAAATAGCCTTTACCACTGCTCAAACCACATTTCTGTTTCCCTGTAGCATTTGATGCTGCAAAGTTTAAGAATTATATATAGAACTGGCAGTGGGGCGGGGCACACAAAAAAGAATTATATAGAACCCAGTTCTGTAACAGATGCATCAGCTGGGAAAGTTTAATTATCTACCAGGCCTATTTATCTTCACAAGCCATATTAGTTCCCCCTCCACCTCCTAGAAGCCTCACATTTGTTTACCCCACATCAATCGCCAGTTAGAAACACAAAACTGATTCCCACTTCCATGCATGTGCTCTCTATGTAGCCCTTTGGTGACTGATTAGTACCTCTAAGAAGTCTCTCTTCAGAGTCAACGGTAGTGCTACTCATTCTTTCTGCCACATCTGCATTCATTAGATAAGTCTGTTGATTTTCACTTCTTTTTAGCATTACAAAGAGATACTTCTCCAATGTTATATCTAGTCAATCCAATGTATGAGAATTCTAAATCACCATGCTTTATATTTTTTAAAATAAGAAATATCAACACTTTGGTATACTTCCATTATAAATTGAAAATTTATCTCAGATGATCAAATGCAGACCTAGCCAAGATTTCAGTTCCAGGAGGATTTCACATCTGCTCATATAAAATAGCATAATACTGTTTTACATGTCTGATCACTGATAACCCTCTCCTATGTTACATCCCAGGTATCAAAGTCTACTTACCTGTATTGGAATTACCCCCTCTGAAACCTACTTCCTTTATGGCAAACAAAACATCTTTGGCTGATGTAAAGTTTTTCAAGTAAAATTCTATTTTGGGATGTTCACTGAGTGGAAGAAAGAAAATGTTATTCAGGGAGAATTAAAAAGGTAAAATAAGCAACATTACATGCCTTAAAAAACAGTTTTAAAACCAGACAACACACAAGTTTCTTTCTTAATTCCATAGTACATAGTCAACTGAGGCATTGCATCCTTACTTGAATTATTGGAGATATTTCAGAGGTGTAACAAATAATTGCCATATTGAGGATTTATTATATTCTGGGTAATAAGCCAAAAGCATAACACATGTAAAACCTCATTTCATCATAGCTCTATAAGGTTGGAATTATCCCAATTATGTAAATGAAGAAACTGAGTCTCAGAGCATTTAGGGAGTTTGCCTGATGAAACACAGCTGCATTTTAAGTTCAAGTTGTCTGGCTGCAAAGTCCATGCCTAAACTATACGGAGAACTTGAAATCGGGCTTGGCTCAGAGCCTCGGGTTTAACAGAAGTCCGCAGAGTTGGGCACCAGGTAGCTAAACTAAATGAGGAAGTGGCTGGGTATGAGACTAGGGTCTGTTCCAGTGTGGGACCCCAGAGGCTCTAAGTAGTGTGGATCTATTAACTCAGAGCTCTCTGTTCAGGAGAAACAATTTCATTGATGTGACCGTCAACATTTTTTTAAAGGGACAAAGGTGAAATGAATTATAAAGTTACAATATTGAGTTTTTCTTATAATGACAATGACATTTGTGCACCTTAAAATTATGTGTATTGTAAGAGTTTTGAGATCTCATTTCCTATATTTAATATTAAAGGAATTTCAGCTCACTTTTATATAACTACTCTGTGTTCAGCAGAGACCGTTTTGAGTATAAACAACCACAGCACAATCTGTTGTGTTTAGTTTCTAGATGAGTCAGTATTTCCTAGTGCAAAATTTAAGATCTTAGCATTATCAGTAGCCATTTTATTCAAGATTTTTTGAGGGAGAAGTAGAACACTGACTGTATTTCTGCATACATACCTGATGGAATATTGGGTCATAAAATCAGATTTCATGGGTTGAAAACCTTTTCACTTGTGGTCACTTTTCAACTATCCAGATTATGACTTATGAAATTAGTCTCATTTTTGTATCCTTGATATATTCTGTTCTTTGACTTACATACATATAAACTTGACATGGTTTACCTATTCTAATGGTCTTTCTAAAACAGAAAAACTACAAAACTTTGTATGAGTCTACAAGGTAATGAAGAATTCATCTTCAAAAAGAATTGGGTCAAAGTAGTCAGAAAAAAGTACAAGACAAAAAGTACTGCAGGGGAATTTGCCTCATGGGATGTTAAAATGTGCAATAAAACTGTGATAATCAAAGCAGCGTAGAAAAAAATATGTAAGGATTAGCATATGAATCAAAGAAATAGACTTGCTCAAACTCAGGTATAAATGTGATACCATAAGTCAATGAAACAAGGAACACATTTTTTTTAAGGGTGAGAGACAAATGGTTAAATTATGTTAAAACAGTTAAATTTTCTTCTCATGCCAAAAAAATTCTATCTAATCTAAGAGCAGAGCCACTTGTAAAAAATAACAGAAATGAAATGGAAATTAATATTTGTAATAGCACTGTTTATACAACCTTACACACTGCTGATAGTAGTTTAAACTACTTCACCTTTCTAGGAAGCAATTTCGCTATTTATTTGTTTTTTTAGAGATGGGGTCTTTCTCTGTTGTCCAGGCTGGAGTAGAGTGGTGCCATCATAGCTCACTGCAGCTTTGAACTCCTGGGCTTGAGAGATCCTCACACCTCAGCCTCCTGAGCAGCTGGCACTACAGGCATGAGCCACTGTGCATGGCTCAATTTCACTATTTATATCAGAGGCTTTAAGTCAGAACCTCACTTTTAGAAATCTAACCTGATGAAATAATCAGAGATGGGCACAAAGATGATATAAGGATGTTCATCACAGTGTAGTGTGTAATGTAGTGAAGAAATAATAAGAATGACTAATCATGCAGCGGAATATTATGAAATATTTTTGATGAATATTTGTGATATGAGAAAATGCTAAAAATACTAAAGGATGAAAAAAACAGGATGCAGGGCATTTTTAATAGTCTGAGTTTTTAAAAAATAATACAGTCAAATATTTCCTTAAAATACTGAAGGGGCCAGGCGTGGTAGCTCACACCTGTAATCCTAGCACTTTGGGAGTCCGAGGCAGGTGGATCACCTGAGGTCAGGAGCTCGAGACCAGGCTGGCCAACATGGTGAAACCTTGTCTCTACTAAAAATACAAAAATTAGCCAGGCGTAGTAGTGCACACCTGTGATCCCAGCTACTCAGGAGGCTGAGGCAGGAGAATCACTTAAATCCAGGAGGCAGAGGTTGTAGTGAACAAAGATCGTGCCATTGCATTCCAGCCTCGGTGACAGAGCAAAACTCCGTCTCAAAAAAAAAAAAAAAAAAAAAAAAAAACCATTTTATAGTGATTATCTCTAGGGCATATGATTTAGAGCATTTCTTTTTTTGTGCTCTATGTATTTTCAAGCTTTCTATAATGAGCATATTCTATTTCTAAAAGCAATTAATAAATAAATATTTATTTATTTATTTATTTTTATTTTTATTTTTTGAAACAGAGTCTTGCTCTGTTGCCCAGGCTGGAGTGCAGTGGCACGATCTTGGCTCACTGCAAGCTCCACCTCCTGGGTTCACGCCATTCTCCTGCCTCAGCCTCCCGAGTAGCTGGGACTACAGGCGCCTGCCACCACGCCCGGCTAATTTTTTTTTTTTGTATTTTTAGTAGAGACGGGGTTTCCCCGTGTTAGCCAGGATGGTCTCAATCTCCTGACCCCGTGATCCATCCGCCTCGGCCTCCCAAAGTGCTGGGATTACAGGCGTGAGCCACCGCACCTGGCCAGCAATTAATAAATATTTTTAAATGAATAAAATAGAAAGGTCGTGCTTCAGATCACCAACCAAGAGAATATGGAAAGAGCTAAAAAGAATAACAGAATAGGGAGGTGGAATAGACATATCACTGCTTCTTCCTTCAGAAGAGAGAAATTAGGAATTGAGCAGAGTAGATAAGCAGAGGTGACTTGTGTAAGCAACAGGACTCTCCAGTCTACCTTCTGGTTCTTATATAGATAGCACACAGTTTTCTAAATTCTTTTATTCCAAAAAGGAGGCACTCAGATCTACTCAGTCTGCCCAGGCAGTCTTAGATCCTGAACTTACAGTTTGGGAACCCAGTGTGTCCATAACTCAAATGTTTATACTGAACTGACATGTACCCACTAAAAGAACTGATCATTTGTCATCATTCAAGACTCATTCAAATCTCCTCTCATTTGATTTTTTTCTTTTTTTTTTTTTTTTTTGAGACATAGTCTCACTGTTGCCCAGGCTGGAGTGCAGTGGTGCAATCTCGGCTCATTGTAACCTCTGCCTCCCGAGTCCAAGTGATTCTCCTGCCTCAGCCTCCCAAGTAGCTAGGATTACAGGTGCATGCCACCACATCTGGCTAATTTTTGTATTTTTAGTAGAGACGGTGTTTCACATGTTGGCCAGACTGGTTTTGAACTCCTGACCTCAGGTGATCCACACACCCACTTGGCCTCCAAAGTGCTGGAATTACAGGCGTGAGCCACTGCACCCGGCCTCATTTGATTTTGAATGTATCCAACACAAAGAAATGATCAATGTTTGAGGTGATGGATATGCTAATTACTCTGATTTGACCACTATACATTGTATGTATGAAAACATCACTATGTACCCCATAAGTATATATAATTATTATGTGTCAATTACAAAATAATTTTTTTTTTAAATCTCCCATTTTAACAAGGTTGGTACCTGGCTTGAACAAGGCCCACATGTGGTCCTTCTGTTCCAATTCCCAACATTAGAGCCACTTTTCCAACAAAATTCTTCTGTAAATTAAATCGGCGCTGCCCAATATTAAAGCTTCCATCAATCAGAAATGCAATGTCTGCTTTACAATCTGCGAACAACCAAACCAGTCCCCTCATTAGCAGTCTCAAGAGGAGGGAGGGAAAATGCTACCTTCCCAAATGGAGATCTTGATTCTTACCTTTATTGCCAGTTTTCTTCTCGGGTGTTTTCTTTAGTCGTTTACCTGAAATAAAAGATGCACTTGGCATTAACAAAAGGAAGACAGTTACATAGCAAGAAACCCACATGGGGAGAAGCTCATAACAACAGAGTGCCATTCTTGAAAGGACTTTTTTAAAAAAATTAATTTCCTCAGGATTTTCTGGACTAGGGAAAGCAATGACCCAACAAATAAACAAATCAGTATGTAGGCCTACATATTTGATATGCCCTAATCCAGGACTTTAATACCCCAAACCCACAGGTGAGGCAGGAACTCAACATTAAATCCTAATGTTCTTAATATCTTTGACTTTAAAACTGCCATCGTCATACAAAAGGGGATCCCTGGCTATTTCTTACAATAGACACACATTCCTTTTAGTCACATGACAGTGCAGTAATTAAAGGAATTTAATGAAGCAAATGGAACTAGAAGTTCATGGTACTTTGACCAGTTCTTAGGCGTGGTTTATCAAATCTGGGAGAAAATAGGACTTTTAGAGAATTATTAGGCTGGGTGCAGTGGCTCATGCCTGTAATCCCTGAACTTTGGGAGGCTGAAGTGGGAGGACTGCCTGAGGTCAGGAGTTCAAAACCAGCCTGGGCATCATAGCTAGACCTGTCTAAAAAAATAAAAATAAAAAAAATTAAAAATCAAAAAAATTGGCTGGGTGTGGTGGCATGTGCCTGTAGTACCACCTACTCAGGAGGCCAAGGTGAGAAGATTGCTTGAGCCTAGGAGGTTAAGGCTGCAGTGAGCTATGATTGCACCACTGTACTCCAGCCTGAGCAACAGAGTGAGACCCTGTCTTTAAAATATACACATAATGAATGTTTCCATATGTAATATACCAGTAAACTTAAGGTATTTGCTTTGTTTCTCTTTAATATCAAATTTCTTTAAGAAAAGCTTCTACCAACAACACGTTTATTCATAACTTCCAAATGCTGTGCCGGGCAACTAGGAGATAGGTTTCATAGTTCATACCTGTTGGTGGATGTGCTGTGGACACTGCTTGTCCTGTGGCCTCCTGTGTACTACTTTTGCCTTCTGTTAAAATAAAAATAAGCTTATTTTTTTCCTTTTCCTTCTTTACCAAAGTATTATGAATCTAATTTAGAGCTCTCTACAATGACAAATGTAATAGGGTAATGGTGATTGTAGTTACAAACATCCTGCTGCATGCTAGTTTCAGAGAACCAAAATGCTTATCCATTATATCTTCAAAGGATCATCAAAAATGTATTTAGTAGTTTTTCAGTTCCTTGGTAAGTGTCCGGGCATTCTGACTGCAAATAATTCAAGTTTCTATTGCCATCATCTGTCAGTAAGATTGTCTTCTATTCACCCAAATTTGGCTTCAGTGGGTACTTGACCCCTCAGTCTAACCTACAGTTTACCTCTATAGGTCAGCTTTAGTCTTGATCACAGGTTTTTCCATCAAGGTTAAAGAGGCTGAGCTAAAAAAAGCAGAAAACGTTTGGGGGGTGGGAGAATATTACAGAATGAGAACAATAATTATACCTACTAGTTACTGTGAAAGAAGCAGACCATCTAGAAAGCATTTGAGACTGGATGCCATTGGCATCTACTGAGGAATAGTTTTCTCGACCAGGTAGGCTATAGACTCGTACAGGTCCCCCTGAGTTGCTGATTACTCCCCTGTAACACAAGAATAGCAGCTGAGATGCTATCCACACTTTTTCAGGGCATCCCACTGACTTATAGTGCCATGTTGTATCTATTGCTTTGATTAATCAAGAAAATAGCTCATCAGGGAAGTCATCTAAAGATTCTGCTTTATTTATTTATTTATTTGATGGCGTCTCGCTCTGTAGCCCAGGATGGAGTGCAGTGGCGCGATCTCGGCTCACTGCAACCTCCACCTCCAGGATTCAAGTGATTCTCCTGCCTCAGCCTCCCAAGTAGCTGGGATTACAGGCATGCACCACCATACCTGGCTAATTTTTGTATTTTTAGTAGAGACAGGGTTTCACCATGTTGGCTAGGTCTCGAACTCCTGACCTCAAGTGGTCCATCCGCCTCAGCCTCCCAAAGTGGTGGGATTACAGGTGTGAGCCACCACTCCCAGCTGCTGCTAGCCTTTTAAAAACTTGCTTACACAAGAACAAAATTTGCCTGGAAAAAAATGGTTTTGTGCTGTTGAACTTCTTAAGTGTTGATAAGAACACATTTGTAATATCCCATTACCCACAACTTAGAAATTCAGAGCACCAAACAATTTTCCTAAGATACTCACTTTAGCTACATGCCTTTGGACTGAATTTTTTTAGAAGTATTATACTGGCTATTCTACTACAGGATAGCATGGCACTTGCTAACAATAGTCACCTTGGGCAAGATACTTGACAACTCTCTGAGTTCAGTTTCTTCATCTGTAACTGGAGTAAAATTCTACCTACCTTGTAGAGTTGTGGTGGAAGTTAAAACAATAGGTGGCACATAGTAATAACTCAGTAATATATCACATGATTAGGAATGTTTTGGAATCATAGCAATCTAGCCATCAAGAGGTAATGCTATTTGCCTTTTGTCAGAAAGCTTTCCATGTGTATTTGGTGTTTCAAGTATATCCAGGAGAACCGTGAAAATATATCCATTTTCTGTGGCCACAATGGCAACAAAAGAAAGAATGCAGGGAGGAAAGGGATCCAGATGGGTAAAGCAGGAAAGGAAATAATCACGTCTGCATTTCTCTCCCACCCTGGTGTGTTTGGGCTTACCTGTGGACAGCAGCCCCACATATGCTCGATACAGAAGCATATACTATGTTCCCATACACAGAGAATTCCTCAAGAGGGCAGCCCCCTGGGCAGAGGACATCTGCTTTCTCTTTCCTGATGTCCAAGCCTCTGGTAAAACATGTGATAGCAATGGGAGCTGAAGAAAAAGGAGATAATATTGTAAGCATTCTTAGGACTTCTTGGGGCATAGTGGTGGGGAGACTACAGTGTGAGATTTAAGTTTTACTTCCCTAATTTCTACACTTCTAGTTATGACTATTGACTTATATACCCTTCCATACCATTCCAGATTTTGGCAAGCCACAAGGTTGTTTTCCAATTTAATATAGTCCCCAGCCACTATAAAACTCTAATGTGAAAGTTCTGGGTTTTTATTTCGTTTTTGTTTTTGAAATGGGGACTCGCCAAGTTGCCCAAGCTAGGCTCAAATTCCCGAGCTCAAGTGATCCACCTCCAACTCCCTAGTAGCTGGGATTACAGGTGTGCCACTGTGCCTGGCTTCTCAGTTCTTAACCAGGTTGGAAATACATAATTGGAACTATATCTGAACTAGAAAATAAAAGTCATTTAATATTAATTATAGAAATATAAAAAATCTTGGCTGGGCGTGGTGACTCATGCCTATAATCCCAGCACTTTAGCAGGCCAAGACAAGAGGATTTGCTTGAGTCCAGGAGGTCAAGACCAGTCTGGACAACATAGCAAGACCTCATCTCTTCTAAAAAAAAAAAATTTTTTTTAAATGGCCACACGTGGTGGTGCATGCCTGTACTCTCCGCCACTGGAGAGGCTGAGGTGGGAGGATTGCTTGAGCCCGGGAGTTCAAGCTTGCAATGAGCTATGATTGCATCACTGCACTCCATCCTGGGTTACAGAATAAGATCTTGTCTCCAGAAGAAAAAAAAAAATTTTTAAATCTCAACTTTGATGACGCTATGTACACAGTTGCTTGAGGTAAAGATAGTAAATCTGGATTGAGCCTTTGTGGAACATTTTCATAGACATGTGCACAAATCAAAGCCATCCTTTCCTTCATAGGACCATTTATCCTAGTTAGCCTACAAATGCAGATCCTTAAACTCACACATTAAGGAAGCCAACAAAAAGATGCTTAGATTCACAGAAAGTTATCTAACTTGATTGTTCATTTTATAGATGAGAAAATTAAAGCCGTGGGGTTAATTTGCCCAAACAACATTCTACAACTCCCGAAGGACAGAAAACAGAAAAGTGAATCCCTTCAGAATACAGCATTTTTATCTTAATTGAACCTGATTATTTCTGCTCCAGATCTGTCCAGTGAGATTTATCAAGCAGCGGATGCATTTTTAGAAAGCACTGTTAATATTCTCAAGTTTTACACTGTCAACCTAACAAAGAATCAGTTTTTACTATAAATGATGCTAGGAAGAGACAAGCTCTTGGCAACAAGTAACAAGATAACATAATACAACATGTTAATTTGTGAATTTACTGTCGATACTAAATTGAGATTAATGTTATTAAATGCTATTTTTCAAACATGGGAAGTTGTAGTTATCCAAACCTTTTTAAAACATATATTAATTTTAAAAACCTTTTTTTTCCAAGGCAGAGGAATACTTTCTGGCCATACTGTCCAACTGAGTACCTTGCCTGTGACAAGCACCCTCCTCTGTGCCCTTTGTGGTGACAGGTACCTTACATTCCATGGAAGAGAAGGAAGGATGCAGGCGCAATGCCCATTTCTTAGCTCTGAAGCAGTCTAGAGAGCTGAGAGGTTAAAATCCTTACCCCTAAACAGCCTCATACCTATCATCAAACAGCCTTAATCCTTCCTCCCATTTTCCGCTGAGATGGGGGCGGCATCGGAATCCGGTGCCAAGACCGACCGCCTTTAGTTGCGAACACTGACTTTTGTTAAGTAGAGCGGGAGAAATACAGCCATGAGGGATACTTAACCCTCATTCCTACTTTCAAGGAAAACAAACGGTAGCTCTTAGGAAAGCGTTGCCTTTTACACTGGAAAATACACCAAACCACACACCCATACCCGGACCTCTACACGTGGTACAAACTTTTTAAACTCTCTAGCGTGTAGAGTGAGACCGCGAGTGCTTCTGATTATAGGGGTTACACCTAGAAACATAGCTAGCGAGTCAAACAAGGTGGGACAGCGACGTTCGCCTCCCTCTCTCTCGGCTACGGCAACCTGAAGTCGGGTCTGGGCGGCTTCTCCTCCACCCCCAAACGCAGCAGAGCCCAGGACTGGTGCGCTCCTCGGTGAGGCTCAAGGAGTCCTCCTTCCTCGACCTCCTGCTGCCGGCGCTCAGCGGGCCCGGGGTCTGGGGCTGTGGGTGGGCCTGGAGGAGGCCTTCTTCCTAGTGCTCTTGGAGAACGTCCCCCCACTGGACCCCAGGGGCCCCCTACCATGGGAGAAACAGGTGAGCAGGAGCAGATCGGCTGCAGGGGTTAACGCGGGCGCGCCACGCGGCGGCTCAACCTTCGCGCCTTCCTCCTCAGGCGGTAGGGCTGAAGCCCAAGGGGCTGGATCTGAGTCCCGCTTGTACCCGCTGGTGCTCAGCCCCTGCGACCGCCTGGACGCACCCCAGCTCCCCCACTCACCGGCTCCCTCGCTGCCCGCGGGCCCCGGCAGCAGCAGCAGACACACACCTGCGAAGAGAGAAGCGTGAGGGCTGGCTCCAGCCTCCACCCAGCGGAGCAAGGGGCCGGGGTCGTGAGGGGCGCGCACCCACCGAGGCCGAGAGCCGGGATCCAGGCTGCGGACATGGTGACTGATAGGCTGCTCACACCTGGGAGAGAGGGAGAATGCGGGCAAGGCCAGGGTGCGGGAGGCCCCGCGCGTCACCTCCTCAGAGCCCCGCACCCTTCGGATCCCCGGGCGCGGCGCAGAGGAGAGAGGACACAGACGACCCGCTGCTCCAGGCCAGCGCCCCTCTAGGTCTGGGAGGCGCCTCGGCGGCAAATCGAGCGAAGCCCAGGATCGGTGTGCAACCCCGCACCGCGGGGAGGCGGGGGCGCCAAAACGACGACAGACAGGCTGGGAGCGACAAAGAAACAGGGACAGAGGCGTCAGGGATCCCTCGCACCCGCGCCCGCCGCCCGGGGCTCCGCACCTGCTCGAGATCCACCCGGCTGCGCCCGAGTGCGGAAGGCAAGGCCCCCGCGGCCGCTATAAAGGCTGGGCCGTGCGCATGAGCACTGTGCGGGGGGCGCGGGAGGAAGCGCGGGAGCCGGTCCCCCGGGGCCCGGCGGCGACTTCCAGCTCCGCCTTCGCCCCCTGCCGGCCCCGGGGTGAGGCCGGCGCGGAGGCGCCTCCTCCAGCAGCGCAGGCTCGGCCACCTGGACGCGGCGCCAGTCCCTAGAGGGGCACGAAGGTCCCCGTGCCGGCGTCTCAACGAGTGTGGAGGGCCGGCGGCCCCGACGGCGGCAGCAGCGGCCTCGCCAGCCCTGCTCTGCCGGGACCAGGGCTGCTGAGGCAGCGGCGGCCGCTACCCGCCCCACCCAGCGAGGCCTGGAGCTTCTGAGAGCTGTCAGGTCCACGCGGCCTGAGAACCGAACTTCTCAACTTGGTGCTCTCGTGGAAAGAGTTCCTACTTCTGAAATAAAACCACCCTAGGTTTGGTAAACGCATGCCGCGTTTTTGTTAGAAACCCTGTCAACTGACTGCTAGCTCGTTGGACCTTAGGGATTCGGCCTTGCGCCTTCGTTTCTGCTGGAGTCCTACTTTCCCCAGTGGTTCAATTTGTGCTCCTGCCTAGAGCCACGCGTGTGAGACAGCCCTGACCCCAGCAGCCGGTACCTTTGCTTCTTTCTCACCTCAGGAAGAATTTATGCCTGATTGCCTTTCGAAATTCCCAGACTTGGTGTCTTGTGACTGCACAGAATCTCAGATTTGATAATGTGTTCTCCTTCTCCCCGCACCATCCTGCTAACGTTTTACAAATGGAAATGGAGAAGGAGCAGAATTCTTGAGGAGTGTTAGTGACAGGCGACCTGCATGGCAGCGGAAGAACCAGACCCAGGCCCAGACGCTAACCTTTCTGGTACAATATAAACTTTTTCAAATAGCCTTATTTAGTTACAATTTACATGCCATAAAATCCATCCGTTTTGAGTGTACAGTTCAATGATGTTTAGTAAATTTTCAGAGCTGTACAACCATCACCACAAGCCAATTTCAGAACAGGTTCATCCTCCCCAAAATGATCTCCTCGCCATTGTCAGTCAGTCTCTTCTCCCACTCCTAGTCCTAGGCAATCACTAACCTATTTCCTGTCTCTATAGATTTTTCTTAGTGGTCGTTTCTTATAGATGGGATTATACATTGTGCGGCTTCCTTCACTGCACAGAATGTTTTTGAGGTTCATCCATGAGGCATTATAGAACAGTACTTCCTTTCTTTTTATTGTTGAAAAGTATTCCCATGCCATTTTATACTGAGAAACAAATACACCACCATCACCTGGAAGTCAACTAGTGTAGTAGTCTTAATTACAACTATCTTCCTGATTGGAATGACTTAGTATTTGTATCAGGCAACTAAGGAGTGTTGATTTCATTCCCTTTACTACCTGAATGTCTTCTGGAGGGAAAGAGACCAAATAACATTTGAGGGCTGGGAGGTTTTTGATGTTTATTTTCATGGCTGCTTTCAAGATTTACTCCCTTCCCTGGTATAGAGAATTACCCTTTTCTTAGAAATCCAGTAATCTAGCCACTGCCCCTGATATTTTCCATGGGAGAAATTTCAAGCCTCAGGACAATTAAAGCTGTCTTTTCCATTATTGTTTATTGAGTGTCCTCAATCAGGGTTGGATAACCTCCCCTAATTAGGCTGGACAAATTGTCATGATGCTATATAATTAGGAAGAGTCTGTACGCTGGAAAAAACCTGCCACTTCACAGCTCAGCAGGCAGGTCCCAAATGGCCAAAGGGGTAGATGCTATTCAGAGCCCCCACAGGGCACTGGCAGCCCTCCTGTGATGTAATTTCAGTGAGTGATTTGGCAGAGTCAAAACTATGCAGCTATTTCCATGACAGACCCTGAGTCTGTAACCATTAAAAAATAAAGGAAATACCTCACTGAATTTCATGGTTGTTTACTGAGATTCATCTTAATTATTTTGTTTTGAAACATTTAAGAGAAGTTACTCTGTCTTTACTATTTTTTTCTTTTTGGTAAGGCCAACCAAGGAGAGTGGAAGAGTGGGGTTTAGACTCTCATTCTTAGCTAGTTTGTAGTTCATGCTCACCATAAGTATATTAAAGAAAAATATCTGAATTTAAGAGGTAATTGCCTCTGCTTTGGAAATATCTGAAGAGAGTCAAATCTAGGTATATTTGACTTAAAAAGACAAATTGTTAAAATGACAGAGTTTTGTATTCAGTTGGGTGATATTTTAGGGTAATCGTACTCCTAGGATGCCTGGTTAATCCTGCTTTATTATTTTTTTAAATATTTTATTTTATTTTATTTTATTTGAGATGGAGTTTTGCTCTTGTCTCCCAGGCTGGGGTGCAATGGCGCTATCTCGGCTCACTCCTACCTCTGCCTCCCAGGTTCAAGCAATTCTCGTGCCTCAGCCTCCTCCTGAGTAGCTGGGATTACAGGCACGTGCCACCACAACTGGCTAATTTTGTATTTTTAGTAGAGATGGGGTTTCACTATGTTGGCAAGGCTGGTCTCCAACTCCTGACCTCAGGTGATCCACCTGCCTTGGCCTCCCAAAGTGCTGGGATTACAGGCGTGAGGCCCGGCCTCATTATTTGTTAATTTTTAATTTAATTTAATCTTATTATATTGTTATTAATTACTATTATTAGAGACTTATTCTCACTCTGTCATCCAGGCTGGAGTGTAGTGGCACAATCAAAGCTCACTGCGGCCTCAAACTCCTATGTTCAAGAGATCCTCCCACCTCACCCTCCTGAGTAGCTGGGTCTACAGGTACACACCACTATGACTGGCTCATTTTTTACTTTTTGTAGAGAGGTAGTCTCATTATTTGCCCAGGCTGATTTCAAACTCCTCACCTCACGTGATCCTCCCGCCTGGGCCTCCCCAAATGTGGGGATTATAGGCATGAGCCACTGCGCCTGATTTTATCCTACTTTAGTGGGAAGTATTTGATATTCAAAATTTAGATGAACTCCGTGTAGAGCAGTGGATTCCTGTCTGGGCTGCACGTTGGAACTACCTGGAGAGCTTTAAAAATACTCATGCCTGGGTCCCACCCCAGAGATTTTAATATAATTGGTCTGGGCTGGGGCCAGGGCATTAGAATTTTTAAAAGCTCTCCAGGTGATTCTAATGTGCAGTCCAGGTGCTCAGTGTTAGAGGTTAAGCTAATTCTGCTAATCTTTCATTCTTCTTTCATTATCTTTTCGTTAAAATCCAACTTTAATATGCCTACTGCATTCCCCTGATAAAAAATGGAAGCATTTTCTGGCCTGATGGTTGTTTAAAAACAATCCCTAACAAAAAGATTGAAAACTCAATTTCAAAAGTAATTTTCCCTGGGAATGCTGCACAGTCACATTTCTGACTTTGTGCAGAATGCGCTGGCATTGTTAGGGAAATAAGCTGCCTCTAACACTGATACCTGGGTGGCATTGTCAGGCTTCAGGATGCTGCTGATGGCCCTAAAAGAGTTTCTCAAGGATGGCATAGTTACCTGATGGGATTTGGCTTGTGCTTACACAGATAAAACTCTTAGTTTATATAGGCTCTGTCTCTGTTCCGTTGTTACCTAGGTATGAATCTGCCCCTGAAGTTTTCATATTTTTGTTGTTGGTCTTTTTTTACTTTATTTTACCTTTTAAAGGAGTATCCAGTCCTGTTCTATCCTCTATACCATTTAAGCTCCCCGGTAAACTTTTACTTAGCCAATGTAATGCATAGCAACACGGTTTTATTTCGATTATGGTGGCCTCAAAGCAGCTGTCCCCAACCTTTTTGGCACCAGGAACTGGTTCCATGGATGATAATTTTTCCACGGGGTTGGTTGGTGGGGGGCGGATGGTTTTGAGATGAAACTGTTCCACTTCAGATTATCAGGCATTAGATTCTCATAAAGAATGTGCAACCTAGATCCCTCGCATGTGCAGTTTACAACAGGGCTCGAGCTCCTGTGAGAATCTAATGCCACTGCTGATCTGACAGGAGGCAGTAATGCTCACTCGCCCATTCACTGCTCACCTCCTGCTGTGCTGCCCAGTTGCCAACAGGCCACAGACTGGTACCCACCTGCGGTTGGGGAGTTGGGAACCCCTGCCTTAAAGTGAGTTTGTTCAGTTTTAGGAAGTGTATGTTTATCCTGCAGTATCCTTTAAGTTTCTATGATAGATTATAGAGCAGAAGCAGCTTGGGAACTCTTATCACCTATATTATTAAACCCACATTGATGTTTATTCTATATCTAGTTTTTCTGATTCTTTTCTGTTGTTCACATCTTATGCTAAGCAAGTATATTTATCTAGCCTTTCCATTTTTGATGATGTCTAGCAGGAGAATAAATGTCTACAGCCTCAGAGGAGTGAAAATTAAAAAGTTGATTCAGAGATATCCCTGTGACTATGAGATCTCAGTTTCCTCTCCTATAAAGTGAAGGGGATTAGACCAGCGATTGGAAGAGACTTTCCTCTGGTCACATTCTGTGACTGGCAAGTGCTCCCTGGGTATATATAGGCTCTGGGGGCTGTGCTGTCTTCCAGGGTTTGGGAGGCATTAGGAAACACTGGCTGTGCCAGCTGGCTCCCAGCTGTCCCAGGACTTATCCTTTCTTACTCAAAGTCTCTTTTTATTCACCTCTCACTGCTAAACTATGGCCTGGCTCATGTTTGTCCCTTATTTAACAAGAAGTAATGAGGTCACATTTTCACTGGAGTGCCACTAGGACTTCCTTCCTAAGAGAGGAAGCTGTGATGGGAAACATAAATCAGTTCTGCAAGGCTTGGCATTTATCTCATGTAAACTCATCAGAGGCAAGGATCTTTCTACCTTTTGTTCATTGCTGCACGCCTACTCCCAACAAAACTGTCTAGCACACTATATGTACTCAAGAAATACTTGTTAGATGAATGAATCAATCTCATTCTGTCTTGACATTTGCTACCTTATATTGATTTTTTAAAGATTTTTATTTTAGAAGTTTTATGTTTACAGAAAAATTAATAAGATAGTACAGTTTCCAAACCTAGTTCCCCATTATTAACATCTTATACTAGTATTGTACAGTTGTCACAATTAACAAACCAATACTGATACATTATCATTAAGTGAAGTCCATATTTTATTCAGATTTCCTTTTTTTTTTCTTTTTTTTTTTTTGAGATGGAGTCTTGCTCTGTCACCCAGGCTGGAGTGCAGTGGTGCGATCTTGGCTCAATGCAACCTCCACCTCTCAGGTTCAAGCAATTCTCCTGCCTCAGCCTCCTGAATAGCTGGGATTACAGGCATGCACCACCACACCCAACTATTTTTTTTTTTTTTTTTGTATTTTTAGTAAAGACAGGGTTTCACCATGTTGGCCACGCTGGTCTCGCACTCCTGACCTCAGGTAATCCGCCTACCTCGGCCTCCTAAAATGCTGGGATTATAGGCGTGAGGCACTGTGCCTGCCCGATTTCCTTATTTTTCACCTAATATCTTTTCTCTGTTCCAGAATCTCATCCAGGATACCATATTATATTCAGTCATCGTGTCTCATTAGGCTCCTCTTAGCTGTGACACTTTCTCAGATTTTCCTTGTTTTTGATGACCTTCACAGTTTTGTGGAGTACTGGTCTGCTGTTTCGTAGAATGTTCTTCAATTGGGATTTGCCTGATGTTTTTCTCATTATTAGACCAGGGTTATTGTTTTTAGGAGAAAGACCACAGAGGTAAAATGACATTCTTGTCACACCATGTCAAGGGTATATACTATTGACATGACTTATTACTGTTTTTTGTTTGTTTGTTGAGATAGAGTCTCATCTGTCGCCCAGGTGGAGAACAGTGGTACAATCTCAGCTCAATGCAGCCTCGACCTTCTGGGCTCGAGCAGTCCTCCAACCTCAGCCCCACAAGTAGCTAGGACTCAGGCGCATGCCACTACCCCCAGCTAATTTTTCTGTATTTATTTTATAGAGACAGGGTTTTTGCCATGCTGCTCAAGCTGGTCTCAAACTCCTGGGCTCAAGCAATCCTCCTGCCTTGGCCTCCCAAAGTGCTAGGATTACAGGTGTAACCCATCACACCTGGCCAAGTTAAGGGCTTAAGAAGCTTACCCTTAAGGAGTGGAGAATTATGTTCAACTCCTTTGAGAACAGAATATCCATAAACTATTGAGAATTCTGGCCAGGTGTGGTGGCTCACACCTGTAATCCCAGCACTTTGAGAGGCCTAGATGAGAGGATCGCTTGGGCTCAGGAGACTGAGACCAGCCTCGGCAACAAAATGAGACTGTGTCTCACATTTTTACAATTTTTTTTGGTCAAAAAATTTAAAAAATTAGCAAGGCATGGTGGTGTGTGCCTTTGGTCCCTGCTACATGGGGGGCTGAGGGAGGAGGATTGCTTGAGCCCAGGAGGTCAAGGCTGCAGTGAGCCATAATCGCACCACTGCACTCCAGTCTGGGGGACAGGAAGACCCTGTCTCAAAAAAAAAAAAAAAAAATTATAGAGAATTCTTCTGCATGGGAGATTTGTCCCTTCTCCCTTGTTTATTTACCATTGGTTTTTTATTTGTGGCTAAAAATAAAAGGCTATAAGCTCTTTGAAGGTAGAAACTATTCCATATGTTCCTCTATACTCCCAATAACTTGCACAATGCTTTAGGGTACAGAGTAGCTAGATGCTCAGTTACTGAAATAGAGGACAGTCTACCACCTTCCAGTCCTGGGGTTTTCTGCTGATGGCTTATTTTTTCTCACAGTGAGATTTGGGCCACCATGTTGTCCATGTGGCTCTTGGCAGAGGTGTAATCAAAGTGCTAATAATAATAATGATCCGGACACTGTGCCATGTTCTTTATACATGTTCTAATTGAATGTTTGCAACATACCTACAAGATGGATATCATCGTGATTTCATAAATGAAGATACTGATGTCCAGATTGATTAAGGGATTGTCCTAAGTCACACAGCTAAAAGTAGAGCCACAATTCAAATTTCGGTCTCTAAAGCCCTTGTTCTTAACCACCAGGTCATACTGTGCTTTCCCTCTTTATAGTCAAATAAAGCCACAAGGAAAAGTTTGAATAAATGCAAGAAGGTGATAGAAATGACAAGTGCTATAAGAATTGGAAAAATTCAAAAAATCCCGGAGTGAAGAATGGTTGGTGAGATCTTCTAAGCATGTGTGGCCCTTGAGTTCTTCCATGAAACTGTAGTAATTGTTGAAGATATTTTAATATTATGTCAAATCCAAGCTACAATAAAATATGACACATCATTGTTAATGTAATTTTAAGTAAGAAAAAATGCTTTGGAAAAACTACGCTGATTACAAGACATATTTAATATGTGCATCTTAGAATCAATGACACATATTATTCCTAATTCTAAAAGAATACATCTTTACACTAAATAATTCATATAAAAATCTAAAAAAATAACTAAATTACATAAAAAGGAAGGAGAAACATTAAAAAACAGAGTAATAATTAAATTCAACTTTGAATTCCTAGAAGACTAGGTAAATAAAGAAAATTTATTATACTATTTATTGCATGATTAAAAGGATTTATCCCTCTCAGGAAAGACCAACTTTTTTTTTTCTGGAACTGAGTTATAAAAAGAAATACTTATTTGGAACATATATAAAGCGCTCAAGGCAATGTGTGGACATTGTCCTAACAATGGTTTTATAGAAGATAAACATTTTTATTGGGCCATTTCTTCACCCTTGAAAGCAGAAAGCATGAGTGAAAATTTGAACAATGTCTTTAGAAATTTTAAAATGAAATTAAATTTATCTAAATTGCTTGGCCAACATTTCACATGAAAGAACAAATTGAATAGTAATGTTGTGCCAAGTATGACATTTGTAGCAATGAGATGCGCTGAACTTTATATTACCCTAAAAGCCACAATTATTTGAAACTTAATTGGTACTAAAAATCATTTTCATGGATGGCAGAAGAAAAGCACAAGTTTCAGCTGTCTTTAGATTGAGCTATTTAAGATCAATAGTTTTAAAAATTGTTATAAAGCTGTTAGGACCAAAGCTAATTCAAATTATGCACTAGGCCCAATTTCTTCCTTTTTAAAAAACAAAAACAAATATTTTGTTGTGGAAATTTTCAGACATATGCAAAAAGCGGATAAAATAGTATAGTGTACTCCTTTTTATATATCACTCAACTTGAAACAATGATCGTTTATGGCATTTTTGTTTCTTTTGTGCCCTTACCCCGATTGTTTTCAAGGAACTCCAGACAATACAATCATTAATCACTAAAGATTTTTGTCCAAGGCAAGGATTCTCTTTAAATATAACCATATTACGATTATCATACCTAAAATTTACTAATTCCTTAGTATCATAGCTACTCAGGGTTTATATTACTTCAATTGTCTTATAAATTTTGTTATTAAATTGGTATTTTGCTGAATCAAGATCAAATAATGTCTGCATTATAATTGATGTTTCTCTTAAGTCT
Organism: Homo sapiens; assembly: GCF_000001405.40. NCBI lineage: Eukaryota > Metazoa > Chordata > Mammalia > Primates > Hominidae > Homo > Homo sapiens. The sequence continues at coordinate 30,866,061 of NC_000014.9, read as the reverse complement.
CTTGATATGTATAGGATTTCTCTTCATCTCTTTTAAAAATTTTCTTTCTTTGGTTTTTATTGAAAAATCTAGGTCATTTTCTGTAACTTTCTTCATGGTCTGTATTTTGCTGATTATATCTCCATAGTGTCAATGAACATGTTTCTCTGTCCCCTGAATTTCTTATAAATTTGGAGTTAGCTACAGAGGTTTGATCAGATTCAGGTCATTTTTTAAAAATTGTGGTAAAAAACATATAATATTGAATTTACCATCTTACCCAACTTTGAATAAACAGTTCAATAGTGTTAAGATTTAAATAATTTTGTTTCACATGTGTGTAGACGGCTCTATAGGTGGCAGTTTATACTTTTGAAACATCAGAGGGTATTGAAAAATCTTTCCTTTTGTGATGCTTTCAACCATTACTAAATTATTGCCTTGATCTATTATTTTATTGGGGGTTGGTTGTAAAATGGTTATATATATATATGTTTTTGTTTTTGTTTTTGGAGAGACTGGGTCTTGCTATGTTGACCAGGCTGATCTTGAACCCCTGGCCTTAAGTGATCTTCCCATCTCCACATCGCAAAGCTCTGGGATTACAGGCATGAGCCACTGTACCCAGCCTGAATCAATAATTTAATTTCCATCATGAAAGCAGTTTCAGAGTAACAATACTTAAAATAAATAATTTACTTTTTTTGATTGGTATAATCATTGCTTCAGGTATTATTATGGAAGTCAGCCAGTTTCGGACAAGTTACAAAAAAATCCAGCAAAAACTAAATGACAAAGATACACATTCGTGTATAATTTTAAGTTTAAGGAAATTCAATAAGACTATTTGATAAATCTATAGAGGCAGACACCGACTCCATTTATGTCAGCATGCCATATTTTGTGGTTTATAAGAACCACGAACTACTGAGAAGAGGTGAATTGTAAGTGCTGAGTACTGAATTTGTTAAGTCGGCCTTCCTGAACTGGGCTTCCAGAAAAGTATTTAAGTGGCTACTTTCTCAGTTCTCTCAAGGATGGTACATGACAAGTACCACTCTAGATGCAAAAGAGAGAAATTAGTTCATTACCAACAATAGATGCCTTAAGGCATTAGAGCTTGGGGAATGAGTTAGGAAGGACTGCTTTAGATTATTCTATTGATTTTGAATCCTTTAGGCAGAAGAAGTTTAAGATTAAAAAAAATTTGCTAGGTGAATTTATTCCTACAAAAGCTAAAGAAAGTTTTGATGTTTCTGTTTGTTCTTTGGAGCAATATGGTTCCCTTCCATCTAAAAAATTTGTTTTGGATTGAGGCATAATTGAGATGATCATTTCTATACTCAGTGACATCTGTTTGCTTGGACCTGCTAGTAATTGAGTTTAATTCAACCATGGTGTGTTCCTCACACATTACTGTATTTGACAGACTGTAATTTTGCTGTTTAGTGTGTTTATTTGTTTTTTCATCGACTTCTTTAAGTCATTTTGATAGTGAAGTTAACTTCTTATTTTTTACTTTTTAAATGCATTTTGGTGTTGCTATTTTTCTTTTTTACTTATTTCTTTATTTTATTTTTTGTAGAGATGGGGGTCTCCCTATATTGCCCAGGCTGGTGGTGTTGCCATTTTTGCCTCATTGTAATGGGGATAAAGAAGATGGAGTTAAGTCCCCCAAAGACAAAAACATTTCACCTTAGACAATGAATAAGACTTAGTTAGACTTTAAATGGACGCAGAAGTCGCTAAAAATATGGAAGTTACAAATGTAAGAGATACTGCTTTTGCTTTTATCTTCCCTCTGAGCAATAACTTTTTTTCTAATTACAGTACCTCTTAAAGATCCTGGTGCCCCATTTGGGACCTTGGAGTGATGGAATTGAGAGCACCTTGTTAATTGTCCCATTTTGCGATGAGAAACAAATCAGGAGATTCTGAGTGTGGTGCCTAAGACTGTATAGCCAGTTACTGGCAAGATCAGAACTAGTCCGTTTCTGGGCACTTATTAGTATACAACACAGCCTGAATGCTCAATCACTTTCCTGAACATAGCAGCAAGGACTGCTGTTTATTGACAAATTTGGACCTGAGTTTTGTGAACAGATCATGAGACATAAAGCAAGTGCAGGAGGTTTTTGGTTGATGATGGGCTTTTTGCATTCAGCTACTCTAAAAAGATAATAATGTAGAGGGACATTTGCTATTTGGGGATCACCTCTAGATCCAGAAAAACAAGGACATTCTCATGCTTGGTATGTTTTGTATGAAAAGAGAGAAGGGTAAATGAAATGTTCCCCTTTTCTTGCATGGTACCAAGGAACTGGCTTCTTGATGGGAGAAGGAACAAGAATGACTGCCCTGTAGTGCTTCCTTCTCAGTCTTTGAACATTTGTGTCCTCAACAATATTAACTGAGTGGCTACAGGGGCAGGTGCCATGCTGGACGGTGTAGAAACAAGGATGAATACAACAAAATCCTGCTGTCAATGAATACATCATCTGCTGCATAGGAAGGAGTAACTGAATACTTTTGTTAGTAGAGGATGCTTAGCAGCCCTCATTCCCAGAAAATTTTCTCTTATACGTAAGCCAAATTCCTCATTTGCAGCCTGTTTTCACTCTTTTTGTCCTTTGTGAACAGGGAATACATATAATTGCAGACTATTGTTAACTTACCTATTTTTGTCTTCTTGAGGGTGAGGTTTCCTTCCTGTTTTTACTTTGTCTTTGCTGGTTTTTTTGTTTTGTTTTGTTTCTATTTTTCTGCCTTTCTTTAATCTTTGTAGCTCTCCTCTCCAGTGCCTGCTTTGTGTATGCTATATCACCATGTAATTTGTGATACATCTACTGCAAATGGTAGACATAAGATCTGTATTTACCTAGGAGAATTAATCCAAAATGGCAGTTTTGACCATTTATGACCGCTTATGTTACATGGTAGACAAAGGATCTATATCCACCTAGGAGAATTAATCCAAAATGGATGTTTTTACTGATGATCCTTGAACTCACAAGTATTTCCACAGAAAGAGTGGATTTGAGTTAGAATTCAGAAGAGGTGCTTTATTGTGTGCAGAGTATAAATAACATCATTGTAATATTTAAAAATACTATCACATCTATTATCTCTTTATCCTTTCTGTAATCCTATGCGTTACAATGACAAGTATAAATATCTTTGACAGATTAAAAAATGCAACCCTAAGAAATTGTGATGTACAAAGGATACATAAAAAGGGTTTTTGTTTTTTTTTTTTGGTTTTGTTTTTTGAAACAGAGTCTTGCTCGGTCCCTAGGCTGGAGTTCAGTGTCCTGATCTTGGCTCACTGCGACCTCTGCCTACCGGGTTCAAGCAATTCTCCTGCCTCAGCCACCTGAGTAGCTGGGATTACAGGCTCCCGCCACCATGCCCAGCTAATTTTTGTATTTTTAGTAGAGACGGGATTTCACCATGTTGGCCAGGCTGATCTCAAACTCCTGACCTTATGATCCGCCCACCTCAGACTCCCAAAGTGCTGGGATTACAGGCGTGAGCCACCACGCCTGGCCAAAAAGTTTGAATAAGGTCAAGCTGAGAGACTGGTTGTCCAGACCAAGGCCATGTTCCTCTACTGGTTTCTGTGTCTGTGATGTTTTTATGAAGTTATGTAATACTGACTGCACTTGATAGGTGAGGGAAAAACTGACAAGTCTACCACAGGCACACTGGTCATTTTGACCTTCCTGCACACTCCTCCTCTCAGAGACTGCTGAACAACCCTCCCGAGAGTGCAGCAGACCAACCTAATGATTGCGCCCGGCCCTAGCTGACTGGCTGAGGAATGGACATCTGGCCCTAGAGGCAGGCTTTTCCAGGAATTTGAAATCGGCATATAGGAACTACTCAGCATTTGTTTGGCTCTTGAACAAACAAATTAAGCCAGGAAAGCTAGCCTTGACAGAGGGAAGACTAAAGCCGCTGGGCATTCACTTCGTGGACAAGTGAATCCGGTCCCTCCTGAGGCTGGCTATACTTCTGCTGGTGAGATACTTAGTATTCATCCAATAATTTCCCTTTTCTTGCTGAAGAACCTTGTGTAGATTTCAATTCTTTACACTTAAAGGAGCCCCAACATCCAACCCAGTGCTTTATTAAGGAAATAATCTGAAGATGTTTTGCTTTGGGGCTTTTTACTTTCTAAGTAAAGACCCATGTGTGTCAGTGTTTCTTTTGGTTTTTCAGTGGTACCGACGGAGTGTTTGTAGATTTTCTTGGAAAAGTAGGGAGAGGAATTTTTCACCATTTAAAATTTGCCCAGCAGTGGCAGATTGTTCTTCTGCTTCTCCATTTGATTCCAGAGCTGTCGGAATTGGAGGGAAGAACTACGTCTTGATTCTCACATCTGGAGTACCCAGGGTGTGCTCAAACTCCAAGGTGCCCCCAGGGGACAGTGGAGATCCCTCTTGGGCAGACTTACACTTTGGGATTTCTGTTGAGTATTCAGAGGGTCTCTGCTAGCCCCTTCACCACAGTTGTGCCCTGCCATCTGGGCTTATTAGGATCCTAGAAACCTCAGAATTCAATATGTCTTCATAGATATTTTATTTTCTTGAAACAACAACTTTGGAATGCACTGTCATTCACTAAGCATATATTGTGCCACCATGGTGGACATTGTGGTTGTCTTTGCAACATTCATTTCCCCCTTTCCTGTTATGAAACATCTCTCCATTCAGTCTCTCCAGTTCTACACTCTATCACATAGTTCAATGGTCTCCAAAGCTGAGAACTCTTGTTCACTGTGAGAAGTCACATTTTCTCTTCCCTGGATTTAAAGGAGAAATTGCATAGCCCTGGTAGCTGCTGGCAGCCATCTTGCAGCAATGAGGATGCCAGCGTGAGGGTAAGCCAACATATGGAGCAGGACAGAGTGAAGAGAATTGCAGAGAAGTGAGCCAGAGCCGTCAGTGAACAATGCCTGACACTTACCTTACCGAGACTTTTCAGTTACAAAAACCGGTGAATTCTCACTATTATTTAAGCCGGTTTGAATTCAATTTTCTGTTATTTTCATCATAAAATGTTCTGATGAATATAGAGTTTTAAGTTAATTTTCTAGCCTTGGCAACACAGGGAGACTCTGTCTCTACAAAAAACTAAAAATTAGCTGGGTATGGTGGGGAAGCACCTGTTGTCCCAGCTACTTGGGAGGCTGAGGGAGGAGGATTGCTTGACCCCAGGAAGTTGAAGCCGCAGTGAGCCATGTTTACGCCACTGCACTCCAGCCTGGGTGACACAGCAAGACCCTGTCTCAAAAAAATCGGCTTCCTAAGCAGTTGGTGATGATAATTCATATCTGTGGAATACTTTTTATTTCTTCAAAGCACATTTGCTATGCTACCATCATACTGTTAAGTGTCAACAGTGAGTTCTGACCAGTATAGAGGCCAGACACAGATACTACCTGGGAAATAAGTGGATATGTATTTATCTAAAGCACACAAATGAAAGGGCACTATCAGCATATACAGTAGAGAGATCAGCAATGTCTCCAATAACAGACACAATGTATAAACATCTGGGTGCCCCAAAAGGGCTTCAACATCATTGTGTATAATTAAGTCTGATTGAGTGAGGATCACATTGGAACTTCTGGAAAGTTTCACTGATCAGTGGGCAAAATGTCCCCACTGCCTCCAAAGCCCACCTGCATCTTTATGATCAGATCTATGCCAGGCAGCACCTCGTCAATCTTGATGTTACACAATATGACCATGGAGAGTGGATAATACCATGCACCCAGGCATCAGCAAACCATCTTTTAACACCTTCATTCTCCCCAGGCTAGCACAGTCTGGTCCACATCCTTTTCTGATCTTAGGGCTGCAGAATTAGCACAAGGGTCAGTCACCTGGATGTCTTTGAGGATGTCTGAGGATCAAGCCCTCAGACCAGCTGTAGGTCTGTCAAAGTGGTTATCACAATTTTACAAATGGGAAAGTAAAAACAGTTAAATTAGAGGAGTTAAAATTATTTGCCCTCCAAGTGCACATAACTGGGTGGTAGCAGAACTGAATGAGAACTGAAGTATTTTAACCTGCAGTTCAATCTTTGCTTAACTAGAATGCATTAACGTTTCACCCCCGGGGAAGTTATCTAAGCAAATTTTGTTGTAAGTTAAAGCCCACAATTAAAGTCAGGAACAACATTAAATAACAGACCTGAAAAGATTAACCAGGATTACTTTGTAGTCATTAATATCCAAGAGTTGATAATGAGACTGGCACATAGTTTCACCAGACTTTTGATAACACAGAACAGACACACTGTGATGACTGTGACAGTAATGCTCACCAAGACAATGCTGGTTTCCTAGCAGGGTGAGGGGCTTCAGGACCCTAAGGTTTTCCATGACCTTCTCATGTGTATCTTGATTAGCGGCTTTAAGAGAAAGTGAGTAATAGTCTCCTTTCTCGTTGCCAATATCTCATTTTGACATACCAATAAGGCCTGAAGAGACAGTCCTCTGCCACCTTGGCTAACTTAACCTTATTAGATAAACTAGAATTGGGGGCATCTTAGGTAATGGATATTTTTAGACAATTTCCATATCTCACTTTTCTCAATTATTCAAAAATATTTATTGAATGCAGTCTACCTGTTGGGCACTATGCTAGTCCCAGATATCAAATAAAGAACAAACAAATGTGATCACCATACTCCTGAAGCTTGTAGTTTAGTTGGGGAGGAAACACAATTAAATATATAATTATGAAACATGACGGAACGAAAAGGAAAATAACTCAGTGCTGTGAAGACATACACCGGGGGGCGTGTTTTGGACTGGGGCATGATATAGTTGGATATTCATCCCTGCCTAAGTCTCATCTGGAATTATAATCCCCAGTATTGGAGGTGCGGTCTGGTGGGAAGTGATTGGATTATGAGGGTAGATTTCTTATGAATGGTTTAGCACCATACTCTTGCTGCTGTCCTCGAGAGAGTGAGTTCTCATGAGATGTGGTTGTTTTAAAAGTGTGTGGCACCTCCCCTGTCTTGCTCTTGCTTTCACCACGTAAAGTGTCTGCTCCCGCTTCACCTTCTACCACGATTGTAAGCTTCCTAAGGCCTCCCCAGAAACGAAGCAGATGTTGGCACTATACTCCCTGTACAGCCTGTAGAATCGTGAGCCAATTAAACCTCTATTCTTTTTTTTTTTTTTTTTTTGAGACGGATTCTCGCTCTGTCACCCAGGCTGGAGTGCAGTGGCGCAATCTCGGCTCACTGCAAGCTCCGCCCCCCGGGGTTCACGCCATTCTCCTGCCTCAGCCTCCCAAGTAGCTGGGACTATAGGCGCCCGCCACCACGCCCAGATAATTTTTTGTATTTTTAGTAGAGACGGGGTTTCACCGTGTTAGCCAGGATGGTCTCGATCTCCTGACCTCCTGATCCACCCATCTTGGCCTCCCAAAGTGCTGGGATTACAGGCGTGAGCCACCGCGCCCAGCCCTCTATTCTTATAAATCACCCGATCTCAAGTATTCCGTTATAGCAATGCACCAACAGCCTAATGCAAGGCACCACTTTCTGAAGGAATGATGTTTATGCTGAAAACTGAAAGATGAGAAAAAGCCAGCTAGGTAGAGTGGGAATAAGAGTTTTCTCAGCAAAAGAAAACGAGGTTACTTATCCTGAAGGAAAGAACTTATTCTGCTATAGTAACTGAAGCTGGAGTATGTGAGTGAGGAGGAGGAAAATAAACTGGGAGAAGTAGGTAGGTGCAAGCTTATGCACTCTGGTCATTCGAACTTTGGAAATTTGAGATATCTGGATTCAAATCTTGGCTTCCTCTCTTATTTATGATCTTGGACATGTCACTTAATTTTGCAGTGAATCAGTTTCCATTTCACTAAAACAAGAGTAAAATAATCTATCTTGCAAACTAATGCAGATTAAGTGGATTTAAATGTCTGGTCCATAGCAATGTCAGCACCTTTCCTCCACTATCTGCTTCCTTTACTCTTCCTGCATTTTTACCCAGAGCTGTTGATGCGATCTACTTGAATGATTAAATAACTTTGGTTTTCTTTGCTGTCTTCCATGGTCTTGGGTGGAAGTTGCTTACAGCCCAAATAATCAAAAGCTGAATAATCTAGAGTTAACTATTATTCAAGAAATTCTAGTTATATCATTGATATTACTTTTATTAATTATAACAAATGGATTTAGAATCAATCATCAAAGCTTGGTCCCAGGTCTGATGTTCTGAGATATTCAAGTTCATGCTTGCTTAATGTTTTGTTTACAAAATAGCTGCAATTTAAAAAAAAACTTGGAAGAGGCTTTCTGTTTTGATGCATAATATGAAAGCTGACTGTGACTTAGCAAACCAAAAATATTTATTCAGAAAATACTTCATTTCAACTATCTGTCGTGGTGAAAGGCAGTTTTTGTTTCAGTGTGATCAATGCAACACACTGTGTTTTCATTATCAGCTCTGTTGGTTGAGAGTGGTTCTAGGAAAACACTTGAGCACTGATTCCCAAATCTAACAAGTGCCCAGATTCTCAGAAGCTAGGAAGATGTCACAGGATATACCCATTCTTCCTAGTGAATGGACTAGATAAGAGTTAGGTTTCTTTCCTTACCCAACCTTATTATAAGGAAGTATATTGTGAATGAACTTTCTGAAGTGGGAACCAGCAGTAATAACTTTCAAAAATTCTTTTACAGGGAGTTTATGCTTCACACCATCTCAGAGGTGACCTAGGACTGTGACACAGGACAACCCCTTGGCTTCTGTGAGCCTTAGTGTGAAACAGAATACTATGATGTCTCCTACCAACCTCACAGAGTTGTCATGGAGGTTAGACTAGATGCCAGTTATAACCTAGTTGAGTGTGGGGAGCATTCATTCAACAAATTCTGCTGAATGGAAAGAACTAGAGGAGCTCTTTTCCAACCTGGTCCAGGTATATTATCTTATTTGAGACTTGTAACAACCCTACAAAGTAGTCAGGACAGACAACTATAAAGTGCTAGACAAACAGCCATACAAAATTGATTTTTAAAATCCACTTTTTCTGGGCTGGGCGTGGTGGCTCACGCCTGTAATTCCAGCTCTTTGGGAGGCCGAGGCGGGCGGATCACGAGGTCAGGAGATCGAGACCGTCCTGGCTAATATGGTGAAACCCCGTCTCTACTAAAAATACAAAAAAATTAGCCAGACATGGTGGTGGGCACCCATAGTCCCAGCTACTTGGGAGGCTGAGGCAGGAGAATGGTGTGAACCCGGGAGGCGGAGCTTGCAGTGAGCTGAGATTGTGACACTGCACTCCAGCCTGGGTGACAGAGCGAGATGCCGTCTCCAAACAAACAAACAAACAAACAAAAATCCACTTTTTCTGGCTGGGCGCGGTGGCTCACACCTGTAATCCTAACGCTTTGGGAGGCCGAGGCGGGTGGATCACTTGAGATCAGGAGTTTGAAACCAGCCTGGCCAACATGGTGAAATCCCATCTCTACTAAAAATACAAAAATTAGCTGGGCATGGTGGTGGGCGCCTGTAATCCCAGCTACTCAGGAGGCTGAGGCAGGAGAATTGCTTGAACCCGGGAGGCGGAGGTTGCAGTGAGCTGAGATTGCACCGCTGCACTCCAGCCTGGGCAACAGAGTGAGACTCTATCTCAAAAAATAAAATAAAATATAAATAAATAAATAAAATCTACTTTTTATACTTCTCCAAATAATTAAACTCCACAACTACTCCATAACTCTTTTTGATGTGTATCAACATGCATTGTAAGTTCTTTTCACTATATAACCTCCTAAACCTTTCATTCTTTACCTATGCCTTCTTAATTTTTTCAATGAATTGTAAAATAGCTCTCAAAGACCTAAACATACTCATTCGTTTCTTAGCCTTCTCTTTTAAAAAGTCGTAATTACAGCATATCTTGTATAGTTTCCTATTCTTTCATAGTTCTTAGTTTTCTAGTTATCATTCCAAATTTCCTGAACTGTTCCTCCTAGATTCTTTGATTTATTTAGAGTTAATGTCTTTGTACCTCCCTCTTTTTTCTCCATAAAGGAGTCTTTCCTTCCCAGAAAGTTGTGCTGTTGTCCTTGTTGTCCTTTGTAACAGCTGAATTGTAATACTGTTACTTTTCTGGCATACTGGATTGAACACCACTGGGCAGCTTTGGGGAGGGCCTTGTGTTGTCTAATGGAAAACTACCAGTTACTGACAGAACTGGGCACCGTGCTGTCCCCACCCACTCTCCACTGCAGGCTGGGAAGCCCCATTGCTGGGAGGCGTTTCTCCTACTAGGTTCTTTCCCTTCTAGAGCAGGGCCACATCAACTGACTTGCTGTGGGTGAGTTCTGTCCAAGGGGCTTCACTCCCTCCCTATATACATTTATCTGAGGGTATAATTCTGAGGGACAAGGGACAGCCAAGGCAGGTTGGGTTGCTGCTGTTGACTTTGCAGTGTCTGTTCTTCCCTGCAGGGTTGCTGGGGGCACACTGTTCTAGCGTGTCCTCACATGCTGATCCGTCTCCTTCTCCTTAGGCAGCATGGAGGTTACCATATAGAGTGGTTTGTTCGGTCCTCACCAAGATGACAAAGAAGAGAAAACCAAGCGCACCTTCCACACATGGCCAAGGGGAAAATGAAACCAGGAAATGAAAGTCCTGAATGTCACACTTTCCTTCAAGTGGGGAGTCCAAGGTGGAAATTCTCTGAGCTACACCCTGTAAATATTTTCACATCTAGTTTATTTTCCTTAGACCTTTTGCTGTCAGGGAGAAACAGAGAAAGAAAAAAGAAGAGATGAGAGAAAACCAAAGTTCAAAGAAAGCTTGGGAACTTGACTCCTAGAAGTAGACTATCCAGTGATAGACATTTAAGCATTGTTGAGAACCTCTCTGACTTTACTGAAGGCAGTGCACCAAATTTTACCAACTCCTAAGTGACTGGTATTTGAATGTAAAAGACATATACATTGGTTTATTTTGGACATGGCAAAAGAATGAAGTGTTTTACGGGCAAAAAAAAAAAAAAAAAAAGCTATTCAATCTCAAGAGAAAGTAGAATAGAGTCCAAAAGTGAAAATTCTTGAAGAACAGAAATGGTCTTAATTATTGACAAATATACATTTTAATGGATTCATGATGAATATTAATCCTGGTTTTTAAAATGAAGTACCATTTATTAAAATTTAGTTTTTGAGATAAAATACAAAATATAAAACTTATGTCTAAAAATAAAGCTCTCTAACCTGTAATTTGAGAGCTACCTAATCTTAATATGAGTTTATTTGACAAGCTCTGTTTTCCTTGTGACAGAATGTCTCTTTTCAGTTTGAGTCATCATTGCACATTTATGAAATCTGACAATGCTGTTTTTACACAGCCTTAGACATTTGGGTCAAGGTGATGAGTGAGACATTGCACAGGTGAAGTAATTTGACAGATTGGATGTGGGTGTTGAGGAAGGGTTACCTGGAGGTGGGAGAGGGTTACAGAAATGGGGGTAAGATGGAGCACCAAAGATGAATTTCATTGTCTTTATCATTTTGCCTGCCATTTGAGTTCTCAAGTCCCTGAGGCTGTTGAATCCAGTTCTTTATTCATCTTTGAAATTAGCCTGGAAAGGGACTTTTCTTGTAGTTTAGTCCAGGGTTTGGAAATTGGGGCCACAAGTTTGCTTGATTGTAAGTTCTGTATTTCTCTTCCAAGTGCATCATCTATTTTAGTTGGTAATGACAGTTATTTTGGAGAATGTAATTTCTTATTTTTTATTTGTTAGGTTTTTTTTCCCATTTTTATTGACAAAATATCAAGGGGCTAGATTTCTGTGCTGCTTGGGCCTGAGAGCTTAAGGAAGCCACTCCATAAGAGGGACACAGGAGGCTTTTCTTCTTGGCTCTCACAGAGAATGCATTACTGGCAGCCTAATGCATATAGCATGGGGAAGACCACAGCTGTGAATGCAATTAATGGCCCCTGCATTTGCAAAAAAACACAGATCCATAAACTGCAATGATGTCTTTTTAAATGTGTGCCATATTTAGGGTCAAAAAAATAATTTACAAGCAGGGTGGGATTGTGCTTAAAGCAGAAGGGCATGTTTTTAATGTGCCATGGTATGGGGTGGAGCATGAAAATGCCCAGTTCTACCATAAAATATTAAGATCTGCTGGTGTTATGGAACTTTTATAGTTTCTTCTTTGGCCTCTCCAACATCCCTGTCTTCTGTCCAGATCTGGACCCAGATTCTGGCCAGCTTCTTAAACCAGAGAACTAAATGGTTCCATGTGTTACCAGCACCCAATTCTTAGAAAAGGAAAAAACCAAAGTTAAATGATTTGCTTTTTCCATCAGCTTGCCATGTTCTTGGAATTTTTAGGTGCATTATCCATCAGACTGTTTACTACTATGCTTCTCCTTCATAATATTGACAGTGTCTTTTTAGGATGCCTTTGATCAGTGGGCTCTCAAACTTTAGTGTGCGTCAGAATAACCTTGTTGAATACAGATTGCTGGGCCTCACCCCCATAATTTCTGATTCAGTATGTGTGGGGTGGGGTCTTATAATTTGCTTTTCTAACAAGTTCTCAGGTGGTACTATGCTGCTGGTTTGGAGGCCAAACTTTGAGAAACACTGCTTTAGATATATAAGTTTCATAGATATTAGTTCAAATCTTCTAACCGGATATTTTTATTACCCCTGAGTAGCCCTTAAAATGCCTACTTCTTCTTTTTTTTTTTTTTTCTGAGTCAAAGTCTCACTCTGTCGCCCAGGCTAGAGTGCAGTGGCGTGATCTTGGCTCACTGCAACCTCCACCTCCCAGGTTCAAGCCATTCTCCTGCCTCAGCCTCCTGAGTAGCTGGGACTACAGGCGCATGATACCGCACCTGGCTAATATTTGTATTTTTAGTAGGGATGGGGTTTTACCATGTTGGCCAGGCTGGTCTCGAACTCTTGACCTCAAGTGATCCACCTGCCTTGGCCTCCAAAGTGCTGGGATTACAGGCATGAGCCATAGTGCCCGGCCAAAATGCCTACTGTTAATAAGGGTTTTCAAGAGGTACAAAACTATAAATTAGAGGAACTCTAATCAGTTCATAAGCAGCCAGAACCTAGCAACATTCCACTGGAAGGACTTTAAGAGGCTGTGTTGACCACGTGGCATCTGCTACACCTGGGGAGTTTGTTGGTGTCCTGGAAAGAGTTGGAGCTGCCAGGGTTAGAGATGTTAGAGCTGAATGTCTCATCACACTCAGATGACTTTTGATCATATCCCACAGGCTGGATCCTCAAATTTCAACCACTGTTGATGAGATGTGACCCCCATAGTTGAGACCATATTTTGTTTAATTGGCATGGTAGACCTGTTGTAACGAGAAGCTTTTTAATATGAATAAAACAAAAGAGTCTTTGAGTTTCTTTCTGTTTAAATAACAGGTGCCTGGAATTGTTTTGTTTGTTTTCAGTAACCCTGCAGAACTGAAATATTTGTCAATCATTTTCATGTGGTCTGAGGGACAACAAGTAGATCAGACACTAAGCTTGAGCCTCAATCTCTTTTTTTTTTTTTTTTTTACTTGAGATGGAGTCTCACTCTGTCACCCAGACTGGAGTGCAGGGGCGCGATCTTGGCTCACTGCAAACCCTGCCTCCTTGGTTCAAGAGATTCTCCTGCCTCAGCCTCCCAAGTAGCTGGGATGACAGGCACCCACCACCATTCCCCCCTAATTTTTTTGTATTTTTAGTAGAGACAGTTTCACCATGTTGGCCAGCTGGTCTCAAACTCCTGACCTCATGATCCACCCGCCTCGGCCTCTCAAAGTGCTGGGATTACAGGCATGAGCCACAGCACCCACCTGAGCCTCAATCTCTTAACATCTGGATGGCAGTTAGGAAAGGAAGCTTGAAATTTTTAGTACAGACCCCTAGATGCAAAGAGGAAAAGTGCCTATTGATCTGAAAATCCCTAGAAATGACTAGCAAAAATAACCACCTCCAGTTGCTCTCTTTTTTTTTACCCTGGCTTATTTTTTCTATAGTACTTTTTACATTGGATCTTATTTCCTTATTTATTTGCTGATTTATTAAATTTGCTTATTTATTAAACCATCTGTCACCATTGAATGTACATGCAATGATGGCAGGGACTTTTTCTTGTTCACTATTGCGTTCCCAGTGCCATGTAATTGTCACTTGATGAATATTTGATGAACGAATGAATGAATCTATCTTGTTCAGCAACTTATCTCATTACCAAATTATCAACACACCAATAGATTTGGCACTTTCCTTTAAAAAAGCAGATTACCTAACTGTTATAGATTTGAAGGACTACATTCTATCAGCAGCATGTAGGAATAACAGTGGCATTCTGAAACAATTGTGTAGGTTAACAAGTTGGGGCACTCTGGCAGAGAATGGGCAAAGGCAGCACATCGAATACTTTGAGTTATTGACCTCCTTATAATTATCGTCAAGACTTTAAGATTAATAAAACATCTTAGCTTGTTCTGCTTAATAATACCTCTTCCTTAGCCTGTATAGTTTCTTGATTTAATGCTCCTATTTTTGGGTTAAATCCTCTCGAATAATTGCCTAGTAGCCAGTATTATTGGCCATTAGAACTTTTAACTGAGGATCTCCTCTTCATGGGTGCAGCCTGGGTTGAGAGTACTGTGCCATGCATTTGCTTAGGATTTACTCAGAAGGGCAGAGGGCATTGTTCATGAGTTACCTGTGAGAATTTTAAAACCTGCAATCTCTGCTTCCCAAGTTCAAGCGATTCTCCTGCCTTAGCCTCCCGAGTAGCTGGGACTACAGGTGCCTGCCACCACGTCCGGCTAATTTTTGTATTTTTAGTAGAGATGGGGTTTCACTATATTGGCCAGGCTGGTCTTGAACTCCTGACCTTGTGATCCGCCCACCTTGGCCTCCCAAAGTGCTGGGATTACAGGCATGAGCCACTGTGCCTGGCCAAAATGTTGTGTTTCTTATTTTGATGATAATTTTAAAAATGTGATGCAGGTATATTCTAGGTCATCAGGCTGACCACTTCACAACTAAGTTCTGCCATCATATTTCATTGCCCGTGTATGCATCTGTGTTTATGACAGTTGTGTTGGGGGCCATGCATTTTTATGAAACTCATGCATTTATGAGAAAAAAACAGAGACAGCTTGCTGTGCAATGACACACTTGTGGCAAGTGAAGATCAGAACACAGAGTACAGAGACCCAATATGAAGGAGCTTGGATCTGATCTTGTAGATAGATCTTCTGATGAAAAACCATTGAAGAGACTCAACTAAGGTGGAGGTAGTGAAGATGGAGTGGAGAAGAAGAAATATTTATGATGCTCAATCAACATGACTTGGTGATTGTTTATCTCCTGAGGATGGAAGGTTAGGAGGTGAGGGTTAGAGGAAGTAGTCAGTGATGACTCCCAGTGTTTCTCAAGATGAGCAATGAAGAGATTTCCCCTAAAGAAAATAAAGTTCTGGTGTTAACTTGAATTAATTATATAAAAGCATTACTTAACTATGTATATACACAAAATTAGGTATATATTTCTTTTATTAGTCTTATAAAAGCAAAAAAACTTACAAATTAAATATAAAAACTATGAAACCTGTTAATTCTAAATTAACAACATTCATTTAATGTGACAAATGTTTTGGTAGAACTGAATCACTATTTGCAAACTAAATATCTAAATATAACATAGACTGCTATAGTAGAGGATATTTTGATTTAGGATGGAGGAAAATGGTGGAAGAATTATCAATACACAGCAGCTCATGAACAGACTAAACCCTCTTAAAAGAAGAGGCCCTGCATTTCTCAAATTTGAGTGACTTGTTTTAAGACTCAGCTTGAGGCTTACTTCATTTGAAAGTCTTCTGTGACTAAACCGAGCATGATAGATGCTCCTCTTTTGGGTCTGTGCAGAGTTCTGTCATTTAATTTATCTCACAACAATATGATTCATAGGTATTTGTCTATCCTTGAAAACAATTTTTTAAATTTTCTCAAAGACTGGGACAGTGTCTAGCATACAGCAGAAGTAAGTAAATGTTGATTGGTTGAGGGAAAGGTTCATACGTACATTCTGGGCTTAAAAAAAATAATTGATTATGCTAAATAAAAAAGCCATGGGGATATATTAGTCAGAATTCAGTCTGAAGAGAAGAGAGATTATGAGTGTTATGAGATAAGTGATTCGTATGGGAATTAGATCTTACACAATTGGGAAGGAGCTGGGAAGTGAAGGCCCTGTAGGGGAATAAGGTGATAGAAGAGGTCATCAGCCAGGATAGGAGAAACCACATCTGTTGATTGGGAACCCCTTGGGAAGGTCTGCAGGAAGCTGTTTGGCCACCAGCTGTGTGTCTGGTTGTAGGTATGGGCTGCTGTTGGCCAACAAGGTCAGTGGTTGGGAAGAAGAGCTATACAGAGGAACTGTTCTAGAACACAGGAGACCAAAGACCAGCTGGAGCCTGCTGGGCACCTTTGCATATTTCTGTCACTGTGTCTGATGACAGACTTTCAGAACATAATGGCTATTGTTTCACTTCTGTCTTCTAAATCTCACACAAGATCCTCTTGGCCAATTAAGCCCACAGCCATAGAAGGGAGAAGATTTTGGGAAACATGATTTCAGTTTGACCGAGTCAACACAGAACAAACCACCACAGATTTCTGCTTCTGTCAGTGTGGCTCTTTAGGACAGTCTCTCAGGCACGTCTGGTCTCATAAGAGGTAGTAAGATCTCCAAGGACCCTCTCCCAGCAAATACAACAACCAGCAGAGCCGTGGGCAATGAAAGTGTGAGATGAGCTTTCCCTGAGAGTAGATGTCAATAGTCATGCTGCTACCAAGATATTGGTGGCCAGGTAAGAAAACTGAGCTTGGAACATCCAATGTGAGCTTCGACTGTGCCAAGGGGCTGATGTCATCCCAGGGTAGTACTGCCTTTTGCTGCTGGTAAAAGAAGAAGCAAAAAACAAATTGTCTCTGGGGGAAATCTTCAACAATTTAGTTTGCAGATTAAGCAATCATTTCACAATCAAAGTTCACCATGCACATTGCAATGCAAGCCAAGCTGAGTGAGATCAATAGAAAAAAAAAAAACAGATTTAGACCCTTCCCCATAGACTTCAGTTATTAGAGTTGTCAGTTGCACAATATAGGGAAGCTATGTTAAAAATATTTAAAGGGGAGGGTGTGGTGGATCATGCCTGTAATCTCTTTTGGAGATGGAGGCAAGAGGATCGCTGGAGGCTGGGAATTTGAGACCACACTAGATAACATATTGAGAGCCCCATCTCTACAAAAAATAAGAAAAAAGTAGCCAGGTATGGTGGGGCACGCCTGTTGCCCTACCTACCTGGGAGGCTGAAGCAAGAGGCTCTCTTGAGCCCAGGAGTTGGAGATTGCAGCGAGCTATGATCTCACCACTGCACTCTAGTCTGGGCAACAGAGTGAGACTCTGTCTCTAAGAAAAAAAAAAACTTAAAGAAATAATGGACACAATCAAAAAGATAAGTAAGTAACAAAAAAACCAGCAGGAATAAATAGGTAGACTTGGAAATAAAAGGGAATTTCTGAAAATGTAAAATACAATTGTTAAAAATTTAAGGACTCAATGAATGGGTTTGACAGCAGATTTAATACAGCCATAATCACTCCAGGAAAGGCAGAAAAGGAATTGGAAAACATAAAAAAGTAGATATGTGAGGAAATCTAATATATATTTAACCGAGTCCCAAAAAGTGAGACTAGAGAGAAAATTGTAGGCAATATTTAAAGAGATATGGGCTTTAAATTTTCCAGAACTAATCTATTCCATAGATCCTAGGAAAAACCTGTTTTGAAAAAAAAGGAGAGCTGTTGTAAAATATGCAGACTATAGTTAATAACAATGCATTATATTCTTGAAAATTGCTAAGTATAGATTTGAAGTGTTCTCATCACAAAGCAATGATATGTATGTGAGGTAATATATATATTAATTAGCTCGATTTAGCTATTCCACAATGTGTACCTATTTCAAAGCATGCTGTACATGATAAATATATACAATTTTTATTTCTCAATTAAAACAAATAAATAAAAATTTAGAAAAAATAAATAGAAAGCCTGAATTGTCCTAAGACTATTTAAAAAAAATCAAACTATCAGTGATGTTTTCCCACTAAGAAAACTCTATGTCTTGGATGTTTTACAGGTAGTTCTACCAAATTTCTAAGGAGCATATTATTCCAAATGTAATAATTCTTTGAGAGGATAGAAAACTCATTCTATGAGGTCACTGCTACCTTGATACCAAATCCAGGCAACGTCAGTATGAAAATGGGTTATTACAGTCACTCTTTCTCATTAACACATACACAGACTGAATCTATCAGTTGATAATGAACACCCAAAGGTCTCTAATACAAAATTTCAATGAAATGGCTAAAGATAAGTAAAAAAAAAAGGGAATAAAATTTACTAGCATTAAAATCAGGAAACACTGCCAGGTATATTCTGTGTACTTCTCCCTATATGAAGAGGGCACCTTCCACCATAAGGGGAGGGCAAGTATATAGTTACAATTTTTTGCAGTGTTCTGTTTCTTATATTGTCAAGGATACAGAGTGTTGTTCTTTGTCTTATTTTACTTAAAACTTACATATACATTACATATATTCTTTTGATTATATCAAGAATTATATATACATGTGTATACATGTGTGTACATATTTGGGTATGTGATATATATTTTTCTTCAATGGAAAGGGGATGGCATAAAAACAAGCTTGTAATGGAACAAAATGGCCAAAGAGAAGTAATTAGGACAAAACTGCATTGACACTGAAACTAGGAAATCATGCTAAGCATAAGCCATGCATTTTTGGAAATATCAGCCAGATAAAATGCAATTTGAAAAAGATTAATGAAACCAAAAGTTGGTTTTTTGAAAAGATAAAAGTGACAAACCTTTAGCCAGACTAATTAAGCAAAGAAGAGAGAAGACCCAAATAAATAAACAGATGAAAAAGGAGACATTACAACTGATACCACAGCAATTCGAAAGATCATTACAGGTTATTTTGAGCAACTATGTGCCAAAAATTGAAAAACCTAGAAGAAATTGATAAACTCCTAGGCACATACAGCCTACTAAGATTCAACTATAGAGAAATTCAAAACCTGAGCAGACCAATAACAAGCGATGAGATTAAAGCCGCAATAAAAAATCTCGCCGTAAAGAAAAGTCCAGGACCTGATGAATTCACTGCTGAATTCTACCAAACATGTAAAGAAAAACTAATACCAGTCCTACTCAAACTATTCCAAAAAACAAAGAAGGAGGGAATACTTTCAAACTCATTCTTCAAGGTCAGTGTTACCCAGTACCGAAACCAGACAAAGACACAACAAAAAAAGAAAACTGCAGACCAGTATCTCTTATGAACATTGATGCAAAAATCCTCAACAAAATGCTAGCAAACAGAATTTGACAACACATTAAAAAGATCATTTATCATCAACAAGTGTGATGCATCCCAGGGTGTAAGGATGGTTCGATATAGTCAAATCAATGTGATCCATCATATCAACAAAATGAAGGACAAAAACCACATGATCATTTCAACTGATGCTGAAAAAGCATTTGATAAAATTCAACATCCATTCATGATAAAACCCTTAAAAAAATACTGGGGCTAGAAATATACCTCAATGTAATAAACATCATATATGACAGAGTCACAGCTGGTATCACACTGAATGGGGAAAAACTAAAAGCCTTTCCTCTAAGATCTGTAACATGACAAGGCTGCCCACCTTCACCACTGTTATTCAACGTAGTACTAGAAATCCTAGCTAGAGCAATCAGACCAGAGAACGATATAAAAGGCATCCAAATAGGAAAGGAAGAAGTCAAATTATCTTTGTTTGAAGATGATATGATCTTATATTAGGAAAAACCTAAAGACTCCACCAAAAACTATTAGAACTGATACATTGAGTAAAGTTGCAGGATACAAAATCAACATAAAAAAAACCAGTATCATTTATATGACAACAGAAAACAATCTGAAAAAAATAAAAAAGTAATCTAATTTACAATAGCAACAAATAAAATTACCTGGAAATTAACTTAAAAGAAGTGAAAGATCTTTACAATGAAAGCTATAAAACATTGATGAAAGAAATTGAAGAGAACACTGAAAAAATGGAAATATATTTAATGTTCATGGATTGGAAGAATCAATACTTTAAAAAATGTCCATAGTACACAAGGCAATCTACAGATTCAATGCAATCTCTATCAAAATACCAATGACATTCTTCACAGAGGTAGGAAAATAATTCTAAAATTTATATGGAACCACAAAAGACCCAGCTTAGACCCAAGGTAGCCAAAACTATCCTGAGCAAAAAGAACAAAACTGGAGGAATCCCATTCCCTGACTTCAAGTTATACTACAGTGCTATAGTAACCAAAATAGCATGGTACTAGCATAAAAACAGACACGTAGACCAATGGAACAGAATAGAGAACCCAGAAAGTAAACCATACATCTACAGTGAACTCTTATTGATGAAGATACCAGAAACATACATTGGGGAAAGGACACTCTTCAATAAAGGGTGCTGGGAAAACTGGATATCCATATGCAGGAGAATAAAACTAGACTCCTTTCTCTCACCATATACAAAGATCAAATCAAGATGGATTAAAGCCTTTTCAACTTTAATGGATTTATTTTAATCCATTTTCACTTTAATCTAAGATCTCAAATTATGAAACTACTAAAAGGAAACGTTGACAAAACTCTCCAGGACATTGGACTGGCAAAGATTTCTTGAGTAATACCCCACAAGCACAGGCAAGCAAAGCAAAAATGGACACATGGGATCACACCAAGTTAAAAAGCTTCTGCACAGCAGAGGAAACAATCAGCAAATTGAAAAGATAACCCACAGAATGGGAGAAAATATTTGCAAACTATCCACCTGACAAGGGATTAATAACCAGGACATATAAGGAGCTCACACGACTGTGCAGGAAAAATATCTATTATAATAATCTGATTTAAAAATAAGCAAAAGATGTGAACAGACATTTTTCAAAAGAAGACATACAAATGGCAAACAGGCACATGAAAGTGTGCTCAACATCATTAATCATCAGAGAAATGCAAATCAAAGCTACAATGAGATATCATCTCACCCCAGTTAAAATGGCTTTTTCCAAAAGACTAACGATAACAAATGTTGGCGAGGAGGTGGAGAAAACAGAATCCTCGTGCACTGTTGGTGGGAAAGTAAATTAGTACAACCACTATGGAGAACAGTTTGGAAGTTCCTCAAAAAACCAAAAATAGAGGTACCATATGATCCAGCAATCCCACTGTTAGGTTCTATCTAAAATAAAGGAAATCAGTATATTGAAGAGATCCACACACCCATGTTTATTGCAGCACTATTCACAGTAGCCAAGATTTGGAAGCAATCTAGGTATCCATCAACAGATGAATTAATAAGGAAAATGTGGTACATATACACATGGAGTGCTATTTAGCCATGAAAAAGAATAAGATCTAGTCACTCATAACAACATGGATGGAACTGGAGGTCATTATGTTATGTGAAATGAGCCAGGCATAGAAAGACAAACTTTGCATGTTCTCACTTATTTTGGGAAACTAAAAATCAAATCAATTGAACTCATGAACATAGAGAGTAGAAGGATGGTTACCAGAGGCTGGGAAGGGTAGTGGGGCTGTAGGGAGAAAGTGGAGCTAGTTAATGGGTACAAAAAATAGAAAGAATGAATAAGACTGAATATTTCAGAGCACAACAGGATGACTATAGTCAACAATAATTTAATTGTACATTTAAAAATAACAAAAGGAGGGCTGGGCATGGCGGCTCATGCCTATAATCCCAGCACTTTGGGAGTCCATGGCGGGTGGATCACCTGAGGTCAGGAGTTTGAGACCAGCCTGACCAACATGGAGAAACCCTGTCTCTACTAAAAGTACAAAATGTGGTGGGCATGGTGGCACGCGCCTGTAGTCCCAGCTATTCGGGAGGCTGAGACAGGAGAATTGCTTGAACCTGGGGGGCAGAGGTTGTAGTGAGCCAAGATTACTACACTGCACTCCAGTCTGGGCAACAGTGAGACTCCCTCTCAAAAAAAAAAAAAAAAAGTAGAAAATAGTAAAAATAACTAAATAACTAAAGGAGTATAATTGGATAGTTTGTAACAAAGGATAAATGCTTGGGACGATGGATACCCCATTTACCCTGATGTGATTATTGTACATTGCGTGCCTGTATCAAAATATCTATGTAGCCCATAAATATATAAATGTACTATGTATCCACTCAAATTAAAAATTTATAATTAAAAAATGTAGGCCGGGCACGGTGGCTCATGCCTGTAATTCCAGCACTTTGGGAGGCAGAGGCAGGTGGATCACCTGAGGTCAGGAGTTCGAGACCAGCCTGGCCAACATGGTAAAACCCCGTCTCTACTAAATACACAAAAATTAGTCAGGCTTGGTGGTGCACACCTGTGATCCCAGCTACTCAGGAGGCTGAGGCAGGAGAATCCCTTGAACCTAGGAGGTGGAGGTTGCAGTGAGTTGAGATCACGCCACTGCACTACAGCCTGGGTGACAGAGTGAGACTCTGTTTCAATAATAATAATAAATAAATAAAATAAAAATTAAATTAAATTTAAAAATGCAATTTGGACTCATGTGTTGGAAGTTACAGCAAACGAGCCAGTACTTAACTGCCTCTTTATAAGATAAATGCAGCATTACAGAAAATAGGTGGAAAAAATTCTCTAAAATCTTCTAACATTCCTTTGTCAGTGATTCTTAAATTCGGGTCAAAGCCCCAGGGTTTCAGAATCTCTTGAAGGACTCTTTCAAAATATACACATATCTTCATGGGATTCTGATATGAACTCTTCTGTGAAACTCACAGCCACAGTTCAAACTGTGATCAGGGCTGAGCATGGGTGCTTTACGGGGGAGGGTATCACAGTGGAGGTGCCTTTCCCCATTACCAATCTGAATGTGGCCTTTGAGGGCCATGTATGTCTGGAAGGGAAAGTGTGCAGTACTTTCTTGCCATTTTCTGCTGGGATGATAGCTTCTTAACATTTGTTCAGGTTTGTTTCAATGTGGGAAGAATAGCTAACCTGAAGTGGTAGGAAAGGGGTCCAGATCCACAACTTATTATCCATGTGATCTTGAGCAAGTAATTTTTTCTCTCAGAACTGGTTTCTTGACTGTCAAAAGGGGAAAATAATTCTTACCTAGCAGAGTTTGTGTGGATTAAACAGGAAGTATGTAAAGCTTTTAATATAGGACATGATGCCTGGTAAACCCTAATAAAAAATGTTATGGTTTAAACAGTGACAGTGCAACTGTCATAAATCCTTATTCTTGATAGGTTTGTGCCTATGTATACATATAACTACATAAAGGAAAATACTTGTTTAATGGACTTGGGTTGTTTGCATGTTCAGCAATTGTTAGCATCTTTAGTAGGGACTCATTCAGATTATTCATTAAAGAACTTGTCCAAAGCAGTTGAACTAACTTATTAGAATCCTGGAACTGCCAGAAAACTGAGGAATGACATTGATAAATGATTCTTGAATTTCTGATTTGTGATTCTGAAATGTCACCAGGAGGTCCTATGGCTCAGTCCCGACTAACTTTAGGACTGAGATCTGTAGCCCATGTCTTGGTATTACATGGTTGAAATTGCTTTTCTCATGAGTCTCCCTCTAGCAAACCTTTTAGTTTTTATTTCACTGAGCATTCACAGGGGTGTAGTGTAATTACTGCTTTCTTCTTAAGATTTTATAAGAATTGCAGAAAATTAAAGAGAGCTTATTGAGGTCAAATGTCCACTATAATTTTTTTGCAAATATATTAGTTGTGACCATGAAATTAATCAAACACAGAACCTAAAACAAAACAAAAAGAAGGCAAGCCTAGCTAACTTGGAAGAAGACAGATGTTCTACCTCTAGCTGAAGAGTAATTAGGTCCCAAAGTATTGAGATTCTCACTTTGTCCTTTATTTGAAGTCAGTATATCTTCTTCTTCTGAGTTCTAGCCTCACTGATATTTGGGGTTCTTAAAATTATGTTGTAATATTGTTGAATTGTTAATATTATTGAAGTCATCTTAAGAAAGTTATAGCACCTTAGTCCCTAGAAATTAAACATTTTTAATTTGCCTACTAAAGTACTCTTACATTCTTCTATTTCAGCAGAGGTTATTACAAAGTCATAAAACCCACAAGAAAGATACAGTAAAGCAATTAACTTTTTTTTTGTTTTAAAGAAGGAGTTTCCTTTAAAGCTTTTGTTAGAAAGTGTACATTAAGAAGCTGGGTGGGCTGAGCATGGTGGCTCACGCCTGTAATCTCCACACTTTGAGAAGTTGAGGTGGGAAGATCACATGAAGCCAGGAGTTCAAGACCAGCCTGGACAACATAGCAAGACCCCATCTATAAAAATTTTTTTTTTTAAAAAAAGAAGCCAGGCTTGTTGGCTCGCACTTGTGATCCCAGTTACTCTGGAGGCTGAGGCGGGAGGATTGCTTGTACAATAAACAAATAGCAGGCAATAAACAAATAAATAGACAATAAAAAAATAGACAATAAACAAATGAATGGAGCCATTTGATAGTGATAAATATCCTAATAAAAATAAAACAGAGGGGAGAGAGTGGCTGGGTTGGGAGCCAGGTACTTTATAATTACTTAGAAAAGGTTATTCTGAGGAAGTGCGTGTGAGTCGATGCTTGAATAAGGCAAAGGGATCAGCCTCGTGAAGATCAGGGGCAAAGCATTACAGAGAGCAACCAGCGACTGCAAAGACAAACTTGTTTGGTGCGATGAAGAATGGCAAGGAGGGGAGTGGAGCTGAACACAGTGAGCAACGGGAAGGTTGGTGGGATAGAAAGGTAGGGATGAGATAAAATTATCTTAGCTTGTACTTGTTTTGAGGCCAGATCACAAGGGGCAGGGTAAGCATTTTGTATTCAATTTAAAATGTGAAAGGAAACTGCTGGAGGGGTTTGGAGAAAGGAGTGGGGGAAAGGATATGATCTGATAAATATACTTCAGCATAATTACATTTTTAAATATCTCGAAGCTTCAGAATAGTACAGAGAAATAGCCTATACCTTTATCCAGATTTACCATTTTTAAGCTTTTTAATATTTTATGTCTTAATACTATATATCAGTGTGTGTCAGATCCCAGGGTCCAGGTCCAGGCCATGCTGAAGTCCAAGGGGTGTGGGTGGATGAGCAGAAAGAATACTCAGGGAGCTGTAGGCAGGTGAAAGATGATTTTATTCAGCAGCAACTCTCATCAACAGCTTTCTCACACTGTCCACCTTTATCTCGGCTGTCTGCTCCAGCTCTGAGGCTCCTGGTGCCCCAACGCCTGCAGCTGCACAGGTGGCTCTCCCTTGCCTTCAGGGTCAGCAGCTTAACTCTTTCTCTCTCTGGGCAGGAGCAAGCCAAGCTGTGACCTGTCTCCCTCCTGTCTGTCTGCAAGATGGACATCTTTGTCTCTCTCTCTCTCCCTGGGCACCAGCGTGCCCACCATGTGAAGCCACGTTGAGTTGAGCTGAGCCCCAAGAGCCCAAGAACCATGTCTCTCATGCACAGCGTCAATGGGGCAGTTATACCTTTTACAGACAATAGTGGCTCCAAGCCAAGTATGAACTTACACAAACAGGTTTATAGCAAGTGGAGGTGTGCACCGGCGCGCCCAACTCGCTGACTTATGCAGGCCTGGATATCCATCTCGGCCTATTCCTTGACCAAAGCACATCCATATTCCTTACAATGTGTATTTCCTAAGAATAAAGATGTCCTCTTATCTAGCCACAGTATAGTTATCCAATTCAGGAAAGTTCACAATGAAGCATTGATACAGTACTTCCTATCACTCCTTATTCCAGTTTTGTTAATTGTTCCATAATGTCCTTTATATAGCATATTTCCACTCCTTCCCCTCAGCAACATAATGCATTTAGTTGCCAAGTCTTTTTAGTCTGTTTTATAGGAAACTTACAGAAAACTCTTCAGCCTTTTTTTGTCTTTCGTGACATTGACAGTTTTGGGGAAAACAGGTCAGTTATTTTAGAAAATATTCTTAGTTATGTTTGTCTGTTGTTTCCTCTTGACTAGATTCACATTGTTCTTTTCCAGTTGGAATGCTACACAATTGATGTGTGCTGTGTGCTTCTCACAGGGCCACATCTGCTTGTTTCTAATTGGTGATTTTAATTTTGATCACCTGGTCAGGACTTTCTGCAATGTCTCCAGTTACTTTTCCCTTCTTCCTTGGCTCTTTCTTGACTTCACTTTTTAAATTTATTTTTATTTTTTATTTTTTTGAGATGGAGTCTTGCTCTGTCACCCAGTCTGGAGTGCAGTGGCGTGATCTCAGCTCACTGCAACCTCCACCTCCTGGGTTCCAGCAACTATCCTGCCTCAGCCTCCTTAGTAGCTGAGACTACAGGTTCCCACCACCATGCCCAGCTAATTTTTGTATTTTTAGTAGAGGTGGGGTTTCACCATGTTGGTCAGGCTGGTCTCGAACTCCTGACTGCAAATGATCCACCCACCTCGGCCTCCCAAAGGACTTCATGTTTTTTAAATTTGCTATTTAGGTTGGGCATGGTGGCCCATGCCTGTAATCCCAGCATTTTGGGAGGCCATAGGCGGGAGTATCACTTGAGCCCAGGAGTTTGAGACCAGCGTGGGCAACATAGGGAGACCCGTCTTTACAAAATAAAAAAATTTGCTGTTTAATGTCATTCTTAAGAAATATTAAAAATTTTAATTATTAGCATAAATTTTACTGTTCTTTATATTGTACCAGCTTAAAGTGCAAATATTAGAGCTTTTTTTTTTATTAAAAATTTTTTTTTAAGAGACAGGCTCTCCCTTTTGTTGCCCAAGCTAAAATGCAGTGGCAATCATAGCTCGCTGCAGCCTCAAACTCCTGGACTCAAGTGATGCTCCTACCTTTGCCTCCTGAGTAACTGAGAGCCACTACACCTGGCTAATTTTTTTAAAAAAGTTTTGTACAGAAGAGGTGGTCTCTCTCTGTTGTCCAGGCTGGTCTTGAATTCCTGGCCTCAAACAATCCTCCCTCCTTGGCCTCCCAAAGTGCTGGGATTACAGGCATGAGTCACTATGCCTGGCCATAGGAGCATTTAACTCATTTGTGGAATCATCTAAAATCACAAAATGTATTTTATAGTTCACACATGCATATAGTATATTTCATTCTCACCAGAGCGCTGGAAACACTGCACACAACTAAACTCAAGGATTTTTATTTGTTTTGTTTCTTGATATGCTCACATTCTACTGACACTTTACTTTTGGCTCACTGATGAGTAAGAAAGACTGAAAGCAAAAGGAGTATGGATTGTTCTTGTTTTTAGAATCCCATTTCCTTCTTTCCATGTTTGAAGTATTCAAGTAGAAACAGAAAGGGTAGCATTTCATGGATGTCAGTGCCCTACTTAGTTGTGGACATGACATGCTTAGCTTGTACTTGTGTTGAGTTTTGCTGAACTCCCATGTACTGTGGTTCCCCTGGAATTCTGTGTTCTTGGGACACTGGGAATGCTATATGCATATGGAGTGGCAACGAACTACAGACACATATGGTGCATAAACCTCATCTGCTTAGACACATGCTTCATTGTCCCTTAGGACTTTATTTAAACCTTTTCTCGTTTAGAAAAAACAAGTGCAACTTACTGCCGGTGCTCATTTAGTTTTACATAAACAAGCTCTTTGAGGCTGAAGCAAATCTGACAGATTTTCAATGTGAAAATAAAATATAAAATTGTTCTTATTTCTAAACAGAACTAACATTAGAATCATCTGAATCAAGCTCATCCAACTTGTGGCCCATGGGCTGCATGTGGCTGATGGGCTGCATGTGGCCCAGGATGGCTTTGAATGTGGCCAACATATATTCATAAACTTTCTTAAAACATTATGAGATTTTTTTGCAATTTTTTTAAGCTCATCAACTATTGTTAGTGTTAGTGTATTTTATGTGTGGCCCAAGACAATTCTTCTTCCAATGGGGCCCAGGAAAGCCAAAAGATTGGACACTTCTGGTCTGAATCATCAGAATCATCTATTTCAGAAAAATCAGATTCATCAAATGAATCTTTGGCCAACAACTGTTTGAGAACAATGTTAACATCAACGTGTAGGAGTGCTATGTTTTCTATAATGTGACATTTTCAGCAATCGAGAATTACTATGTTTGTAAATGGAAACATCACTACTAAAAACAGAATGCTATAAATAGAACGATGTCTTTTGTTTCCAAAGTCAATATAGTAGAGCAATGCAAAAATAATAATAAAATTGACATATTTCATGGCAAAGTTATCTCAGGGTAAACACTACTGCTGCAAGTGTCACCAGCCAGTATTATTGGGGCAAATGGAAAAAGGCTTAAAAATACAAGTTAAAAGATAAAATTATGGCCACGCATGGTGGCTCATGCCTGTAATCCCAGCACTTTGGGAGGCCGAGGCAGGCGATCACCTGAGGTCAGGACTTTGAGACAAGCCTGGCCAACAGGTGAAACCCTGTCTCTACTAAAAAGACAAAAATTAGCCAGGCGTGGTGGCAGGTGCCTGTAATCCCAGCTACTCAGGAGGCTGAAGCACGAGAATCACTTGAACCTGGGAGGCAGAGGTTGCAGTGAGTTGAGATTATGCCATCGCACTCTAGCCTGGACGACAGAGCGAGACTCAGTCACACACACACACACACACACACACACACACACACACGATAAAATTATGAAAAATTTTGAGATGGCAATAGAAGAACATTAAACCAAGCCTGAGGTCTTTCTGAGCATGGGCCCAGCGGAGCTGGCCCTACCTTCGCATTTGCTATCATCACTCTACTTTAGGAAAGAGCCCAACCCAATCTTAATTTACTTATGTAGGTATGCATTTATTTATGATTAGTATGGACTCATGGATTCCTATTTTTTCAGTGGGCTATAATCCATTAATTCCACTATTTTGATGATCAAATTGCCTTAGATTTGCCCCATCAAACTGATTCTTGTGTTCTTTCAAAATGCCTTCTTCTTTCTTTCTTTTCGGTACATATTTATTTTCTGATACAAAAGATGTTTCAGGCTAATCTTGTCCCTTTTCTCCCCTACT
Source organism: Homo sapiens (assembly GCF_000001405.40). NCBI lineage: Eukaryota > Metazoa > Chordata > Mammalia > Primates > Hominidae > Homo > Homo sapiens. The sequence continues at coordinate 30,836,807 of NC_000014.9, read as the reverse complement.
CCTGGAATATGCCTTTTCTTGAAAGAACCCTTGTTCCTTTTAGTGAGGAATGATGTTTAGAAACCATAACCTGGGACTGGGCACGGTGGCTCATGCCTGTAATCCCAGCAATTTGGGAGGCCAAGGCGGGTGGATCACTTGAGCTCAGGAGTTCGAGACCAGCCTGGCCTAAAAGGTGAAACCCCCATCTCTATTGTAAAACACACACACACACACACACACACACACACACACACACAGAGAGAGAGAGAGAAAAAGAAACTGTGACCTGGGTGCTAGTTTTGCTTACTGTTTCTGAGATGTCATTGCTTCTAGGCCCTTTTACAAAATAGTTCTGGGGGCAAAACCCTATTTTTTTTCTTAGAAATCATGAGATCATATCAATGCTTCCAATTCCAACCTAACTCTGTAGGGTTCTTCTTTGCCTTTCTTCTTCCGTATTTGTTTCCTTCTTCTTTCACATTAAGAACCTTAACACATTTGTTCATTGGCTCAATTCTACAGTGCATTCTGCAGCCATACCACAGAAAAACAAGAGTTTAAGGTTTGTTGGGGGGGTTCTTTCTTTTATCTAGACTTATGGCATATAGTTGTTGAAGTACTGTGTTGGAAAGTTTCTTGGATTAGTGCTTTCTGCCCTTAAATATGGTTGTTATTTATTTGAAATGCAGTAGGAGACATTTGTTTTGTGTTCAATTTTATGCTTTACCACACTCCTTATTGATTTTCTTGTTCTTATTGATTCAATTTAATATATTTTTTGTATTTATTTATGTTAAAATTTATTTGGTATTTATTTGTGTAGAATGTTGACGTGTTTTCTTTCTTTCTTTCTTTCTTATTTTTGAGATGGAGTCTTGCTGTGTCTCCCAGGCTGGAGTACAGTGGCGTGATCTTGGCTCACTGCAAGCTCTGCCTCCCGGGTTCACGCCATTCTCCTGCCTCAGCCTCCCGAGTAGCTGGGACTACAGGCGCCTGCCACCACACCTGGCTAATTTTTTGTATTTTTAGTAGAGACGGGGTTTCACCATGTTAGCCAGGATGGTCTCGATTTCCTGACCTGGTCATCTGCCCGCCTCAGCCTCCCAAAGTGCTGGGATTACAGGCATGAGCCACCACGCCCAGCCTGACGTGTTTTCAAGAGTCAAACTATATAAGAAATTATTTTAAGATATGTCTCTTTCTTCCTCTGTAGTTTCCAATGTTACCCCCGATATGGTTTGGCTGTATCCCCACCCAAATCTCATCTTGAATTGCAGCTCCCATAATTGCCTCATGTTGTGGGAGGGACCCAGTGGGAGATAATGGAATCATGGGGGTGGTTCCCCAACACTTTTCTTGTGGTAGTGAATAAGTCTCATGAGATCTTACAGTTTTATAAGGGGAAATCCTTTTGCTTGGCTTTCATTCTCTCTTGTCTGCCACCATGTAAGACATGCCTTTCACCTTCTGCCATGATTGTGAGGCCTCCCCAGCCATGTGGAACTGTGAGTCCATTAAACCTCTTTTTCTTTATAAATTGCCCAGTCTAATGTATGTCTTTATCAGCAGTGTGAAAACAGGTTAATACAGTAAATTGGTACCAAGAGTGGAATGCTGCTGTAAAGATACCCCAAAATGAGGAAGCGACTTTGGAACTGGGTAACGGGCAGAGGTAGGAACAGTTTGGAGGGCTCAAAAGAAGACAGGAAAATGTGGCAAAGTTTGGAACTTCCTAGAGACTTGTTGAATGGCTTTGACCAAAATGCTGATAATGATATGAACAATGAAATCCAGGCTGAGGTGGTCTCAGATGGAGATGAGGAACTTGTTGGAAATTGGAGTATAGGTTACCCTTGTAATGTTTTAGCAAAGAGACTGGTGGCATTTTCCTCCTGCCCTAGAGATCTGTGAAACTTTGAACTTCAGGGAGATGATTTAGGGTATCTGGTGGAAGAAATTTCTAAGCAACAAAGCATTCAAGAGGTGACTTGGGTACTGTAAAAGCATTCAGTTTCAAAAGGGAAACAGAGCATAAAAGTTTGGAAATTTTGCAGCCTGATGATGAGCTAGAAAAGAAAAACCCATTTTCTGAGGATAAATTCAAGCCAGCTGCAAGAAATTTGTGTAATAATGAGGAGCCAAATGTTAATTGCCAAGAGTATGGGGAAAATGCCTCCAGGACATGTCAGAGACCTTTGCAGCAGCCCCTCCCATCACAGGCCTGAAGGCCTAGGAGGAATAAATGGTTTCATGGGCCCATCTGCTGTGTGCAGGCTAGGGACTTGGTGCCCTGTGTCCCAGCCACTCTAGCCACAGCTAAAAGGGACCAAGGTACAGCTTGGGCCATGGCTTCAGATGGCACAAGCCCCAAGCCTTGGCAGCTTCCATGTGGTGGTGAGCCTGCAGGTACACAGAAGTCAAGAATTGAGGTTTAGGAACTTCCACCTAGATTTCAGAGAATGTATGGAAACAGTGGGATGCCCAGGTAGACGTTTACTGCAGGGGCGGGGCCTTCCCTTCTGCACTGCCCTGAGATCCTCTGCTAGGGCAGTGCAGAAGGGAAATGTAGGGTTGAAGCCCCCACACAGAATCCCCACTGGGGCACTGCCTAGTGGAGCTGTGAGAAGGGAGCCACCATCCTCCAGACCCTGGAATGGTAGATCCACTGACAGCTTGCACCATGCACCTGGAAAAGCCGCAGACATTCAATGCCAGCTTGTGCAAGCAGCTGGGAGGGAGGAGGGAGAGGCGGTACCCTGCAAAGCCATAGGGGTGGAGCTGCCCAAGACCATGGGAACCCACCTCTTGCATCAGTATGACCTAGATGTAAGACGTGGAGTCAAAAGAGACCATTTGGAGCTTTACGATTTGAATGCCCTGCTGGATTTCGGATTTGCATGGGGCCTTTACCTCCTTCATTTTGGCCAATTTTTCCCATGTGGAATGGGTCTGTTTACTCAATGCCTGTACCCCCATTGTATCTAGGAAGTAACTAACTTGCTTTTGATTTTACAGGCTCATAGGCAGAAGGGACTTGCCTTGTCTCAGATGAGACTTTGGACTGTGGACTTTTGAGTTAATGCTGAAATGAGTTAAGACTTTGGGGGACTATTGGGAAGGCATGATTGGTTTTGAAATGTGAAGACATGAGATTTGGGAGGGGCCAGGGGCTGAATGATATGGTTTTGCTGTGTCCCCACCCAAATCTCATCTTGCGTTGTAGCTTGCATAATTCCCATGTGTCATGGGAGGGACCCAGTGGGAGATAATGGAATCATGGGGACGGTTTCTCTCATACTGTTCTCGTGGTAGTGAATAAGTCTCACGAGATCTAATGGTTTTATAAGGGGTTTCCCCTTTCACTTGGTTCTCATTCTCTCTTGTCTGCCACCATATAAGACATGCCTTTCACCTTCCACCATGATTGTGAGGCCTCCCTAGCCATGTGGAACTGTGAGTCCATTAAAACTCTTTTTCTTTATAAATTACCCAGTCTCAGGTATGTGTTTATCAGCAGCATGAAAACAGACTAATACACACCCTCATTACCCTGTCTTTGTAGGTATTAATTTCATTTTTTGTTTTGTTTTTATCATTTCTATGTTTCTTTTTGCAAAAGTAAGGAGATATGTGTATGTATTTTCTTTTCCCTTATTTTCTTTACTTTTCTTTGTTTCTTTTTTTTCTTTTGTGAGACAGGTTCTTGCTCTGTCCCTTAGGCTAGAGTGCAGTGGAGTGATCAGAGCTCCATGAAGCCTCGAATTCCTAGGCTCAGGCAATCCTCCTCCCTCAGCCTCCAGAGTAGCTAGGACTACAGGCACATGCCATTGCACCAGGCTAACTTTAAAAATAATTTTTGTAGAGACAGGGGTCTTGGTATGCTGCCCAGGCTGGTCTAGAACTCTTGACCTCAGCAATCTTCCTGCCCTGGCCTCCTAAAGCTCTGGGATTATAGGTGTAAGCCACTGCACCTGGCCCTTCCCCGCATTTTCTCATACAAAAAGAAACATACTTTAAATTTTTTACAGTTGAAACTTTTTACGTTTTTAAACTTCAATATTTTTTTACTAAAAATTATTCTGGAATATCTCCATATCACTATATAGATATCTTTCACATCATTTTTTAAATAGTTGCATAGTGAATGTACTACTATAGTTTATTCAACTAATATCCTTTACTTTGGTCCTTTAGATAGTATTCTGGTATTTTGTAACTGTGAACGATGCTACAATGAATAACCTTTTAGAGATGTACTTTCATGTTGCTAGAGTTGAATCTTTAGAGTAAAAATTCAGTGAGTGGAATTGCTGGATCTAAGGGTCAATACATATGTAGTTTTGTTTGATATTGCAAAATTTTTCTCCCATAGGTGGGACACTGTTTTCCTTTACTACCAATGCCTGTTTCCTCACAGTCTTGGCAATAGAGTATCTAGTTAAGCTTTTGAATTTTTGACAATCTAATTGGAGAAAAATTGTATCTTAGTGTAATTTTACTTTTTATTTCTTTTATTTTGCATGATTTCGAACATAGTTTCATTTGTTTAAAGGCCATTTTTGCACCATTTTCTTTATGACTTATCTGTTCATTTCTTTTGCCCATTTTTCTATAGAATTATTTATATTTTCCCTTAATTTTAAAAGTTGTCTATTAGCCCTTTAAAGATATATATGTACAGACATATATCACATATATATGTGTATGTGTGTGTATAGCAAAATTTAAATTTTTTTCCCAGTTAGTCATTCGTCTTGTGACTTAAATTTTGTCATGCAATAGTTTTTTATGTAGTCAAAATTTTTTATGTTTTATTTTATTGCACTTGGATTTTGAGTTATGGTTAGAAGGCCTTTTCCCACACTCAGATTTGGAGGAATTTGTCTATATTTTATTTTAATACTTTTAGTGTAGTGTATTGTTTTATATTTCAATCTCTGATTCATTAGGAGTTTGTTCTTTTGTTTGGTATGAGGAATGAATCTAATTTTGTCTTTTTTCAAATGGCTACCCATTGGTACCAACAGCATTTATTCAAAAATTCATCTTTGACATAGTAATTTAATAAGCCACCCTTATTATATAATAAATTTCTGTATGTAATTGAGTATCCTATTTTATTAATCTGTTAAATTATAGAGGCTAATCCTCTCTGATGACCTTTTCTTTTTCCTGGTTTTCTTGCATGTTTGCTTCTCCATATGAATTTTAGTATCAACTTATTTAGTTCCAGAAAAAAAGAGCCTTGTTGGTACAAGGTGAAAAACTTTCTAGTGTTTCTCCATTAAGTAAGATTTGGCTTTAGGATTAAGGTATATGACATGTTAAGAAAGTATTCATCCAGTCCTGTTTTCTTGAGAGTTTTGATTTGGAATTCGTGTTAATTTTTTTCAAAGATGGTTTCAGCATGTATAAAGGTAATCATATGATTTTTTTCTCCATAGATCTATTATAACGGTGGACAACATTAATAGATTTCCTAAAATTGAATTATCCTTGCAATTCTGGTATAAATTCCCTTGGTCATAGTGTGTTATATTCTTAATGTGATGTTAGGGTCTATACAATAATATTTTATTTGGGATATTTTATATTTACATTTATAAGTGATATTAGATGTTATACTCCATTAAAAGAATTTGCAAATTTCCTGTAGCTTTTTTTTTTGAGATGGAGTCTTGCTCTGTTGCACAGACTGGAGTGCAATGCTGCGATCTCAGCTCACTGCAACCTCCACCTCCCAGGTTCAAGCAATTCTCCTGCCTCAGCCTCCTGAGTAGCTGGGATTACACGTGTGTGCTACCATGCCCAGCTAATTTTTGTATTTTTAGTAGAGACGCGGTTTCACCATGTTGGTCAGGCTGGTCTCGAACTCCTGACCTAGTGATGCACCTGCCTCAGCCTCCCAAAGTGCTGGGATTACAGGCATGAGCCACTGCACCCAGCCAAATTTCCTTTAGCTTTAATTCTCTGAAACAGTTTACCAACATTGGTACTATCTGTTCTCTAAAGGTTTGGCAGCATCCTTCTCTGAAACCATCTGGGCCTAGTTCTTTTTGGTGGGGGGTAGTTTTTTTGATAATGTTTTCAAGTTTTTGCTATGAAAATGGGTGGATGTAAGCTTCCTATCTTTATTGGGGTAAATTTCAGTGAGTTATATGTTTCTAAGAAGTTTTCTATGCCATCTAGATTTTAGAATTTATTTGTTTAGATATGTACAAAATATTTTATGATTTAAAATTTTCTTCATCAACAGTTATTCTTGTTATATTTTGCTGTCTTCCTTTTTGTCTTGATTGAATTACCTAGTATTTTGTCTATTTTGTTGACTTTTAAAAAATAATCGGGATGTTCATATTAATAATTTGATGTACTATTTTTCTGTTCTTCATCTCCTTAATTTCTGTTTTTATTTCTATTAATTCCTTAATTGTGCTTTATTTTAGAAATACTTTATAGGCTTTTTCTAGTTTTTTTGAGTTGAGGACTTAATTCATTTTTTATTATTCTTTCATTTTTACTGATATGGGTGTTTAAGGTTATGTTAGTTTCTTAGGGCTTTTATAATAAATTACCACCTTAGTGACTTAAAACTACAGAAATTCATTCTCGCATGGTTCTGAAGGCCAGAAGTTCAAAATCAAGGCTTCCACAGGGCTGTATTCCCTACAGAAGCTCTAGAGGAGAATCAATTTCTTGTTCCTTCCAGCTTCTGGTGGCTGTTGGCATTGGTTGGCTGGTGGTTACATCACTCCAGTCTCAGCCTCGGACTTTACATTGCTTTCTCCTCTCTGCGTCTGCCTGTCCCACTGTGCCTCTCCCTCATAAGGATGCATGTGATGGTATTTAGGGCTCATCTGCATAATTCAGGATAAGCCCTTCCTCTCAAGATCTTTAATTTAATCACATATTTTGCTATACAAGGCAATATTCACTGGTTCCGTGGATTAAGAAGTGAATGTATCTTTGGAAGGCCATTTTTTTTTTCAGCTGCCCACAAAGGTTACAAATTCTCCTTGATCACTCTGTTAAACATAACCATAGATTTTGATAAACAGTGTTTTCATCATCATTTTTCAGATATTCTGTAAGTGTGTTCTCATTTCACCCAAGACATATCATAGAAGACTTTCTAATTTTCAGCAGAAGTGGCTTTTTATTTTATAATTTCAATTTTAAATTTCTGGTTTTATTACATTGTGGTGAGATAGCATTGTTTGTGGTATTTCTTTTTTTTTTTTTTTTTGTTTTTTTTTTTTTGGAGACAGGATCTCTTTGTCACCAAACTGAAGTATACTGGCAAGAACATGGCTCACTGCAGACTCAACCACCTGGGCTGAAGGAGCTAATGCTCCCATCTCAGCCTCCTGAGTAGCTGAGACCACAGGTGTGTGCCATTATGCCTGGGTAATTAAAAAAGGTTTTTTCATAGAGATAGGGGCCTTGTCATGTTGCCCAGGCTGGTCTTGAACTCCTGGGCTCAGGTGATCCTCCCGCTTGAGCTGGGATTGCAGGCATGAACCACTGCGCCTGGCCTGTTGTGCTATTTCTTTTCTTTTCTTTTCTTTTTTTTGAGATGGAGTCTCCCTCTTTCGCCCAGGCGGAACTGCAGTGGCGCGATCTCGGCTCACTACAAGCTCCGCCTCCCGGGTTCACACCATTCTCCTGCCTCAGCCTCCCAAGTAGCTGGGACTACAGGCGCCTGCCACCGCGCCCGGCTAATTTTTTGTATTTTTTTAGTAGAGACGGGGTTTCACCGTGTTAGCCAAGATGGTCTTGATCTCCTGACCTCGTGATCCACCTGCCTTAGCCTCCCAAAGTGCTGGGATTACAGGCGTGAGCCACCGCGCCTGGCTGTGCTATCTCTATTCTATGGAACTTAATGATATTTTCTTGTGACCTAAAATATAATTAATTTTAAGAATATTCCATATGTACTTAAGAAGAAAGTGTGTGTGTGTGTGTGTGTGTGTGTGTGTGTATGTGTGTGTGTGTATATGCATAGTCAAGCACAGTAATGAGAAGGGAGAAAGAGTAGAGCAAGCTGTCTGACCTGTAAGAGAATGTGAACTATTCTTTATTATCGGGGTATAATATTCAAGAAATATCCATATGAGTGGCCTTATGAATTATGTTGTTTCTACATCATTATCTGTCCAATATCTATCCATATTCCATATCCTTGTCTTTCATACACTTGACATCTCTGTGCTGAGAATGGGTGGTGAAGCATCCTGTATAGTGTCTATCTATTTCTCATTCTATCTCATGTAGTTTCTGCTTTGTATAGTTGGTCACTGGGTTATTTGGTACATGGATATTTATAACTATTATATCTGCTTTGTGAGTCGTGGCTTTTAGCATCATAAAGTGTCATCATTTGTTTTATTTAATGCTTTTTGGCCTGAATTATACCTGATATCAAGATGACAACCCTTGCTTTTTTATGATTTTCATTTGTCTAGTGTATATATATAATTTTTTTTTTTTGAGACAGAGTCTCACTCTGTTGCCAGGCTGGAGGGCAGTGGCAAGATCTCGGCTCACTGCAACCTCCACCTCCTGGGTTTAAGCGATTCTCTTGCCTCAGCCTCCCAAGCAGCTGGTAGTACAAGTGTGTGCCACCGTGCCCAGCTAATTTTTGTATTTTTAGTAGAGACAGGGTTTCACCATGTTGGCCAGGACGGTCTCAGTCTCTTGACCTCATGATCCACCCACCTTGACCTCCCAAAGTGCTGGGATTACAGGCGTGAGCCACTGCGCCCAGCCTGCTTAATATATTTTTGACTATTCCTTCATTTGTAGCCTTTTTACCATGGTTTAGGAATGTCTCTTGTAAAAAGCACAGAGTTCAGTTTTTTGTTGTTGTTTTTGTTTTGTTTTGTTTGAGATGGAGTCTCACTCTGTTGCCCAGGCTGGAGTGCAGTGGCATGATCTTGGCTCACTGCAACCTCCACCTCCCAGGTTCAAGTGATTCTCCTGTCTCAGCCTCCCAAGTAGCTGGAACTACAGGCGTGCACCACCACACCTGGCTATTTTTTTTGTATTTTTAGTAGAGAGGGGGTTTCACCTTGTTGGCCAGGCTGATCTTGAACTCCTAACCTCAGGTGATCACCCACCTTGGCCTCCCAAAGTGCTGGGATTACAGGCATGAGCCACCACACCTGGCCCCCAAAGTTCAGTTTTGATTTGTAAGCCAATTTGAAATTGTTTTTCTTTTAATGGGCAAGTTAAGCCCACTAACATTATTGGTATGACTGATATGTTTATTCTCAACTTTCTTATATTATTTTGTGTTATAATTACTGGATGTAATTATATTTACTGTGCCCCTCTTTTATAGAGAGGCATTTAGGGAAATTAGTATTGTTATTCTTGTGGTTATCTTTGTATTTATGCTTTTAATAGTGCTTAATTCCTCCTTTTTTGGCTAATTTTTTTTTACTAGCTGGTTTATAAGTTTTAAGTGATGTCCTTGGGCTCCTATCATCTTTATAATATTCAATTATCTTATTCTACTACCCCCATTCCTCTCTTTTTCCCCCCGCTGGTTGCATTCTTTCTACTTTGTCAGAATGTATACTGCTCATGTACTATTCTTTCAACCTTGTCCCTACTTTTCTTTTATTCTTGGTTCTACAATTAGGTATATTAAGTGCTTACCATGTCTGTTTACTGATATTTCCCCAGTCATCTTTTGTGTGGATAAAGCTTATCATAGTCTAGGGCAGGAGTCAGCAAAGTTTTTCTATAAAGAGTCAGAGAGTAAATGTTTTAGGCCTTGCGGGCCATATATACATTCTTTACTGCTACTGCTGCTGCTGCTGCTGCTTCTCCTTTTCCTTCTGTCACTCCTTTTTCTTATCTTAAAATGCTTTAAAAATGTAAAACATTCTTAGCTTGTGGGCTGTACAAAAATAGATGCCAGGCCAGATTTGACCTGTGGACTATTGCGTGTCAACTCCTGCCTAAGTAGACACTTCAAAAAGGACTTTTGAGTACCGTGTTTCTTGAGCTCTTGCATGTTCAAAACTGTTTTTATATAGCCTTGATGCTAGAAGAACTTTGCTATAAAATACTTTGCTTATTATTTCTTTCCTTGAGTTTCTTGAAAATACTGGCCTCTTGGCTTTAAATGCTGCTTTTGTGGAGACTAATGCCAATCTAATTTTCTTATGCCTATTAGCAATTCGATCTTTTATTCTAATAGTTGTATTAACATATATCTTAGAGTTGATCATTTTAGGTCAATATTTTCAGGTAAATATGGGCCCTTTTAATGTATAATTTTATTTTTATTTATTTTCTTTTTATTTTTTATAGAGATAGAGTCTCGCTATGTTGACCAGGTTGGTCTTGAACTCTTGGCATCAAGCAATCCTCCCATCTTGGCCTACCAAAGTGCTAGTATTACAGGCTTTTCTTTTATTTCCAGAAAGTTTTCTTGGATTGTAGTGTTAAATATTAGTTCTGCCTCATTGTATTGTTTTCCTTTGTCAAGAGTTCCAGTTATACATATGTTGAGCCTTCTTTGCATGTCTTCAATTTTGATCACTTTCTACTCTCTGATGCTTTTTTGCTTCTTTCTTTATCTTATTATTATGAGTTTTGAGACAGAGTGTCACTCTATCCTCCAGGCTGGAGTGCGGTGGTATGATCACCACTCACTGCAGCCTCAATCTCCTGGGCTCAAGTGACTCTTCTGCTTCAGCCTCCCAAGGAACTGGGACAATAGGCACATGCATCCATGCCTGGGTAATTTTTTAAATTTTTTATAGAGATGGGGTCTCACTACTTTTCCCAGGCTTGCCTTGAACCCCTGAGCTCAAGTGATCTTCCTGCCTTGGACTCCCAGAATACTGGAATTACAAGCATGAGCCACAATGCCTGGCCTATCTTATATTTTTGTTCTTGTTTTTTTTCTTATTAAATTTTCATCCAAATATATTTTCCCTTGGGCACCTTGCAATTTATTCCTCCTTTCTGAGATAATTTTGTCTTTTTCTTGGATTTTCTTTTTTGGTCCAATCTACTCTCATTGCATTTTCCCCTTGCATAGATCTCATAGATTTTCCTGGGCCTATTTATGTTATTTGTTTTAAATTTATGATTCTAGACTTTTTAATATCTCCAAATGTTGTTTGACATTATTTAAACCAGTTTGAATGTATTGTGTTTTGTGGTTGGCATTTTTAGAGTAATTCTCACCAGTTGAAACATTTTGTTTTTTTGTCTGTTTTCTTTTTTGAGACAGAGTCCTGTTCTGTCACCCAGGCTGGGGTGTAGTGGGGTGATATTGGCTCACTGCAACCTCCACCTCCCAGGTTCAAGTGATTCTCCTGCCTCAGCCTCCTGAGTAGCTGGGATTACAGGCGCCCACCACAACACCATGTTGGCCAGGCTGGTCTTGAACTCCTGACCTCAGGTAATCTGCTGGCCTCGGCCTCCCTAAGTACTGGGATTAAAGGCATGAGCCACTGTGCCTGGCTGAAACGTTTTGATTATATATGTTCTATTTTTTTTTCCTTACGATAACTTTGTATGGAATTTGTTTGATTTTATTTTTATTCCAGGGCATTTTTTGGACAGAGTTTCTGGTTCGTGAGCATGCTCTTCTCTCATTTTAGTAAAATACATTATTTTTCTTCCAAGTAAGATGGTGATTGTGGTAGTGGTAGTTGTCGGCGGGAGCCGGGGTGGGCGTCTTGCCATGTCTTGTTTCTGTTCTTTTTCTGCAGCATCTTTAATTTTTTGCCATCGACTTCCTTATTTTCCTTCACTGCCACTCTCCAAGGGGCTGTTCTCCCTCATATCTCTTTGTCTCACAGATGTAGTATTTCCTCTTCTGCCTCCTCCGTTCTACTTACTTTCAAGCTCTTTCCCTCTACTGGGTGCCATGAGCTACCAAGTCATGGACCTGTGTGTGGTATTTTATCACATATGTTGTGCTTTCTTTTTCTGCAGGTAGTTTTGTTTATGTTTTAAATCCTAACCTGTCTTCTCTTCTCTTTAGAATGACTTAGGCCTCCCGTGTCACTGTTCTGTACATCCACAGGCTTGCGTTGGTGGTGGGACTTCAAGTTTCATTTCTCTACTTTCAGGTAGTTTGAAATTCCCGCTATACTCTGGTTGATTGTGATTTCGGTGGCATGTGTAACATTTTGTTTTATTTGTACTCCTTGTTGCTATTATTTATTTTTTTGGGATGTGTATGGAGATTTGAATTCAGGTTACCACCGTTATCCTCCAGTTAATTCCTCTGATATATACTTTTTACAAAGATGATTCTTGATGCAGAGTGGTAAATGAGTTCTAGGAGTCAAGAGTGAAGGCAGTTGTGATAGTCCAGGTGACAGGTGATGTTAGCATAAAGTTATACGTTAAACTTATTTAATTTATACTTATGGTTTGTGAAGTTATAGGTTAAAAGAAAATTAAGAGATACATCAACCAAATGTAATGTGTGAACTTTGAATTGAATATTACTCGTTAAAATGTTCCATTTGGGACAACAAATTATATGGTTATTCTACTTATTTATCAATTTTCAGAATAATGAGTTAGTACACTAGTAGTCTTCACAGGTGAATGATGAGTTGTTTATCTTTAATTTTTATGTCATTTCATTATGAACTCATGCACTTTATATTGAATAAAGAAAGAAATAGTCTGTAACCTTCTCGACATACCCAGCTACTATTTTAAGTTTAACATATTCTCTTCTGATTCTGTCTATTGGCTTACCCATTTTTATCTAACTGCAACTAACAGGAGTTGATTTTATATTCTGCCTAATATTATGGACAGCAAACTCAATGACAGTGGGAATTTTATTCTATTTTGAATATATTCCCAGCTTCTCAAACAGTGACTGGCACAGAGTAGGTGCTGAATGAAGTTTGCTGAATGAAGAAATTAATGAATATGCTTTAAAAGTATTTCTTTTAAATATTCTTAAAAAAATTTTTTTTTGAGATGCAGTCTTGCTGTG